>NC_000003.12:123099513-123402543 GCF_000001405.40 Homo sapiens
GAATGTTACATAACCTAACAAAGAAGGTGGCACAGAGTCTGCAGTGAGGGCTCGTGGGGCGCTTGCTCAGGTGGAGTGAGGCAGGAGGCTGTGCACCGGGCTGAAACTTGGAGGCCACGCTGAAGAACAGGCAGGGGTGCCTCTGTGCCCCCAGCTCTACCAGCCAACTTAGTTGTTTTGGAGTCTTGGTCCTAAGCCTTGCCTGGGCCCTCAGGGAACCTAAGACTGCTGTCGTGGGACTTTTCCATGGAGGGGTTTCCCACAGAGTGGACCAGGATTGGCGTGGAAATGAACCAAGCCCCTGTTTCCTCCCTCTGCTTTGTGATAGTCACAGGCAGAGGCTGCCAGCCAGGCTTGATGGAAGAGAGAGGAGCATGGGGTGGGGATTCTCCTGTCCAGTTGCTGCCTTGCAGCGTCTGAGCCCCCAGGCAGGAACTGCAGTGTGAACGGAGAGGCAATGAGCAAGCCCTTCGCAGCTGCTGGTGTCAGGATGGGGCTGATGGGGCTGAGGGAGGCCATGCACATCCCATCCCAGCCTTGGCCCCTGCCCCAGCTGCTGTTTGTTGTTGCAGTTGGGTGGACGGTAGGTGGTCACAGAAACAGTGGAGCATAGCAGAACAAAGGCCAGCGAGGAAGGTGCCATGTGAGTGGTTGTAAACATCCTGAGTTGAGCCCTGTGTCCCAGGGAATTAACTCAAACAGGGAAAGGGCACCTCGTTCGCAGTTGTTCTCAAACAGACCCACCACCTGTCCATGCAGCTTCACCACAGAGTCCCTGCGGGACGGGGCACACCTGAACTGTAATAGCAGTTGTCAGAAGAGGCATGCGTGGACCTCAGAGGGCTTAAGGATAAGAAAGTTTTCAGCGGGTGCCCTGGGCTGCCTTCTCCATTTGGAGAGCCCACTCCCAGCTTGCCCCTTCTCTCTGGACTCTATCTTAAAATGTCCTTGCCACCTTGGGGTAGGAACTATTGCAGTGTCATTAGCCTTTCCTCTCTGGATTCCTCATGCATTTCATGAGTCCCCACTGTTTGCCAGGCCCATGGCTGGAAGCTGCAGTGGCTGCAGCGATGGCTAGACAGCTGGGACTAGTAGGGAGGAAACCCCTGGGCCTGGGGGTGGAAGGGGGCAGGGAGACACTCCTCCTCTCTGACCACCACACACCTCTCCAGTAAGACATGCTTCTTGAGTTGCAAATTGCATCTTTACACTTAAAATGAGGTCCTTCGTTTTTTACATGTCCACTGATGAGTGTTGCTTTTAGAATTGAGCTGAGTGGTTTAATTAGTCCATCTGTTCTGGGCTGGTGCACAGCTGTGTGAAGCTGATGGCTGTTGGTGGAGGTGAGGCATGTAAGCAACTGGGGGATACAGCGCCTTGCCTCAGGTGGCTGTCGTACCTGTCCCAACAAAGTTCCCCAAAAGATGACTCCAGTTGTGTAGTCAGTGGTGACCAGTGGGCATTGGGTAGCCGAGATGCCCTTACTGAGTCCTTTCAGGGCTGGGGAGATGGCCCCCAGGTAACAAGAGCTCTCTGACTGGCTGAGTGCAGGCAGGATGGGGAAGCTGTTGAGAACAGGTCAGGTCTCTAAGGGACTGGTTTAGGGCACAGGGGAGCCAAACCTTATGGAGGTAGGGGAGAAGAACATGAGCCAGTGAAGGAGCTAGTCTAATGCAATGAGTGGTTTCCAAACTTGAGCACACATCAGAATCACCTAGAAGGTTGTTCAAACCCAATTGCTCAGGTATCCCCAGGGTTTCTAATTTAGTAGGTCTGGGATGGGGCTGATAATTTGCATTTCCAACAGGTTCCTGGATGATGCTGGTGCCACTGATTCAGGGACCACACATTGAAATCCATTGTTCTAACAGGCAGGGCACCAAGATGAGATGAGGTTGTGCGTGAGTGCTTTGTAAACAGGGAATGGCACCTCACAGGCATTTCTTATTGGAAGAGAGTGTAATATCCCAGATGCCAAGGGAGGGGCTCCTTTAACCACAGCCTGGCCCTTTCTCCTTTTGTCTTTTGTCAATACCTGGCCAGATTTCATAACTTCTTCAACATGGTAGCATGTTTTCCTCTTACCTTGGTCACGTAGTATATAGCAGATAGCCTATGTCAGAGCTCCAAAAACAAAAATCTTGCTTGTCCACCCCCAACAGAGATTCCAAATTGATAATCAGGGGAAGGCCAGGGCATCCATCTTTTTAAAAACTTGCCTGATAATTCTAAAGAACGGCCAGGATTGGAGTTTATTTTCTTGTTACCATGGGCTGTCCACCCACTAAGCTTCTGGGTCACCTCCTTTGTCTGGACCTGTCTGTGTTGCCACCCACAAGTTGTGACACACATGCTCCTGTCTGCTTTTCCCCTTCCTTTCCTTTCTTTCTTGCTTTTTTTTTTTTTTTTTTTTTGAGATGGAGTCTCTTTCTGTTGCTCAGGCTGGAGTGCAGTGGCATGATCTTGGCTCACTGCAACCTCTGCCTCCTGGGTTCAAGCGATTCTCCTGCCTCAGCCTCCTGAGTAGCTGGGATTACAGGCACGTACCACCACACCTGGCTAATTTTTGTATTTTTAGTAGAGACGGGGTTTCACCATGTTGGCCAGGCTGGTCTCGAACTCCTGACCTCAGGTGATCTGCCTGCCTTGGCCTCCCAAAGTGCTGGGATTATAGGCGTGAGCCCCCACGCCCAGCCTCTGTCTTTCTTGATCAGCCCCTAGCCTGCTAGTTAGTCTCCACCCTCTAGCTCTCACAGCCCATCTATAGTAAGGCCTTCATCTGCTATTGAGAATTCCAAGTTACCTGACTTATTTCTTAGGACACCAGCAGATTTTGCTGTCAACACCTTTGTGAGGACTTCAGGTAATAAATGGTTCCCAACATTTGTGTCTTCCAGTGATGCAGAGAGTAGAAAATTGTGCAAGAAGATGAAAGTTGACCTGAGCCCGAAGGACAAAAAGGTTGAATTATTCCATTACCAGTAAGTACACATGGGCATTTCCAATTTCCAAGTAAGTGCCAAATGCTTTCATTGGTATTTTCAGCGAACAGCAATTTTTAGTTAGATTAATTTTATTTCAGAATGGTTTTCTTCCTGTGTTTACAATTATTTCTTTTAAAAAAAAATCCTGAACTCCGTTCAAAAGCTGAATCTTATTAAGATGCTGCAGGAAACCAAAGGTATGTATCTTCACAACCATTCTTAAAGTTAACACATTTTTCTCCTCATTTGACAGGGATGGTGCATTTCATACTGAATATAACCGAGCTGTGACATTTAAGGTAAATTTACCTCCCTTGTTCTCAGCAATGGTGGAGTCTAAATGGACGCCCAAAGTCTGGCAGGTTTTCTCTCTGAGAAAAGAAAGGGCAGATTGCACAAATAGCTCTTCTAAATGACCTGAGAGATTCTTATCTCTAGAGCATATGTCAGCAGAATATGTGGAAAAGTTTGTAGCTCTTAACACAACAGATTGACCCAGCTTTGGAAATAGGTTTGTGAATGTATCAGCAGTTGTCCAGTAAGGCAGGTGATGTCACCTCTCTCTTTGCCAAAGGCCTGGGCCTCATTTCGTTGTAGCTTCAAAGTCCTCCCCTCATCTCTGTGGTAGTGGCCACCCTCAGGCTGGATGCCCAGGTTAGCACAGGGTATTGCACATGGGCAGGTTGACACCTTTGGGCTGATGCAGCTTGTTCCAGATGAGATATGGGTATCATTGAGGAGTTCCCTGCTATCAATCCAATTTAGAAGTAGATGGAAAAGCATAAATGGAAAGAAATATGAGATCCTGTAATCTATACATGCTTTGTAATCACAAAGCGGCTGCCCCAGCCCTTAGTCCTCCTGAACTGCAACTCTCCTCCTTCAGGGTCAGGATTCCCTTCCTCCAGCCTGTCTTCTGTTTTCTGGTCCTGCGCTGGCTGAAGCCATACATTTCTCCTGGTCCTGACGTGTTTGAACTCACTTCCTAACCCTCCTGTTTCCCACACGGGGTTGGACCCTGTGCTCCTGTCTCTTCATCTGTCCCTCTTTCTCCATCTGTGTCTCTTCCATTTTTCCTATCTGTCCATCTGTCTGTGCAGCTGTCAGTGTCCCTCTCCCTCTGCCCTTCCTTCTCCCTCTGTCTCTCCCCACCATCTCTCCAGGTCATTCTTGCTTATCCACTAACACTCATTCTTTTTTTAAATTGCTACAGCGTTCACCTTATATAGGGACTCAGCCTGATTACTCATCACCTTAACACCTACTTAGACACTTAGAAAGTTCTTCCAACTAGAGTTGCTCAGCCCTTCTTATTCTATGTTAAGACGTCAACCGAAGTTCTTGGAGAGAACACATGTTCCCCAGGAACAAGATTTAGTTGGGTGGGATGGGGGAAGTGCTTATGCAATGATGGAAAGAGGGCTGGAGTTTTGTTTTGTTATTGAAGGCTGTGTATATTTTATGTTTAACCGGGACCTCTGAGGAATCTGTCTTGGGCTTATGGAGCAGGGAGTTCTGAGCGGCTCCTCATAATTGTGGTAGCAGAGAAGAAGCAAGGAGCCCAGGTGGCCCCAGCATGCCACTGGGTGTCTGGGTGGGAGAGGCAGAATCCTGGCTTCGCCCCACTTCTTACAAAGACCAGACGTGTGAGGTCAGCGTTCTCTTGACCTTCCCGTGATTTAGGCATCAACAAGGTGAAGAAGTGGCTGAGCATCGTACGGGGCCAGAGTCTTCAGTTTCAGTTGGAGAGAGGGCACTCTTAGTCCCAGCATCCCCAAGCAGGACTGGGGCAGAATCCCTGGAGTTCTTCAGGGCAGAGGGAAGGGGACAGGACAGTTCCCTGACTGCTGATGGCTTCTGCTTTTTCAGCTTGAGACAGCTGAGATCAGAGCCCACCTCAGTCACTAATTAACTTTCCATTCAGGGTTTCTCCTGGGACCCTGACTCCAGAGAGATGGAGGACCCCCCGACAGGAGGGGCCCATCACCTGCAGGCCCATGTTCTGGCTGTGGTTTTTGTCAACCCGCATGGTTGGGCAGAAGCCTGGTCACAGACGCTGTGCCACGGCACCTAGAGAGGTCATAGGCCAGTTAAGTGAGAACTTATCTCCCCACTGGCAAAGAATAGGAAACTCGAAGTGGGGAATGTCCCCTTTAAGCTGCCCTTTCCTTGTTAGCACATACTCCCCAAATCCTTACTATAGAAGTGGTAAGGGCCAGAGGTGCCTGGCAGTCTGGATTCAGATGACTCACTGATGACCTCAGGGCCCAGTAGCTGTGAGCCAGGATTACAGCTATGAAGGCCAGATGTGGTGTCAGACAGTGCCTGGGACTCAGAGCACCCAGAATAGGACAGTTGAGGGTGGGCTTCCAGGTGCTGCTCCCTGCAGACTTTTGCCCTGAGGTCTTGTCCAGTTAGATCAACTTGGAGAGAACCTATGGGTGGGGTTATTCAGCTTCAGTTAAGTGAGAATAATCCTCACCTGAAAAACAAGGTTGTGTGTACGAACATGTCAGTTGTTACGTTAAAAGGCCATTTATCTCCTTTTTCCATCCACTGCTATCTTTTTTTCTTGATGCTGAGGTGGAGAAGGGGGAGGAGGGCTGGGCGTGGGGCCAGGACACCCCCCAGAGCAAGCAGTTCCTAACTTGTTCTGGAGTCCTGATCCCACTGAGCACCTACTGAACTCCAGACCTTCTCCCTGAAAGCGTGTGTGCATACAAATCAAAGTCAATGTTTTCACATGAGTCTGGGGCTTCACCGACTCCTGAAGTCCCTTGTGCACCCTAGATTAAGAACCCCTGCACCAGGTATTTCTGGAACCCCAGGCAGGTGGGTGCCTACCAGCATCTTTCTCACATGGCCTGGTGGACAGGTGCCTCTGCAGCTGTGGGTGAGTGTGGGTGTCGGGAAGACCCTGCCAATTCCATAGTTCCTTATGTTGTCATGGCAAAGCCTTGACAAGGGACTGAGAAAGGGTGGATCCGCCTTTTGCTGTGGCAGAAATGGCTGTTCTTTTGCCAGGAGGCGTTTCACAGCTCCACTTGGACAGGCAGGAAGCACTACCTGAATGAAATCCTATGAAGTCTTGGCTGTCTCCCATTCTCCCGTAGTAGTTCTTTCCAAATAGAGTTTCCAGAAATAATAAGGTCCTCTCCGTGTGTGACCAGTGGATGGGCTGAATGCACACCCTTACTATTATAGAAGGGCACTTCCCTTTCTCATCTCAGGCCACACACACGCACACACACACACACACACACACATACACTCTCAGTTCAGCATCTGCTCGCTGGAGCGTGGTCAAAGTTGACAGAAGTAACAGAATCTGGCTGGGGTCTGGTTCCTGATCCTGGCTCTCAGACTTTGAGCACCGTCTCTGAGTGACTGAAGGGAAAGGGAATGCTGCTTCTGCCCTGGACCAGTGAGAGTGGCAGAGGATACAGAGGAGGGTGGAAGGACAGTGCCACTCTTCCCTGCCCCTGTGCATCTTCCCCACAGGGAGTGGAGATTTGAGTCATTGTACACATAACAAAGGCCAGCGAAGCCCTTTATCTGTAAGAACTTGGTCAGATCTTCAATCCAGGCAGTCTAGAAGAGGGGCCCCAGCATGAGAAGTATAGCAACAAGGGTGAGGCCACATTGGTGCCCACCCTGCCCTGGGGGCTTCCCAGCCTGGACCTCACTCATTCATATACAGAGGCGGATAATCAGGATTTAATCCACTCCAAAACCAGTTTAGATCATGAAATACCAAGCAGGTCATAAGTAGGTATGATGATCTGCTTATGGGATGACAGTTTTAGTGGCTGCAGGAATGTGGAAATGTCTCCTTTGGACAAGACTGAGACCATTATTCCATTAGTCAGAAAGACTTCTTGGAGGAGATGAGATTTAGTAGAAGCACTAGTATGTCTCTGGTTTGAATAAGCCAACTCATTGTCTCAAATTTTCTCTTTTTTGTCCTTGAAGATGCATAGTAGGCATGGACTACCTGGCTGGAGTGAGCAAGGTGTCTTGTGATTGAAAAAGCCCGATGGGAGTGGTGGAGGTGCATTTTTGGGCACTTATCCATGATGTCAGTGGACAGCGGAAATAACACACCCTCCAAGCTTATGCCACATGCAGTCCTGAGCTCAGCAGCTGGTGTGCCCAGGTCTCCAGGCAGGGAAAGAGGACAGGTTCCTGATTCCCCCACCTCCCTCTTTTCAGGGCTAAAATGCATTTTCTCTTCTCTTTTTTTTCCCTCAGTCCATAGTGGCCTTTTTGAAGGATCCAAAAGGGCCCCCACTGTGGGAGGAAGATCCTGGAGCCAAAGATGTTGTCCACCTTGACAGTGAAAAGGTAATGTATTCCCCGTCAGTTCTGATGGATGCTGGAAGCTTCCCTGGTACCAGGGCCTCCCAAGGAAAGGAGCCCAACGAACTGAGAAATGGGACTATTCCAGGATCACTTGTACTTTTCCTCTAGGGAAGCTAGGCCAGGACCCTAATATTTGACTCCCCTTCCCAGCTCCATGTTGTAACCAGCGGTGATCACAGGTTGCCTGAGAATTTTCTCCATTCTTCACCTTCCTTATTTAATGCATTTGAACACGTTTAGATTTTCCATACATTAATGTAGATTTAAATGTTCTCTCTCTATTGTGTAATCCAGATGTTGTTAGGATTGGCTTTACATCTTGTTTTTTTGTTTTTGTTTTGTTTTTTTAAAGAATAACCTTAGAGATTTGGGTTAGATTTCCAGAGACTTGAGGCAGATCTCTACAATTCTGGGTCATTCTATAGCTTTCAACCAATTATTTACCTTCTTATGCTTCAATTTCCAAATTTGGCCAGGGGTGGAGGTAGAAGGGTAGATCTAGATTATGGTGTTTATTAGTTCTTAAGTATTTAACAAAAGCTATGACAGGCCGGTTGTGGTAGCGGGTGCCTGTGATCCCAGCTACTCAGGAGGCCGAGGCAGGAGGATCGCTTGAGCCCAGGAGTTCAAGGGTAGCCTGGTCAACATAGTGAGACCCCCATCTCTAAAAAAATAAAGAATGCAAAAGCTGTGACACACATTGCCCCTCCATCCACAGCCTGCCCACCTGACCTGAATGTGCATCTTTAGCCATGTGCATCCGTGTTTGTATGATGCCTTCACTTGGGATGGGCAAGAACTTCTCTGTGATAGTCCAGATGGTCTGTGAGGCAAGCAGTGCTTTTTGTAGGTAGAGGGAGAGGGTTCATTCCTATCTCAATAAAATAAAACATAGCTTTCATCTTTCTCTTCCTCCTCTCCCCTTTCCTTTAAAATTGTTGACTTTTTTTGTTTTTAGAGACAGGATCTCGCTCTGTCACCCAGGCTGGAGGAGTACAGTGTTGTGATCATAGCTCACTGTAACCTTGAATTCCTGGGCTCAAGCAATCCTGCTTCGACCTCCTAAGTAAGTGGGACTACAGGCACATGCCACCATGCCTGGCTAGTTTTTATATTTTTTGTAGTGATGGGCTATCACTGTTGCCCAAGCTGGTCTTGAACATCTATCCTCAAGCAATCCTCCTGCCTCAGCCTCCCAAAGTGCTGGGATTACGGGCATGGGCCTCTGTAACTTGCCTATTGACTGTACTCTTAATGCTTGTTGGCCCAGAAGAAAATGATGCCTTTTTTTAACCTTCTGGAGGAAGGTAAAATATGTCATCATTGTGAGCCAACCTAGTGGATCAGTGGTGATTCAAATTAAGGACTGGGCACAACATTCTCTGGGATACAAAGAGCCAGTATTGTCATCTTGAAGATGTCTTTTTTTTTTTTTTTTTGAGACAGAGTCTTACTTTGTCACCCAGGCTGGAGTGCAGTAGCGTGATCTTGGCTCACTGCAGCCTCTGCCTCTGGGGTTCAAGCGATTCTCGTACCTTGGCCTCCTGAGTAGCTGGGATTACAGGTGTGTGCCACCATGCCTGGTTAATTTTTGTACTTTAGTAGACATGGGTTTTCACCATGTTGGTCAGGCTGGTCTTGAACTCCTGACCTCAAGTGATCCACCCGCCTCGGCCTCCCAAAGTACTGAGATTACAGGCGTGAGCCACTGTGCCCGGCCTTAAAGATGTCTTTTTAAAAAGCATGTGGGCCCGGCACTGGCTCACGCCTGTAATCCCAGCACTTTGGGAGGCCGAGGCGGGTGGATCACAAGGTCAGGAGTTTGAGACCAGCCTGGCCAACATGGTGAAACTCCGTCTCTACTAAAGATAAAAAAATTAGCCAGGCATGGTGGCATCTGCCTGTAATCCCAGCTACTCGGGAGACTGAGGCAGGAGAATTGCTTGAATCTGGGAGGCAGAGGTTGCAGTGAGCCGAGATCATGCCATTGCACTCCAGCCTGGGTGACAGGGCGAGACTCCTTCTCAAAAAAAAGCATGTGGGGGCAGGGAAAGAGGGGCAAGTGCCAGGAGAGAGTGGCACATGTGCCTAGACCCATGGAAATACAAACAGCCTAAACGGAGTGCTGCTCCTGTAATGATGAATGTTGATAGCTTCTCTGGAAAGTGATTGCCTGGTGCCTTCCTCCCCCAGACACAATGTCCTGACCTTCCTAAGGTTGTTCTTCTGTAACTGTAGGAATATCAAGCGGAAATATTTCTTTCACACCTGTAGGGAATCCTCTTGTTCTGCTTTGTGCTCTTTTCTCTCCTATGGAAATAAGAAGTATAGCTGGTTCTCTGCTAATAGAATGTCCACATAAATAATGAAAAGTTCCAAATTCAAGTTTGAATTGCTGATTCAATTTGTAGGCTTGGAATTTCATACTTTGTGAAGGTAATTAAGCATCTTTGAATGTAATATCTGTTACTACTCAGGGTATGAAACCAAATTGCTATAGGCTCAATAAAAATCTCTTCTCAGGTCTTTTACTAGCTTTTATCTACAGAAATCCCAGAAGACAATTTTAGAAGTGTTTGCATCCTGTACCCGTAGTTAGGGTTAAATATCTTGGTTACTAATTTTGTTTGGAAATTATTTCAAACAAAATTTGTTTGAAAATTAGTGCCTTAATGCTCTCTCTAGTTACGTAAACAAAGGTAAACTTTTCCAGAATTTATTCTAGTGTTTTGGATATCCACAAAAATTTAATCTTTTTTTTAATCTAACTGAAAAATTTTAAGTTAATGCACATTCATTGTTGAAAATTTAGAAAATGCACCTTCAGCAGAAAGAAAAAAAAAATCACCTCATACCTTTACATTGAGAGAGATGCCTGCTGATATTTTTGTAGTCTTCCAGGCTTTCAAGATAATGTGTATATGATGTTTTTACTCACAAAGATGCCATTACATTTTATGTGCTGTTTTGTAACTTGCTTCCCCCACCCTTTAGTGCACCATGCACATCTGATTGTGACATTAAACACTCCTCTTTATCGGTTTTAATGATGCAGTAGTATCCCATTGTGCGGGATGTGCCATCATTTATTTACCTAATGCCTTCTTGCTGCCAGAAAGCTGCATTTTGAAATTTTCTTATTTTCCTTATTATTCAAAAGAGAAAACCCTCTCATTTTCTTCTGTAAAATGTGGTTGAGCAGCTTACTTTAATCGAAATATGCTCTTATCATCGTGCTTCACTGCAGTCCTTGATAGAGTTGCTTTTTCCCATCCATCATTGGCTCTCATTGGAAGAAAAGTCTCTACCCTGTTCACACACTCAAGTCTTTACATGAGCACTGTGTGGCCATTTGTCTTTTTGCCTTTATTGTATGTATCTAACAAATCATTATGTATTGCTTAATAACATGCCTGGCACTGTTCTAAGGGTTTTACAAATCTATTTTGCCTGTAACCTCCTGGAGGGTGGAGCAGGCCCCCTCCTTCTGCCCTGTGTGCTCCGTGGACTCCTGGGGATAAGGATGGTGGTGGCAGAGCTGGAGCCTGGGGAGAGATTAGCGAGAGATTAGTGGGTATGGGTTAACCCGTCTTCCCACAGTGAGCGGATCCCCATCTGCCAAGTCAGGCACACATGAAAACAGCCACCCGCAGCACAACAAAACCGCTGTGTAAGTCACAGGAAGGGGCAGCCTATTCAACAGCCTCACGGGACAAAAACCGCTCTTTGCCATCTTTGAACTGTTCAGGTGGAGCTGAAAGGAAAGCCAGCAGCCTGGTCCTCACGACTCCCTCTCACCAGGCGGCCAAAGCCATTTGTTAGCTTGGGGCCTCAGTTTTCCCATCTGTAATACGTGAGGGTGGTCTCGAATAGATCATCTCTGAGGTTCTTCCAGCTCCTGGCCTGCCGCGGCTCTGCCCCCACCCGCAAATCAGCTGCCAGCGTATGCTTTCTGAAGTGCTCACTCCCCCTCCCCTCCCCATCCCTACCCTTCACCCTGCTGTATGCAGGAGGGGCGGGGAGGGGGTCTCATCCTGTTACTGTGTTGTGTGCGAGCTGCTGGTATTCTCTTTTTGTGCCTCAGGACTTCAGACGGCTCCTGAAGAAGGAAGAGAAGCCGCTCCTGATCATGTTTTATGCCCCCTGTGAGTGAACTTTCTCCCTTGGGCCAGAGCTAGTTGTTTAGTCTCTTTGTGGGTGGGAGGCAGGTGGGGGTTGCGGGCGGGGTCTGGGGGATTAGCCTGGGTGCCTGGCTTAGAACGCTGAATCTCATCTCTCCATCTGCGCCTCTTTTCCTTCATCTTTGCCTTTTCATCTGGCTCCTCCCCTCCTGCTGTCTGCCCTGCATTCTGTCTCCAGTAGAATCTGTGTCCTTCTACCCTCTTTATCCAGAGCTTCACCCTGTTTGGTCAGCTCCACCTTCCCCCACCATGTCCCATTTCCTGCTGGTGGTGCCATGCCTCAGTGGCGGTCACCTTGTGGCTGTTCTGCCACCCCTCGGGCATGGCGTCATGGTCCAGAGCCTGGCCCGCCTCTGGGGGCAACAGCTTGCCTAGCTCTGGCTCCCGCATCCTCTGCTGGCATCCTCTGCAGGTGCCACCTGGGAGGAGCGGGGGACCAGGAGCAGAGAGAAACTGGTTCCAGGATTTGGGCTCAGTCCCTGTATGAGGCAGGAGGATGTGGGAAATGGCAGGAGGATCTTTCAGATGACAGCCAGAACATGTGGGTTTGAATCCCAGCTGTGCCACTGCAAGCCGGGTGAACTTGGCCAAGTCCTTCCTCACTAGGTCTCAGTTTCCACATCTGTAAGAGAAGGGACTGGATCACAGCAGTGGCTTTCAAACTTTTTGACTGAATTTCACAGAATTAAAAATGTTTTATATTGCAACCAGTACTAGAAGTATATATAAATTATATGCAAATAAGCTGAGACAAAAGTTTCGCAAAACCACTCTTGCCCTTACTATTGCCATCTGTTGTTTACCAGATGTAATGCCCACTATTTTCTGTTCTGTTTTTTTAAAAAATTATTGGTTCTACGTACTGCTTCATAACCCTCTGACAAAGGGTCAGCAAATTATGGCCCACGGGCCAGCTGCCTCTTTTTGTAAAGGTTTATTAGAACCCAGCCATGGCCATACATTGATGTGGTGTCCGTGGGCGCTTGCGAGCTATACCAACAGAGTTGAGTCTTGTAACAGAGACGGCGTGGCCTGCAAAGCCTCAAATATTCACTGTCCGGGCACCTCCACAGTCTAATGGCTCCCAACCCACAGATTGAAAATAACCCTGGATTTGAGCCTGCCAAGGCCCTTTGTGCTGCACCTCTGTGAGCTGCATCGGCCCTTCACGAAGCCAGCAGTGTCAGTGTTTCCCTGAAGGCTGAGCAACAGAGGGGTTGTATATGATGCAAGGCAGGTGTGCCTAGGTGTGTGTGTGGCTCAGGAGGGTGTCATAGGCTCTGGTTTGTCATAGCAAACCAGAGTTCTGTTTGCTCATGAAAGCCCATCTCGAATCCCACTTCCTGAGAAGTTCTTTAAACAAAGGCTCCTCCCATCTGTGCCCTGGGGATGACGCCCCCCAGCCGGATGCCCCTCTGTGGCATTCTGGTGGTTCTGCCTGACTTGAGCCAGTAGCTTATTCGCCATGACAGCAGCCTTTCCCCAGCCCTATTCTTTTTTTTTTTTTTTTTTTTTTTTTTGGTTTTGAGACAGAGCCTTGCTCTGTTGCCCAGGCTGGAGTGTGGTGGTACCATCTCAGCTCACTGCGACCTCCGCCCCCCGGGTTCAAATGGTTCAAATGATTCTCCTGCCTCAGCTTCCCGAGTAGCTGGGACTATAGGTGCCCGCCATGAGGCCTGGCTAATTTTTGTATATTTTTAGTAGAGATGGGGCTTCACCATGTTGCCCAGGCTGGTCTCAAACTCCTGACCTCAGGTGATCCACCCACCTCGGCCTCCCAAAGTGCTGGAATTACAGGTGTGAACCACCGTGCCCGGCCCCCCAAGCCCTGTTTTGATTGCTGGGTGTCCTCCAGCCCCAGCCTCCTCCCCAGGCCTCCTCGCTGGCCCCAGGGCTGTGCTTACCTTTGGGATGAGGCCCTGGTGTCTCACTTGCTGTAGATCCAGCTCTGCCCTGAATGGTAGCTACTTTAACCCTCGCTCCTTCTCTTTATTAATGTTCATTAGTTGGTTTCACCCCTTTTTGTTTCTTCTTGGAGGAATATTACTAACTACCCAGCTGTGAATTGCTTTAGGAATTATTCTGTCCACACAGCCCCTAGAGGATGGGCCTCCTTTGGTATATCTTAAAGCCCTTCAGGACTCAACACATTGGTTAAATGAAGCTGTAAAATGGAGTGTATATCAATATGCAGTGCGTGCCACAAGACGGCATCCGGGTGTAACCAGGCAGGTCTCAGTGTGATGCCATTAGTCATTTAGAAGTGTGCACGGGCAGTTTGCGCCCGTGTGCTGTGCCCTCTCCCGCCATGCACCCAGGCTGTGTGGCAGTGTGCCCATCCCATCCTTCACGACAGAGAGGTGAGCACAGTTATCATCTTTACAGAAGAGAAAGCTGGGGCAGGGGAAATTAGGTACCTCACAGAGTCACAAAGCTTATTGGTGGTAGGGGAGGGAGGAGAAAACTCGGAGGTTAAGTTCAACTTTTGGTGGAGGGTCAGATCGGTTGCACTCCTAGGTCCCAAGGAACCTCGGGACCCTTTTTTTGATTATGCACGTGTGTATGATTTTTTACAAAATGAAACAAACTTGTGCTTTTAGCACACTAGTCTAATCAAGTCTCCATGGCATCATAATTCAGCTGATTCCTGGGATACACAGCAGTTCCCTAACTGGGACGTCTGTTAGGACTCTGTGACCCTTTGGTCACATGTTGGGTGAATGGGCCCAAAGGCAGTGAGAACCTTTGGTGGTGACAAGGAACCTGGCTCCCCAGGATCTACCGCTTATTCAGGAAATGTTTGCTCACTGAATTAATAAGAAAATAAAAAGGCTGACTACTCTGACTTTTGAGGTTTGAGAATGATAATTAGTCTTACCTCTCCCCCTGCCTCCCAGTGGAATCAGCTGGAAGATAAACTCAGGAAGCACAGGGCCAGCCCTATTTTTGGTAAAGTTAAATTGGAAACTGGCTTGGCCTGTGGTTTCCTACTCCTCCTGCATCACCTCTCCCCAACCAATAACTTCTCCACCCAGCACCACTGGCCCTGCCCACAGGGACAACTGGCCGACTTATCCTCTGTTTCAGGGTGTTATTGCTGCAGGCTGCAAACAGGCGAAACAGGAAGAGAGAGGCCACACTGTGGAGACAGATAGTAAATAAAGTTCTTGATAGATGAATGTGGCCCAGTGGGGGTCAGACTGAAGTCACTGAGCGAAGAATGAGTGAAAGGCTGCAGGTGTCCCCCCTTATTTTCCCTCCTGGGGAGTGCAGCGACATCCTCTTCCCTCAGTGGAAGTGTTTCCCCCACCATGGACTGGGAAGCACCCCCCCAAATCCTGGCATTGGACTAAGATGTCTCTGCAGGCACTGAATGTTCCCCGGCTCTATCTAACACCTGCAGGGCACCTATCCCCACTGCACAGATAGGGAAGCCGAGGCTTGGAGAGCCCAGGCCACTTGCCCAAGATCACCCAGCCAGTGGGAGTTATGGGGAGATGCAGACCTCGGTCTCAGCCTTGTTCTTCCCAGAGCTGAGCTCCTTCCTCTGCGCCATCTGCAGCCTCCTGTTTTCCACCCGGTGCATTTCCCCCTGAGCGTTGTTCCTGCTTCTGTTCTCCTCTTTCTGAATCCCCACAATGGAAACAATGCCCCTGACAAGTGTCATATTCCTTCCTTCATGCCACTGATGGTGTTCGCACTGAGGTGGCAGGTCCTGAGGAGAGGTGCCTCTTATCTTCTGAGGGCAGATTCGGCGGGCTCGCGCTGCAGGCTGGCCTCGAAACAGCTCCTTTTCTCCTGCCAGGACTGATGGCAGAACTTAAGCCCAGGGTTCGCGTACTGGGGTGTGTGTGAGTCCATCTGTCAGACAGGAATGTCAGGAGGGGGCTGTGGGGCAGTTTTGGAGCCTCATGGCCAAATGTCCTGTGTCTGCATCTTGTCCGGTAGGCTTGGTGCTGGGGAGGTTCTGGTGGCCCAGAAGGAATGTTGGCCTTCTGGCTTCACGGCCTGTCTAGGCGTCAGCTAAGCATGGATTGGAGCTGGGCTGCCTGTCGCCACATGGACCCTGTGCCCGCTGTGCCAAGCTGAGATCAGCCTGACACATGGTTCCAGGCAGCTTTGGTTCTGTGCTCTTCAGATGCATCTTAAGCCCTGTTTTGTAGCAGAGAGGCAGTCGGAAAGGGTAATAGCCTGGCACTTCAGAATCCCTGCTGTCTGAGGAAACTGCTCATGTCCTGTGGGATCAGTGCTGAAATGTGGTCTGCTCTGGTTTAAGGGAAGGAGTTTAAGGTCACTCTAAAGTTTTAGTGGATGTTTGGGACCTGGCCTTCCTGGTCGCTTGAGTCCAGGAGTTCAAGGCCCCCTATCAAGGCTGTGGGTCTTCACCACTAGGAGAGGAGTGTGACCATGGTAGACCACAGAGCCCCGGAGGGCTGAGCCAAGGCCATCGCAGACAGAATCCTTTGCTGTCAGAGCTGGAAGGGGCCTTAGGTTGTGTGGTCCAGCCTCTCTCATCTGCCAGAAGAAACAGCCCAGAGAGAGGAGGTGACTTCTCCAAGGCCTTTAGAAAGTTGAGTGAAGATCAGAGTCCGCATGGCATCCCGATTCCTGGCCTGACGCTCTTCCCACAGGCCAGAGCCAGCACTGTTCACCATCAGCCTGCCTCTGGTCATTGCTTAATTATCCTTGTTAATGAAAGAGAAAGGAGGCATGGACATCCCAAAAGTGATCGTATTCGTGGTCACACATTTTTCTTCATAATGGCATTTGACTCCAGCTCATTTGCAGGCCCTGCCTGGGCAGTGAGGGGTGGCCTTTTGCTGTGCGTGCAGCAGTTGCTCTCTTGACACCTGTTCTGGTTTTCTGAATCTCTGTTGAATTCATTATCAGTGCTGAAGTATTCTGGGCTCTGCTCTTCTCCCATCATGTCATGTTTGTTTCTTTAGTCCAACATTTATGAGTGGCTGCTGGGCAGTGCCTTGTTTTGCACCACTGATACAGTAAGCTCTTTGGGGGCTGAGACGCCCACCTCCTGTTCCTTTTGTGTCCCCAGGGTCTGGAATAGTCCTGAGCTTCTCAAGGCTGGATAAGTGCTTGTTGGGTAGAGGATGGCCATGGGGAGGCAGGGCAGGGTGCAAGGGCTCAGCCATCCCTGTAACCGGATGTGGTCTCTCTCCTGCCTGTGACCAGGGTGCAGCATGTGCAAGAGGATGATGCCGCATTTCCAGAAGGCTGCGACTCAGCTGCGAGGCCACGCCGTAAGTGAGGCGCCATTGCCTGGCAGGGCTGGGTCACTCTTGGACTTGGCGGAGGAAGGGTGCCAGGGGTGGGGTGGGGACAGGTTTTGAAATGGTGAGGATGACTGACCCTGCTGCCTGGGCCGTTGCTGAATCGCAGCCTTGCATGGAGCTCAGAGACCTGTTCTCTGTGAAGGTTGAGAACTCCACCAAGTTGCTGGGACCAGGAGAGTTTGACACCTGCCAAAGGCCAGTGATGAAATAGGACACCAGCAAGATGCACATGTGGCATTGTCAGGGGGCCAGGGACCAAGGTCGGAACATCGTGGGTCCAGAATTTTGAGGGCTGGGCTCTGAAGTGAGCTGAGGCAGCTGCTATGGAGCCCAGTGGCAAAGAAGAGGGTGTGATGACCTTAGGGGTGGACCAGAAGCATAAAGGGGGCTCACAGAGGCAAAGGCCTGTCCCGGCTTCCCAGGCTCTGTGGTTCCTGTGGGGCGGGAAGAACGGTGGGAACCAGAGGAGGAGGAGGTGGGGCTGGATGGGGAGCGAAAGACCTGGGAATGCAGGCATTCTCCCAGAAGGAGTGTAGGGAAGGATAGGCAGAATGGAGACACATGTGTCCTAGGGATGCCCACCTCTACAGGAGGAGGAAGAGGAGCCACTAAGGAAATGGGCCTTCAGAGAAGTAGGAGCAGCTGGGATGGGGCGGGGAGGTAGGAGGGGAGCCTGGAGTGTTGTGGGGGAGAAGAGAGCTGGGAGGGGGGATGGACCTCACACAGAAGGGCCGAGGGTCAGTCACCAAATGCTCCCTGGTACCTCTGTGTTCCCCCACCCTGCCAGGTTTTTTTGTTCTCTGCCTTGTGTCTATTATTTTTTCAATGTGGTAAAAAACACATAACATTACATTGACTATCTTAGCCATTTGTAAATGTACAGTTCAGTAGCATTAAGTATATTTACACTGTTGTGCAACCTTTCTCTAGAACTTTTTCATTTTGCAAAACTGAAATTCTGTACCCACTAAATATGAATTCTGCCTTCCCACCCCACTCCTGACCTTGATAAACTGCCTTTCTACTTTCTGTTTCTATGATTTTATATATATATATATATATATATATTCTGTTTTAGAGACAGGGTCTCACTATGTTGCCCAGGTTGGACTTGAGCTCCTGAGCTCAACCGATCTTCCCGTCTTAGCCTCCTGAATAGCTGGGACTTCAGATGTATGCCATCTAGCCAGGCCCATTTCTATGATTTTGACTATTTTAAGTTACTCCTATGAGTGGAATCTATAGTATTTGTCCTTCTGTGACTGGCTTATTTTGCTTAGCATTATATCCTCAAGTTTCATCCATGTAGCATGTCATAGGATTTCCTTCTTTTTTTAGGGCTGAATTATATTCCACCCTATGTACATACCACATTTTCTTCATACACTCATCTGTTGATGAGTTGCTTCTAGCTTTCTTGGCTGTTGCTCATAATGCTGCAATGAACATGGGTGTGCAAATACCTCTTTGGGATCCTGCTTCTAATTCTTTTGGATATCTGTTTATCCATTTTTGCACTTACCCCGAGTAGCAGAAGTGTCTTGATGGCAACATAAAAACAGCTGCCGGCTCCTCTAGGGAGCGTGGAAAAATCCATCCATCTTTCATGAAAGGTTATCAAGAGGAGCCATCTCAATAGTGTGGCCAAAGCCCCATTAAGGGAGACCTGAGGTCCTGAAACTGCATCATGATCTTTGTGGATCAAATTAAGTGGTGATTAGCTCAAAGTCAACTTAAAAAGTTTAAGTGGCAGCACCTGGGCATGGAGACGGCCCTGCTCGCCAAGCTGCAAGATGGGGCTGCAGAGAGCCAATGCTTTCTCTTTTGACCTCATTCTGGGGTGACACTGAGGTCCTGCTTGCTTCTCACTAATGAATTTTTAGTAACTTGCCTGGAGACATTGGCCTTGGGGCACACATACATCACCCCAGGGAAGTTTCACTTCACATTATTGGGACCTCAATAGACACCATATTTTGAGATTATTTAGCCTGGAGAAAAGACTTAATTACCCACAGTATTCTCTCTGCCTGCACCCGCATACACTTAGAAATCTGCTCAGCTCAACTTCCCGAATTCTGTGCTGTGGAAGGTAAGCAGCTCAGCCCCAAATCAGATCACAAGTTATTCCAGCCAGACCCACTGAAGCAGAAGAGAACTTGATGCCAGTCTCAGTGCATCTCGTGGGCCATTCTCAGCCAATGCTGCATCCACTGCCAAACTCAGTATTCTTCTAGGCCCCATCCCACGCTGCCACAGAGCTCATCCCTGTCACGCACAGCCAGATACGTTCATCTTTGCTTTTGTTCCAGATCACTTTGTTCAGCACTTGATACTAATTATGATATGTGAGTTTCTTGGGCACAGGAGTTGTGTTCATGTCTATTTCTTTAGCACATAGCACAGGGCTAAGCTCACAGTAGATATCCAGTATATGCCGATGAATGAATAGGGTTTTTGCTCATCACTCCTGGGGGTATGTTTTATTTTAAGCTCTATATTAAAAGTGATGGTCCTCTCTTTTAAAGGAATTCAGAGCATTTGTTATTAAGGCCGGAAGCATAGTGGGAAGGACATTTGTGGGACAGGTTATAAGGTTAACTGCAAAGACCACTCGTGTTCAGAATATAAGCTTCCAGCAGGGCATGGTGGTTCATGCCTGTAATCCCAGTGCTTTGGGAGGCCAAAGTGGGAGGATCACTTGAGGCCAGGAGCTAGATACCAGCCTGGGCAACATAGTGAAACCCCATGTCTACAAAAAATTTTAAAAATTAGCTGGGTGCAATGGCATACACCTGTAGTCAATGCTAGCTACTTGGGAGGCTGAGGTGGGAGGATCACTTGAGCCCAGGAGTTTAAGGCTGCAGGGAGCTATGATTGCACCATGCTCTGCACAACAGAGTGAGATCCTGTCTCTAAAAAAAAGAAAAAATGAATTCCAGCTTCTTCTGCCTGGGCCCAGGTCTAGAAATATAAAAGTTACCCATTCCAGTTCCCTCAACATTACAGAAAAGTCAGGGGCGTTGTCTGCAAAGCTGGGCAAGTCAAGCTGTGACCAGGTGTTGGCTGCCTTGGCCTAAGACATCTGGGTTGTGTAAACTCATTTCTTTGTTTGTATATTTTCTTGCTTGGGGTTTGTTTTGTTCTATTTTCCCTTTCATTTCCTAGAAAAGCATCTTCTGGAAAGTTCTAGCCCTTTCCCAGCTACATAAAGAGGGAAGGGCCCTGGCCGCTGCACGCATCACCCACGCAGGAGGCCCCTAGAGGCTAGGGCTTACTCTGCAGGGGCAGCTCCCCAGAAACTGGGGACCTGGCTGGAGGGGTTGAGTGACCACAGGTGTCAATTGCTTTTTGTCTTCACACACAGAAAAGAGGTGGGACTAATAAATGGGCTGCTATTCCCCAGAAATCAAAGTTCACCCCCTCCTCGCTGCTGAAACACAGCTGGATTAGGGCCTTCTGTCACTTCTTCATCTCTGTCATCTTTGAGCCTTTTTGGCTGGGTCTGTCTCTGGCAAGGGTCAAAAATCTTCCTCCTCTACAGATTTTTTGGGAGGTGTTCAACCTGATTGACATCATTAGGAAGGAAGGCATGCCAGGTCAGGGATGCACAGCCTTTGCCATTTCCAAACTTACAGCTGCCTCTTTTGTGCTGTCATTGACGTCTGGTGACTCATCGCGTCTGTCCCATCTACTCCTGCTAATTGACATCCTCATTAGCAGCCACGCTGCCCCCATCTCAGAGCAGCCATCAGAATGAGCCCTGTCTCCATCTGCCTCTTCCCAGCCTTGCCAGTTATTGACATCTGCACTGAGCCTTTGAGCTTTGCCTAGTCTTTGGTGGACCTCGGCCATGATGGGCCAGTCTGGGTATAAACACCATGAAATAGAACCATCATGACGACAGATTTGTACAGACCAGGCTCTAGTGCTGGCTCTTGCTAACCAGCTGGGAGATCTTGGTCCAAGCTCCTTAGCCTTGGAGCCTCCATTTCTCCATCTGTAAAATGGAGATGATAATGCCAACCCTGCCCACACTGGGTTGTGGTGAGGAACAAATGGGCTGTGTGGAAGAAGCCCTGTACCCCACAGAGCACTCATAGACACAGATGACTGATCCCCTCTCTTCCCTACAGCTGCCCTGCACCACATTCCTTCCACCGGCTAGATGGGGGTGCTCCCAAGGTTCCGCTTTCCTGTTAACACATTGGAGCAAGGTTTTGTCTTATTACAGTCTACCTTCCAGTGACCACATCTCTGTCCATAGCTTCAACAAAACGTAGCTCCATGGAGCCCAAGTCCTTCCCCTAAGTGCCAGTGCCACGTGTCAGATGGCTTGCTTCACAGCTCCATCTGGATTTTTTCCCTTGTGTCTCAAATGCATGTCTGAAAATTCAGTATCTTTCCATCTGGCAGACTGTGAACTTTGCATTAAGTCCTTTCCCCAGGGGCCAGGCTCTTTCCCCACCCCCCACCTCCACCTCTCTTTACTGAGGCATCATCAGGCATCTTCCTCATGCACCCTTCATCCTCTCCCTGCCCACCAGCCCTGTCCAGTGGGCTATGCTAGCTGGTGGCCAAAGGCTGCTGACTTGTCTCCTGACCACAGCATTCCCTCATAGCTCGTCCTTTCTGCTTCGAGAGATACAACTGGTTTGAGGGTTGCTTTCTTACTTAGAAACCCTCGGGAGCTCTCCGTCACTTCCTGAATACAGTCCCGATTTCTTAGGTATTTCAAGCCTTTCCCAAAGTGATCCTGGCCAACTCACTCAGCCTTTTCTTTCATGTCTTCTCCTTTCTGTGTATCCTGCCTTCCAGTTAGATGGAAATGTGCTCCATTTCTTGGGCCACATCTTTCTTTGCCTTGCCTCCAGTTCCCCATCCCGGGACGTCTGTTGAAATCTTACTCTCCTCTGAGTGCAAGCTCACATGCAGCCCACGCTAAGAAGCTGCCGTGATGGTTCCTGGCAGCAGGGCTGAACACACAGAAGAGCATGTCACGCCAGCTGAGTGGCCCCAAGCATGCAGATGGCAGTGGGGAGCAGGGAGGCTGTGTTCTTATCTTCTCCACAGGCCGAGACCAGGTGTGTCACCTCATTTGACTTCACAAATTCTAACTCCAGAAAGTGTTTGTATGTAGTTTTTCAAAAATTTTTGCCTCATTAACTAATAGATGCCCCCAAAATGGCACAAAAGTGCTACAGAAACTTGGAGAATTAAGAGCTCACCCCAAGCGAAGGTGGTTTGCAAAGGCTGCCCAGAGACGTGAGGTTTGATTTGCCTTAAGGGATGGGTGAGTCTGGAGGGTCGCCAGGAGGCGGGGGATGGGCAGCCTCAGTAAGGGGACTGGAAGGCACCAAGTGGGGGCCAGGAGAGAACAGCGAGTGTTCCAGAAGTGTGGGCAGAAATAGAGCACCTCCTAGTCCTAGTAACAAAAATAGCTAATACATTTTGTGTTATTGATTATCTTGTATTATTTCATTGAATCTTCTCAACAACCACATGAGGTGGCTGCAGATGAGGAAAGTGAGACGCAGAGACAACTGTGACTCATTCAAGGAAATGCGCGACCCCATGGGGAGTTGGGACTCAAACCCAGGCATCCTGAGTCCATGCTTCCAGCCACTGCATGTTGCTGCTGCACTCAGCAAGATGTCTGAGAAGGCAGACAGTCCAACTTCCTTCCTGTGCAGAAATCTCAGACTGTCTTATTCCTGGGAGAATAAAAAATCTAGACCCTAACAGGTGTACAATGAAGAGTTTTGTAAGAAAGAAAGATTCAAAAATGAAATAGGTAACATATGGGCATTGAATGTGGAGCTGGATTTTAGCCTATATTCAATGGAATTGGAAGGTTTTGTGCAGGGAAGTGATGTAATGAGCGAGGAGGACGTGTAAGATTAATCTGTGGTGAATGTGCACTGACACTGGGGAGATCAATTAGGCAGAAAAAAAAAGGACTTTTAAAGAAGACAAATATTACTGGAACAGGCCGCTGGAGCAGTCTGGGAAATGAGCAGAATGACTTTTATAGAGCGTTCCAGGGCTTCAAGTAAATTCGAATTCAAATTTATTCTTCCTGTATTATTTGCTGCATCCTAAAATGGGCTAGGAAAAAAAAAACAGTGAATTTAGTGAGCATTTATTGTGTCCTTGCTGTATGTGAGGCCTTGTGCTAGGGACTTAAAACAATTGGAAAGATATCCAGGTGCCCCTAGGAATGGAGAGGCCAGAGGCACAGTGGCTCCCATCACCAGGAAGACTTGGTAGGAAGATGACAGTTACTGAGCTCCAGTTTTGTGCTAAAACCTCTCATCTCATTTAGTTCTCTAAAGAGCCCTTTGATGGTCACATCTTCCAGCAAGGGACCTCAGTGAGGGTGAGTGACTTGCCCAAGGTCACATGACTCATAAGTGGAAGCTGTCTTTGCAATCAATTTATTGTCCACTGAAACGGTTATTTATTTTCCTCTCTCTCTGTGTCCTTATGTATTATTCAGTAAAGTTCAGCTTCCTGGGTTTCTTCTCTCTGCTTCTGTAACTACTGCTGGCTTTTTTTACTTACTTTTCCCTCGCTTCTATGCCACTCTGCTTTGTGGAACAACCTTTGTGTGTCGGGCCATTCTAGCTGTGTTCTCTGGTAAGAACAGATTCAAAGTCCTGGCTGGGCATGCTGGCTCATGCCTGTAATTCCAGTGCTTTGGGAGGTTGAAGTGGGAGGATCGCTTGAGCCCAGGAGTTGGAAGCCAGCCTGGGCAACACAGCAAGACCTCATCTCTACCAAAAAGAAAAATATACTAGCCGGACATACTGCCACATGTCTGTGGTCCCAGCTAATCAGGAGGCTGACAGCGGAGGATTGCTTGAGCCCAGGAGTTAGAGGGTGCAGTGAGCTATGATCATGCCACTGCAGAGGGAGTTTTAGGGGATTCCTTATATGAGTCAGTCTTAGTATTTAGCTACATCGTCGGTTACCCAGCTACTAAAATACTCTTTCTGATTCAGGGATAGTGGACATGTGGACCCCTGGAGCCAGAATATGTTCAGAATTCTGAGATGATGATCCAGCCAGGCTGTGGGTAATGGTCACCAACAGGAGGAAACACTGGGGAGACACAGCACGGCCTGGAAGGAGGAGAGTTAGGCAGGTGCCTCGTTTCTCATGTTGTGTTATGAGAACCACACGGCCTCCCTGGCCACATATAAGCTGTGAGGTTTGGAAACGTCACACTCAAGCCTAGGTGAGCAAACCGTGAGGTATCCAGGAAGGTGTCTAAGGACGTTGTACAGAGCTGAATTGGTGTATGAAAGCCACTTATTTCCATAGCCTAGGAAAGAGTACAACCCGAGTTGACATGAACAGAGAAATAGGCGTAACACATCCTTGGCAGTGGCCCCTCTCTGAGAGTAATGTGAACTTGATGGCAAGGCCCGGCTTCTTCTGCAACCCTCAGAACGTTGGTTTTGCTCTGGGGTGGTTCTTCCTGCAGGGAGGCAGAGGGAGCAGGCGTGCGGAGTGCAGCACTCGGCCCAGCTGCCTGACTTCTCCAGCGCCAGGTCATGATTCCCGGCTGGCTTCGCTGGCCTTGTTTCTCAGCAGCCCTGATGCACATCAGTCTGTGGGGCTTTGTCCCATATGTCTTTCTGGTGGGACAGCAGCTGGACAGATGGCGTGTGGACTAGAGGGTGTCTGTGGGGCACAGGCTCCACACGGCTCTTCTCCGCTTCCTCCCAGGTGCTGGCCGGGATGAATGTCTACTCCTCTGAATTTGAAAACATCAAGGAGGAGTACAGCGTGCGCGGCTTCCCCACCATCTGCTATTTTGAGTACGTCCCCCACTTTCCTTCTAAAGCTCACCTCCCTCCCTGGTGATTGACCATAATCTCAGGGTGGCATTTGCATCCGTGACTGAGCCCACGTTGTTTCTCCACGTTTCACAGGAAAGGACGGTTCTTGTTCCAGTATGACAACTATGGGTCCACAGCTGAGGACATTGTGGAGTGGCTGAAGAAGTAAGTGGGGTGTGTGTGTGTCAGTGGGCGTGGACCCAGAGGGCGGGGCATCTGCCGGGCCTGAGGGTCGCAGGGCTCTGGCTGGAGGTTGGGGGAAAGAATGAGGAAGGGAATTGTGGTACTGCCTACACAGCTGTCTCTGGCTTGAGTCTAGGCCACTGTGGGGATTGTGGGAATTTAGGTTGCAGGAGCCATGAGGATTTGGTGTGACTTTGGCCTGTGATGATCAGACCTGCCTGGGTGTTGGGTGTGGAGTCTGTCTCCCCTACCTCCCGTCTCCACGGGTTGGAACTGGGGAGGGGCTGCCTAAGCCTGTCAGCTCTTCTGGAATAGTCAGGGCCTTTCTGAATTCTTCCCACATTTCACATCAAGTTTCTCCTCAACACATCTATCTGATGGATAGAGGTATTTCTCACCCAGGCTACCAGGTTTGAGAGAGGTTCCACTGCAGGTCTCTCTGAAAATAGAATTGTCAGTTGAACACTTATTTCAAACACAGCACTGTCTTAGGTGCTGTGAAGGTACTAAGAAATATTCTAATGCCTTAGGTTTGCTGAGTGCTTTACTGTTCAACCCCCACAGGCATTGCTTCATTGCAACCTGTGATCCCTGTTTTATAACATGATTAGATCCTTGTAATGCCAAACCCCACCACCCTGTTGGCTCCTGCCTCCTTACCTGGAGCCTCCACTGTGCTAGGCCTGCTGCTTTGTCCTGCCAGATCACCCCATTCCCACTTCTCACCAGCACTTCCACGACAGGCTCACGATGTCCCCTTCTGGAAGCCTCCCCAGGCCACCCTCGCTGAGCACGCACCCTACTCAGGCTGCGCTCTGTGTGTCACGAGTTTGGCACTTACCAGCCACTGCTGCTTCATGAGTATTTGTGCATATGTGCTGGAGTAACAACAGCCAACATCTTTTGGGCTCTCCTTTGTGGCTGACATTGTTCTAAGCACTTTACATGGATTCTCATTTAATCCTCACAACAGCACTGTAAGGAAGATGTTACCGTTCTCTTCATTTTATGAATGAGGTCCCTGAGGCACAGTAAAGGGGTGGTGCCGGTAAGCAGTAGCAGGGCCCTGATGGGTCCCCGCCACCAACCCAGCTCCCTGCAGCCCCGACAGTCCAACTTAGCCTCCTCAAGTTCTGCTCGGAGCCCCTCCCCTCAGCTGCCGGCACAGTGGACATTTATTGACATCATTACCTTAGGAACACAGTGTGCAAACCCCAGGGTTAAAGAATTAGTTATCCAAGATATGGAGGTTGAAAATGTGTATTTTCAAAATGGGAAAGAAGGGTGGGTTTTGTACCAGGAAAAAAATGCACATGAAACTAACTGTTAGATTTCTAAAGGTGGAGAGTCTCCATCTTCTGTTCTGCCTACTCTCGGGAGATAAGGCACAAGTGCTAGCACATGTTTGCATCATGTCTTTTATTTCTTGGAAGCATTCTCACATCTCTGTCCCCATCGGCTACCTCATTTCCAGCCCCTGCCTGGGAAGGCTGCTGCCCATTATCATGTGTTCATTGTCTTAACCTGGGCCTTTGCTTTCCTGTTTTCCTTTTTCATTTGATAATAAGCGTGTCCTCTCCTCTATCCAGACACATCTCATTCTGCTTTGGGAGAAGGTCTCAACAAATAGCAATCTCATTTGTCACTAGAGCATAAAATCTGTCTGCTTCCCTTCCCTTCTCTAACCTTTTCTGATTTCAAAACACCCTCATATCTTTTTTGGAAGGATAAGGTTTATGTGGTTTTTTTTAAGTATTCAGAATTACCTGCTAACCCTAGACAAAGGGAGCACATCAATGGTGTTTCTGAAACAGGCTATTATCTCCCCGCTGGAGCCTCCTACTCCATCCTCCCACCCCTCTCCTCTCGGCACACCCCATCCCGGCTCCCCCACCCGCATTGCTCCGGCTGGCCTGCACCCCACAGCTGCCTCCAGTCTCTGGTCCTGGGTACCCCATCCCCACTTCCTACTTCCCCCCATCCCCCGCTGTGGGAGAGAAGGAGCTCTTGTTAACGGCCTTATCCTCTGCAAGAGCTAGTAATGTCATTCTGCTACCAGCTGGCTTAATTTTTTAAAGTCTTTTCTGATTTCAGAGATACTCAACTAAGATAGGCTTATTATAGAAAAACCTAAAAGTGTGGTTAAACAAAAAGTCCTCCCCCACCCTATTACCCAAAGATAGCATATTGTTATTATTTCCCCTACATAGATCTAGCTCTGCATGTGGGTTTTCCCGGTCCCACATGGATTAAGCCTTTTCCAGTTTCCCCTCACATCCTTTTGGGCAGTAGTGACCTCATCTTTCCTGCTTCTCTAGGTTTCTCCATTGGCTCTTAGCTGCTCAGGGCTTCTGTGCAGCCAAGTATACAAAGATGAGGGTGAAGCCAGCCTAGCTAATTCTCCAAATGGCTCTCAAATGCCTAGGAGAGAAGACCTAGGTCCTGCCCTTCAATGCGTGACTCTGGTGGTTGGACCAGGGAAGGGTGGCACCAGGTGAGGCAGGGCAGGGAGTCAGCCCCTGGCATCTGAGTGTATGAGGGCTCTGGAGTAGATGTGTTGATCGTGGCACTGGTGTCTTTTGTGTTCCTAATGGCCACGTATCTCATTGGCCACTTGAAGCTGTCACTGGTGAGTTGGGCTAGCAGACAGGTGGAGGGGTACATAAGCAGTGATCCATTTTGGGCAGGGTCATTTTGGCCTGTGTAGCTTTATGCCAACCAGAAGTGAACTGAATTAGCAAACACCAAGTTTTCTGGACTCGTAATGCTTAGAGTTGCATCTTCTCATCTATGGCACATGCATCTCCCTTAGATGAGGTTCTGATTGTGTGACCCTCCCAGTCCTAGAGAGCCTGGAACAATTGCTCTCTCCAAACTGCAGAGCTCATGAAATCAGTCGCATGAAGGCAGATCAGAAGGGAACATACAAGTCATCAAATCTGCACCAGCAATTCTCCTTTCAATGTTTGCATTTCCTCACTCCCATTGGACTCATTCTGAGGTTCCCCATTCATGCTTGAATGACTCTTATGATTTAGGTGATAAATGATATCTAGGAGCATTTGGGTAGTACTTTATAAAGTTACAAAGCATCTCACATCCATTCTCGGCCTATATGAGCCTGAGAGCTAGGTGAAGAAAGGACCACAATGCACTATCTTGTCACTGTTTTAAGCTGTTTGATTGTGGCTAGTGGAGGAAACAGGACTCAAGTCAGGTCTTCTGACTCCCAGTTTGGCCTTCTTTCCCTCTCCTCTGCTGAAGACAGAACATTCTTATTTACACCGAACTGGAGTTTCTCTGGAGCTTCCACTTGTTAGTGTTGGTTCTCCTCTTCAGGGCCCTAGAAAATAAATCTTAATTTCTTTTCTTAATGCAGTTTGGAATATTTGATGATAGCCACTGTGCTCTCTTATGTCCTTTCTCCGAATTAAACACTTCCAGTTCCTTAAGCCATTTTTCCCTGAATGAGGGGAATGAGCCTTCCCTCATTCAAGGAATGCTCCTGTTCAACGAGCATGTATTGAGTGTCTGCTGTGTATTGGGTGCAGGAGTTAGTAAAGGGGTGAGGGAGAGCCCAGTCTTCAAGGAGCTCACGGCCTGGGGTAGGCGGGGAGTGAAAAGCATCATTCAGTGTTTTGGGTTCAGACTCTCACTCAGTCCCTCTCTTCCCAGTACATCCTCTTACCACGGTGCCCAGTTCTCCAGTCCTCTCCCAAAAAGAAACTTCCAGTCATCTCCTGGGTGGGAGAGGGGAGAGCCCTAGGATCTGAGGATCTGACCACTCCAGTGACCGCTAAACCCTGTTTTCAGCCACAGGCTATAGCTCTGCTTCAAGGAGTGGGCCCCTGGGCCCTTCAGAGCCTTGTCTTCTGTGTGCGTGTGGTTCTTGGGCCCCTACTCTGCTTTTTCTGACCAGAAAGTTTTTTGTTTTTTGTTTTGAAACTCCTGAACTGTTATTTTAGCAGTTTTAGAGTGTATTCGCCTCTGTGTTTAACTAGAAGTTCCTCCCGTTCTTTCCTTCCGGTGCCTGTACTCCTGCAAAATATAGCCTTCTCCATCCTATATTTGTGCACTTGCTTGACTTTTTAAAAATTTAGTTTTTGAGTCAATTACATTCACATAATTCAATTTATTTTTTATTTTTTATTTTTTTATTTTTTTAGATAAGGTCTTGCTCTGTCACCCAGGCCAGAGTGCAGAGGGTACCATCATAGCTCACTGCAGCTTTGAACTCCTGGACTCAAGCGATCCTCCCACCTCAGCCTCCTGAGTAGCTGGGACTACAGGCACAGGCCACCATGCCCGACTAATTTTTTTTATTTCATATTTTTGTAGAGATGGAGTCTCACTCTGTTGCCCAGGCTGGCAAAATTTTAAGGTGCTTAAAAAGAATACATTCAAAAGTCTCGCTTTCACTTCTTTCCTCCTTATCCTCCCTCCTATACCCTAGAATTTACAACTTAGACCAGTTTCTTTTATGTTCTTAGAGTGTTTCTGTATGTAGATATTAGCAAATGTGAATAAGTATATTTTATCTCCCCCCTTTTAATGCAAAAGTTAGCAAATTCTAGACTGTTCCATCCATCTCCAGCAGTTTGTCCACATCAGTGCATAGAGAACATCATTCTTTGCAGTGCTCAGCCCTCCCTCGTGTAGATGGACAGCAGTTTACCTAACCCGTCCTTCCAATTTTCGCTATGACAACCTGCAGTGAATGCCTTCAGATGCACATAATTTTGTATGTGTGCAGGTGTATTGTAAAGATAAATTGCTCTGAAGTGTAATTGGTGGTGTTTTGAGGGGTCAGTAGTTTGAGCCCAAGTATAGGAACCTAGATTGCATGATGTTTGTCTAGGACCATTGTCTGGCTGGTGACTCATTCTGAAGCTTGATTTTGTCACCAGTCCCATCTGACATTGGATATGCATGGACTGAGATTGATTTGCCCTCTCCCTGCCTCCTTCCATTTCTTGGGACCTGGGAGGCCATGGTGGCCAGTGGGGCCCAGTCAGAAGGGCCAGAGAGGGCTTCTGAAGGCGACATCATACCCGGCTGCGGAGGGAAGTGGGTGGCAGAGTTCCATTGTGTCAGCCACTTCACTCCCTCTGGATTTTCCAGCCCTGGCTGCTGGAACTTTAAAATATTTCCTCCTGTAGGCTCTCAAAAGTGCGACACAATGGTTGTCTTTTCACATTTGTCATCCTTGAGGGTTTTTTCAAAGCTGCAATTAAGGTGCTCTGGCAAAGGTAGTTGTGACAGTAAAGCAGCAGGGAGACTGTGTCACCACCAGCCACCTTGTCCTGAACTTTGGGGCAAGGGAGGGCCCCTGCGAGCCTCCCTCCTCCTAGCAGATGATGACCTAGGACTGGCACACAGTCACGCTGCGGAAACAGGCTCCAGAGAGGTCAGGCGGCTGCCTAAGGTTTTGCAGCTGATGAGTGGTAGAGTTGATTTGGCTTCTGGGAGAACTAAATAAGTTGGTTGTTGGCCTCTGGGAAGGATTAGTGATGTAGCATACACGCTGTCGTAGTTAGGATACCCCCAGCCTTACTTCCCTTGCTGCAACCTTCCCCTGCACCCCCATGTGGCAGCTTCCCCTTGCATGGCCTAGATCTGATCTTTCTGAGATACCTGGCCTCTCTCTCTCCTCCTCACCCCCTCCTCTCTGTACCCTCTTCCTCCCCTCCACTGCCCAGTGGGCAGTTTTAAACACAACAGTGAGCTTTTCCAAAGGTCACCATTCACTGTTGCTATTTATTCTTTCCAGTTTGCTGAAAGTTTGAAATAGGTTGAGAAAGCTAACAAGCCCCTAGATTCCCAGGAGGAAGTGAGATTTCTTAGGCTATCTAGAGAGCTGTAGCCAGAAGCCACTGTTTGTAACAGGATATCAGCTAAGTACCTGTCTGGGGCTTTGCGGGGAAGGTGGAGGTGGGCAGGGCCACACCACTCACCCCACGGCACCTCCATGAGGGCAGTTTCTGGTTTGTTAAAGGCTGAGCCCCTGGAGTGGGCCGTCCCGAGCCCATGGGGAGCTTTGGGTCCAGGGGCCTGGAATTAGAAGGGCTGCCAAGGCCCCAGGGCCTGCTCTGAGCTCTGCCTGTTTTTGGTCTTCCAGTCCGCAGCCGCCACAGCCCCAGGTCCCTGAGACTCCCTGGGCAGATGAGGGCGGCTCCGTTTATCACCTGACCGATGAAGACTTTGACCAGTTTGTGAAGGAACACTCCTCTGTCCTCGTCATGTTCCACGCCCCATGTGAGTGGAACTTTGCTCCTCCCCCTCCACACCCTCCCCTCTCTCAGAGTAGGATGAGTGTGGCGCTTTGCAATGTGAACCCAGGAAGCACTTATTTTTTGGATGCCAGGACCCATGCTAAGCCAGGGGATGCAGTGGTGACAGGCGAGGTCCCCACCCTCGTAGTGCACATGGCCTACCCCCCATTGCCATGGAAACAACACAGAAGTCCTGATCAGGCTTTACTTGTCCCTTAGCTAGAGCTCAGTGAGTCTCCACCACCCCTAGCTCTGAGCATCTTCCTCCCAGTCAGCATGAATTGGAGAAATTAAGCTGGAAGCACCCTGAGATGTTACCTAGAACAGACTGGGCCTGGAAATAAAATTAGGGCTGATACCTCATATGGGGGCTCATACCTATAATCCCAGCACTTTGGGAGGTCAAGGCAGGAGGATTGTTTAAGGCCAGGAGTTCAAGACCAGCCTGGGCCACATAGCAAGACCCCATCTCTACAAACAATTAAAAATTAGCTGGGCATGTGGTGCACACTTGTAGTCCCAGCTACTCAGGAGGCTGAGGTGGGAGGATTGCTTGAGCCTGGGAGGTTGAGGCTGCAGTGAACTGTGATTGTGCCACTGCACTCCAGCCTGAGTAACCAAACAAGACCCTGTCTCATTAGCCGGGCGTGGTGGCGTGCACCTATAATCCCAGTTACTTGGGAGGCTGAGGCAGGAGAATCGCTTGAACCTGGGAGGTAGAGGTTATAGTAAGCCAAGATTGTGCCACTGCACTCCCTCCTGGGCAGCAGAGCGAGGCTCCATCTCAAAAAAAAAGACCCTGTCTCTAAAAACAATTTTTTAATTTAAAAAAAAAAGATATTATCTAGGGCAGTAGTCACCTCTTACCTTACAAGTGGTCGCGGGCTGAGGCCCCAGGAGAGCCTGTGCTTGCCCAGGAGCTGAGAGGGCATGGGGAGGCCAGGCTGGAGCTGCAGATCATCCAGCATCTAGAATGCCTTCTGTCTGCTTCACCTCATTGCATTCTCATTCTGAAATGACCACAGTGAATCAAGGAAGTAAAATCCTGTAAATGCTATCAAACGTGCTTGCGATAAGGGCTGGAAGGCCTGTGGCCCAGGAGTTTTCTGGAGCAGTGTCTTCCTACTCCCATGGAGAGTGGAAAATTGACCATAGGTGGTTTCCAAGAGGGACAAGGCTGCCCCTGGGAAGGCAGACAAGGCCGCGTGAGAGCCAGGGGATGGCAGGTGTGGGCACAGAGTGTTGTGAGTAAGAGATTGTGGAGGAAAAGCAAGAGGTCAGTGCCTCATGGAGCAGGGCTGAAATCGTGAGGTCACAGTGCATGAGGATGGTTAGTCCATAGAGGCATATTCTATCAGGAGGAAATGTTATTACTCCTCTTAATCATAGGGTCCTCATGCCAACAGTTGTGTGTCACCCTACAGTGGTAACACATTGTCTTCCTGAAGGGTCATCTTTTGTTTTACCCAGCGTGCCACAAAGTGAGTACAATTAGCCCCATTTTACAGATGAGACCGTCACACAGAGAAATGACATAGACCACCCACGGCTCCGTGAGTCCTGAGCTGCTTCAGGCCTCAAGAGCCTTAGGTTCCAGGAAGAACAGGGTCAGAGCCTGAGCCCCAGTCTCCTGGCCGCCTCCCCTTCCCCCACAGTATCCATGAGTTTGGCTAGCCTGGGAATTGCTCATAAACATACTCTTACCATGGATTTTCCTAACTCATTATTTCTTACAAGTGCTAAATTCTTAGGAGACTCTAAAGGAATAGCTCTAAAGGACTCTAAAGGAATAGCTCTAAAGGAATAGTTTCCTATAGCTCTTCTGAGTTCCTAGAAAAGAGACCAAAACAAGCCCCCAAAACTAAGTTTCAAAAACCCTCTAGTCTTGTGGGCCTCTCCTGATGAAGCGCAATGAAGGGCGTCTGCCTCAGGTCTGCTAGGGCCTTGGTGAGGGCATCCCCGAGGGTAAAGGTACTCAAAAAAGTGCCCGCCATGAGGCCAGCCAGGTAGCACTGCAGTGCTCTTCCTAGCTATAAAATACACTCCCTGGCCAGCCTCAGAGCTGCTGCTGGAAGCGAGTCTTGCAGGAATTGATGTTGAATCTAGAGCCGAAATCACCATCCTTGCACCCCTGTCCCAGCCGTGACAGCAGATACTGGCTGGCTGTTTCCAGTTCCTCCTTGGGAACCTCCAGGGTCTTCATCCCCATGTGTCTGTCCTTCCAGTTAGGGTTGGGAGAGGTCACCAGTCCCCTGGGCATTCATGGTTGTGCGCATGTGGGTTTATTTCTGCTGGGCTGGCAGAGTGAGAGGGATCAGGGCAAAAGCATGTGGTTAGCTTCCTGATATACTGCCCGTCAATGTTCCTGTCGGATGGTAATAGCTCTGGATTAATTCCCTTTCTACACACTTCTTCATTAAGAGCATGGTCTTTAGCCTAGGGAGGGATGGAATGTACATGCTTTAGGGAGTTTGGAGCTCAGGACAGGTGAACTGAGAGCAGAGAGCTCATAGCTGCCTGGCTTTGTATCTCATGCCAGAGTGCTTCTGAGAATCCCCAGTGATCAAGAAACCACTTTTGCAGTGTTTGAGGGACCTGGAGTAAAGGACAAATGTCAAGAGGCCAGAGACCAGCAGTGTCATCCTGCGTTTCCTAAGTGCAGAAAGGGTGAATTCTGGAAATCACAGTGTTCCAGGTGTCAGTCCCAGGCCAAATACGGAGTGATTTGGAGACAGACCATTTTAGAGACTCACAGAAACAAATTGGGATCCATCAACATAGCAGACCACAGCTTCTACTCCAGATCGCTGAATGCGCCGCTTGGTTTGTTTCTTGGGATAGGATTGCTGAGCTTGATGAATTAGCGTGTCTTTCTTTTATCAAGACATTTGACAAAATGAGTTGCTGTTTTCCTCACTGTGATGGGGAGAATCAGACAGGATGGAGCTACCCTGAGGGGAAGCATCCCCTGGATACATTGTGACTGTGAATCTGGCCTGAGTCTGTCTAGAGGGTATGTACTTGTTTTTAATCAGCAACTTTGTTAATGCTATAAAAAGGCATACTTTCACATTTGGCAGGGTTAGCCTTGGGAAAAGGCTGACCAGCTGAAATGTCAGACCATGCATTGACATTTTGAAGTACCCCAACAAACCGAAATAGTGGGGCTCAAACTAAAAAGCTGATTTATTTTTTATGACTCTATGCTAATTATAAAAGTAATACATGTACATTTTATCAAGGGATAATATAGGAAAGTATAGAGAAGAAAATTAAAATGCTTCCTGATACTGATTCCCAGAGAAAACCTGGTCTTTCTTTGCAGTGTTGTTTGTTTTCTTTTCTTTTCTTTTCCTTTTCTTTTCTTTTCCTTTTCTTTTCTTTTCCTTTTCTTTTCTTTCTTTTTTTGACATAGAGTTTTGCTCTGTCACTCAGGCTGGAGTGCAGTGGCACAAACACAGCTCACTGCAGCCTCGACCTCCTGGACCCAAGTGATCCTCCCACCTCAGCCTCCTGTGTAGTTGGGACTACAGGTGCACACCGCCACACCTGGCTAATTTTTAAATTTTTTGTAAAGACGGGGTCTCACTTTGTTGCCCAGGCTGGTCTGCTTTGTTGCTTCTATGCCTGTAGTAAGTACCCAGTCAATGTTAGTTTCTTTCCCGGTCCTGCTTAGAAAGGCCAGGAAGGGAAAGGGTCTTCAGCTTTCCTCTGACCTGTGCCACCCCAGGGGGGTGCTCTCTGGCACCTGTGGGTTCCAGAGGCAAGGCACTTGCTTCTCTGCCTGGAACTGATGGGATGCTTGTGAGGCTGCCCTGCTGGGCTCTCAGCAGGAAAGGCACACGGCACCCCTCCCCGTTCTGTGTTACCCATCACCGTAAGTGATGACTGACCTGGAGACACCATGGGCCCTGCTCCTTTACCCTCTTCCCAGCACTCCTGCCACTCACTTCCCACCTCATCTGCCCCCATCTCCCCATTGTCTTTCTTCCCTCTCTCTCCCAGCAAGAGCCCATTAGAAACCCTCCACAGATACTTCAGTGGCCTCTCCAACTGATGCCTAAGTTGTCACTAAATAAATGAGCCCAGGGCAGCCACGGTGCTAGGCCCTTCATATGGGCGATCTCTATTCTGCCACAGGCCACACTGAGATTTACAGCCAGGTTTGCCCCACAGCCCTGTCCCCCAGGAGCTGGGCCGGGCCTCCTGGGCAGGACAGGCCGAGTGTGAGCAGAGGGCTCTGAGAGGGGTGTGTCTGTGGTGCTGCCTGGACCCAAGGCCAGGAGCCGCCTCTCTTGCTAGCACTTGGCTTCCCGTTTGTAGCAAGGCTTCGTGCCTGACCTCCCTCTGGTCCTCACAGTGGGGCCTCACATGCAGCCCCAGGCCCGGTTTTCCCACCCTGCAGGCGACGGAGATGCTCTCTGCAAATGGTGTGTCAGGAGGACAGTGGCTGCTGCCACCCGTGGCACCTTTTTGTTTGTGTTTTTCTGCGGCGTTCCATATGAGAGAAGTCAGAGTGTGTGTGGCCACTCATCTCCTCTTGTCACTGTTTTTTGTCCCTCTCTAGTAACTTCAGGTCTGCATTAGCAGGGGAAGGACAAGCTGCTGTGGCACTACCTGAGTAGACATCATTTATATGGGGATGTTCAGGGGAGCAAGGGGGGCATCCCAGAGAGGGGTGTTCCTGAGCAGCTCGTCTCTCCTAGGCCTGTGGACACCCATGCAGGTTCTGGGGATCCTGAGGACCCCCTGCTCTTCCTCTCCCCTGTGCTACAGGGCTTCTTGGGGGCCACGTGGCTCTACCCTTGCCTACCCCCTGACTCATCGACCCATTTTCCTTAGCAACAGGTCTGAGATGGGATGTTTTCTTTGCCATATCTTGCCTCCAGCATGTATCTGCACTGCCTTCCAGGAGCCGGGCTGTTTCTGGCAGCAGGTCCCCATCAGACTCAAGATTTTCTGCTGTCATCTTTTTTTTTAAGCTTTTAACTGTATTTTTGTCTTATTCTCAAAGCAATATATAACCTTTGTAGAAAATCTAGAAGGTATAGTAAAATATAGGTGATTAAGGAAAGAAACTACCTATAATCCCCATTATCCAGAGGTAACAACTTTTTTTTTTTTTTTTTTTTTTTACTTTTTGGCATCATTCTTGCTAGTCTTTTTCATTTTTTTGGTCTTATTTTTAACTTTTATTTTTTAAAAGAGGATACCATAAAATCGACCTTTTTTTTTTTTTTAATCACATGTATAGATTTGTGTAACTATCATGCCACGAAGGGCCTTCATGCTGTCATTTTATTTTATTCATTTATTTATTTCTGTTTTTTTTCTTTTCTTTTTTTAGAGACAGGGTCTCACTATGTTGCTCAGGCTGGCCTCAAACTCCTGGGCTTAAATGATCCTTCCACTTCAGCCTCCTGAGTAGCTGGGACTACAGGCACGGGCCACCACACCTGGCTAATTTTTTGGATTTCTTTTTGTAGAAATGGAGTCTCCCTATGTTGCTCAGGCTGGTCTTGAACTCCTGGGCTCAAGTGATTCTCCTGCCTCGGCCTCCCAAGCAGCTGGGATTATAGGCATGAGCCACTGCACTTGGCCACTTGTATTTTCTAATTGCACAAATAATTTAAGAATAATATTAACAGCATTCTTGTTATCAGCAGTGCAAGGTTCAAGGGATACATAAGAATATAGTGCAGACAGTGAAAATCCCTCACTCTCCACGCCGTGCCCCTTCTCAGGGCTGGTCACCACTCACAGTAGAGGATGGATCCTTCCTTCTCCTTCCGCAGTGCTTCTACCTAAACAACAGGGGGTTGGTTGGCTGGGCATGGTGGCTCACGCCTGTAATCCCAGCACTTTGGGAGGCCAAGGCGGGTGGATCATGAGGTCAGAAGTTCGAGACCAGCCTGGCCAAGATGGTGAAACTCTGTCTCTACTAAAAATACAAAAATTAGCAGAGCATGGTGGTGCACGCCTGTAGTCCCAGCTACTTGGGAGGCTGAGGCAAGAGAATTGCTTGAACCCGGGAGGCAGAGGTTGCAGTGAGCCGAGATCATGCCATTGCACTCCAGCCTGGGTGACAAGACAAAAAAAAAAAAAAAAAAAAAAAAGGGGGTTGGGTTTTTTGTTTTTGTTTTTTAACATAAGTAGGACTACTTCCTATCCATTCTTCTGTGATTTGCTTTTTTTAACTTGTCAATAGGTCTCGAAGATATTTTCATGTAAATGTAGATATTGGCACATAAATCTACCTCAATCTTTTTAACCATTGAATAGTATTTTATAATTTGGATATGCCAGAAATTTTAAACCATTCCCCTACTGATAGGTATTGTATTTATCTCCAGTTTTTCACTATTCAAACAATACAGTGAGCATTGGTAAACATATATAATTGGGAAAATGTGTAAATATTTTTGATTAATTCCTAAAAGTGAATTTCCTTGGCCCTGGGGTAAGTAAGCTTGAGCTTTGGCAGATGCTACCAAATTGCCCTACAGAAAGGTTTTCCCAAACCCAGCGGGTGACAGAGCCTTTGTCCTTGCAGCCATGGATACTATCTGCCTTTTATATTTCTGCTAAGCTCGGCAAAACAGCAACTTGTCTGCAGCTATCTGACCTCTAGGGAAGCTGGACATCTTTTCATGTGATAATCAGCTTTTCATGTTTCTTCCATGGACCACCTATTCATACACTTTGCTCATTTTTCTGCTAGGTCTTTTTATTTATTTGTCTTTTTATTCTTGACCTAGAACTCTACAATTATAGATATTAATCTTTATCTGTTTTCTGTGTTTTCCATGTTCCATTAGTCTATTTCTTGCTCTAATTTTGTTTATGGTGCCTTTCATTGTACAAAGCTTTACATCCTTTGTAGCTGAGTAATAGCTATTATATTTATTGGTCACTGATCACACTTACTATGGATCAGGCGTTGTTCTAGGTACTTTCCATATTTTAACAGATTTAGTCTTCATAAAAAATTCGTGAATTTGATGTCATGATTAATTATTCTCATTTTATAAGTAAGGACGGGGAGACACCAAGAGGTCAAGAAACGTGCCAAAGGTCACATAGCCAAAAAGTGCAGCCAGGATGAAATCCCAGGCTGTCCCAGAGGCCACAGCCTAACCACTGAGCCATTCTGCAAGTCTGCCTTCTCCCATCCTGACCTCTGGGATTTGTGGGTTGTTTAGGAAATTCTCCCTTAGGATATTAAAATAGTGCCCTATATTTTGTTATAATGTTTTTATTTTTTAATTTCTTTCTTTAATTCATCTCTATTTTTCATTTGTCTATTGTGCCAGGTGGGAGGAAGGGATTTGAGACAGGGTCTCACTCTGTCACCCAGGCTGGAATGCAGTGGCATAATCATAGCTCACTGCAATTTCAAACTCCTGGGTTCAAGTGATCCTCCTGCCTCAGCCTCCTAAGTAGCTAGTACTACAGGCACACACTACCACGCCTGGCTAATTTTTTAAATTTTTATAGCAGTGGAGTCTCACTATGTTGCCCAAGCTGGTCTCAAACTCCTGACCTCAAGCAATCTTCCTGCCTTGACCTCCCAAAGTTCTAGGATTATAAGCATGAGCCACTGCATCTGGCCCTAATTTTATTTATTTAAGTCTTTTCTATGCATCTTTTTCCTTTACATAGTCCCCTTAACATTATCTTGTAGGTATTTTCATATGTTATTAAAAATGCTTTTTTTTGTACGTGCTTTTTGTGGCCACATAATATTCTGCTGTAGAATATAATGACACTGTAAATTGGTTAACTAGCATCATAATGTTGAAGGTTTGAGTTGTTTACCATATTTCCCATTATAAATCATGCTGCAAAGAACATTTTAATGCAAAAATATTTGTCTACATGTCTGATTATTTCCTTAGGATAGGAACCTAGAAGTAAAATTTTAAAAGCTTGTTTATCCACATTTTGTGCTAACATAAAGGAAAAAACAAACTCTTTGCATAAGAAGAGGGGTCATGTGATGAATAGAGGCATCTGTGAGTGTGTGAGTCTGCCCCAAGATGCCTGTAACTGTCAAGGAGTCCACTTTGGTGCTTATGCGTTTGGAAGCCTTAAAAGAGCTCTGAGGTCTCTGTAGGCCCCTCCACGCCCGTATTTCTGCTGGCATTTGTAGGAAACCCTCCCTCCCTGGCATGCCCCAAGCCAAATTCCAAGCAAGGCAGGAACCAGGCTCTTCTAGAGGCCCAAGTACTACCCCAGTACCCTGGCTACCAGGGAGCTTTACAGATTAATCTGGTCCTCTGGGAAATTCTGGTTCCAGCATCCAGGAAAGCCCTATAGCTGGCCTGTAGTAAAATCATAAGTATAATTGAATTTAATGAAATCCAGACGAATCCGAGGGCTTTGGGTTGACAGGAAGCCAACATTCCCACAGCCAGAAAAGAGCATGATCAAGGAGTTGATGTGCAGACCTCTATGCCAGATCACGGAAATCGGAGTAAGTGCACTTACACAGATGATAAAAGCCCAACAAGGAAGTTTAGCAATAAAACTTAATGGCCTCTCAAATCACAATCAGGACACAAAATGCAGTGGGCCGGAGTCCCGCTCCCTGCATGTAACCCTCCTCCTCCAACTGTCCCACAGCCAGGGACATCATGAAGGCCAGGCCCAGGAGGCTGGTCCTCAGGTCACCGCCAGCTCTATCCATCACCCACGGCTCCCCAAGACAGGAGGGTGTCTGGAAGGGAGGTGTTTTCTCAGCCAGACCTTTCTCCTCCTCTGGGCCTGGCCAGGCTCCTCATCTTAAACTCTGTTTGCAGAAGTTTATTGCTTAGCCTTAGTGTCTTATTCAGGGTCAGAGGGAATTGATGCTAGAATTGAAAACCTTAACAATATCAAGAGAATTCTAGGGTATGTATGGGAAACTTTAGAACAGCATCCTTAGATGTTAGAGATTTTGGGAGACACTTTTCTCCTAGTGAGGTGCAGAGGAGGCGCAAAGATGGTAGTGGGGAGGAGAGGAGAGGGGATGTGCATAGTAACTGGCTTGGTTGCCAGTTCTACTAATTAGAGGTGTTTAGTCAAATTAACGACTATTTGAGTGCAAGCCATGACCCTTGCCCATAAAGAATTTAGTCCTGCCAAACCTTGTGTGTACAGGTGTAAACCTAACAACCTAACAAGTCATGAGGCTAATTCATTCAGAAAGCGTGTGGAGCAGCGTGGTCAGTATCAGGAATATGGTGGCCAATTAGACAAGACAGCCGAGCCCCTGCCTGCACATACAGAGCCTCCATTCCAGTTGAGGGGATGGGCAGGGAACAAGTGAGCAGATTACTCCAGCTGCTTTGAGTACAATTGAGAAAATAAAACAGGATATTGGGAGAGGGCATGATAGCATGAGGCGCCTTTGGGATAGGTGGTCAGGGAGGGTCTCCTAGAAGGTGAAATTTGAGTGGAAGCCTGAGTGGCTGATGTAAAGAGGGGTAAGCCGCATACAGACCTGGGGGAAGATGTTGGTATGTATGCTCCAGGTGGGTAGGAAAGAACATGTTCCAGGGCCCTGGGGTAGAAATGAACTTGGTGTGTTGGGAGAAGAGGAGAGCCAGAGGCTGCAGTAGAAGTGACCTGAGTTGAGGTTGAAGGTAGGCAGGACTCAGCTTGTGTGGGGTCTGTAGCCATAATAAGTTTGGATTTGAATCTACCTGTGATAGGAAGCCACTGTAAAGTTTTAAGCAAAGGGATCTGATCTGATTGATGTTTTGAAAATATACCCCGGCTGCCCTTAAATATCAGAAGACAGCAATATCACAGTCACAAAGCAACACAAAATTAAATGCCATAGAAATATCTGAATAAGAAGTATTTTGTAATTAGAAGAGAGACAGATCATTCGATGGGGCTACAGTGAACTGGGAAGACTCAAAGCAGGGGCCAGAACAAAGGTAGGATTGCGAGGGGTTGTCCAGGGTGGATGTTGCCTATCCATCAGAGCAGGGGCTGGGAGGAAGAGGTGGCAGGTGGTGATGGCCCTGGGGGATTTGTCACTTCGTCTTCCAGAGCTACAATTTCTGGCACTGTAAAACGGACCTACTGAGCTGTGTCATGTGTCTGGTGGGGCTGCTGCGATAGAGTGTGGAAGCCCAGCACAGACAGCGAGTGCTTTCCTTATAGAGGTGGGGAATTCTGGGAGCTGAGGCCAAAGCCCAGGAGACAGCCATGTGTGCGAGCTGCGGAAACTGGAGGTCTCCTGGTATTGACCCCAGCTGGCTTCCCATGCCTGTGGCAGACGTTGCAAGTTGGTCACAGCTCCTCTTCCCAGTGAGCGAGTTCTCAGACTCAGCCTCTGTCTCAGGCCCACCGCTGATGGAAGCTGGCAGGTGGAATGAAACCCACTTGCCACCCTGGCAGGGCAGTGGCATCAAAGGCCTGGAGCCTGATAAAGGGATGAAGTAAACCTCCCTACCAGCACACAGTGAATTCTCATCTTCAGGAGTCCTGCCACATCAACAGGGTCACTTTAGAAAGCAACAGTGATTCTCAGTGAATGGCAATGGCTGGCTTTTCTTTGTCTTCCCTCCCCTGATTCCTACTCCAGTCCCACTGTCCATCTTGACCATGGGCCCTGCCAGCAGCTGGCCTAACAGCACCATCCATATCATGGAGGGTATGGGGAGAGTGGTCAAGGGAGCCTCTCTTTCCTGCCTCTCCCACCTCCCTGGAGGCCACCCAGGGCCTCATGCCTGCATTTCCCGAGGCCTCCCAGTGTGTCCTCCACTATGTGCTGCTGGGCTGAGTCAGTCTGTCTCAGGGCAGTGGACCTTTGGGGACTTTGCATGGACCACTCACATCTCTCCAGAGCAGGTTGAACTCTCGGGCGATAGACTCACCGCCACAGGAGAGTCTCTGAGCTTCCTTCTCCTGCAGTTTGTTCATGCAGGGTGAGCCCCCTCACTCTGCCCCAGTCAGGGGAGGTCAGCCTGAAAGCAGGAGAGTGGGGGGCTCACCTTGGACAGGTGCAGGGAGCAGCAGCTTGGGGTTGCCCCCGGGGCAGGGAGATCCCTTTAAGAGCTGTAGAACTTTTTCATCCTGACCGTGGCCCCAAAGGATGGTTTACTCCACTCTATTTTAGTGAGAAGCAAAAAAATAATTTTTTAATCTTAATATACCTCATATTAAGTCAGTAGAACCTTCTGCAGATTATTCCATTTACTCCTGACATGTGGGCCAGTGTGGAAAGACATCTAAGCCTGGGCCCCTGTGCATCAGCTCTCCGTGTTCTTCCGCTTTGCCTCCCATTGGACAGTGATTGGCTTGGAGTCCGGTGGTCTCCTTTGTCCTGGGCTCCTAACCCCAGTTCTGTGAGCAAGTTCAGGTAGTCCAGGATCCCTCTGGAATTGTACATACATGTGGAGTATATGCATCAGTGTGGGGAAGGGGAGGAGAGGCTTTTGTGACAATCTCAAGAATGTCAGTGCCTGGGAGGCACAGACTCCTGCCCCAGCTCTCCCTGGTCCCTCTTGGAGTTCTTCCTCTCACTGCTGAGGTGGGGGTCGCTGCCTAGAGGGAGCGGCCTGCCTGCTGTCCCCACTGGATCGCGGGCTGCACTTGTCCCATTGGGAGCAGGCTCAGGGAAATACAAATAGCACTGCGTGCTTTTATGTTTCAGGTGCATCCTATTAAATGGGCTTTTGCGGTTGCCCCTGGGAATCTGCATGTAATCGGTGTGTAAAATTGTTTCTGAGGGGAAAACAAACAGCCAACTTACCAAAACAACCCTTTTGTGACTGGATTATTTAGGTAACACATGGCTCATGATGATGCTAAATGTTCATTTCTGGAAAGTGATATTCTTGTCATTCAAAATAATGATGACCTTGATACCTCTACAGCTTATGATGGGGGGATCCCAAGTGGGGTCTAGTCAGACCGTGAACTCCCAAAGTCATCTAACCCTATGTGCATTTTTCTGGAAGAAGGGTTTACCACTTTGATCATGATCTCCACAATGTCTGACTGCAGGGGACATTAAGAATATCTGCTGTGGAGAACAAGGCCAGGAACAGCCAGGCTGTCTTGCCCAGCCCAGGGGCAGCCTCTGGGGGGGCCGAGCTCAGCAGTCCCAGAGGAGCCCTTAGGAGCACTTTTGGGGCTATGTGCCTTGCTCAGCCCTGGCAGCGGAATTCTGCACTGCTGAATTGAGCATGGGGACGTCCTCATTTCTCTGAGGCTGCCCCTGCCCTCCTGACTGGGTCCTCTGTCCTCTGTCTCTAACTTGCCCACATGTGTCCTTTCATCTGCCACCTCCAGGAGGTCTTCTCAAGCCCCTGGTCAACCCAGGAGTTGTCTACTAATTATTTAATTAGGTCTCTTCATTGCTGACCAGTAAATATTTATCATGTATCTATTAAATGGTGATCCTTTTGCTTCATGGGGAGGTACAAGGTAAAAAAAAACCTCAGGTCCCACCTTTAGAGAGTCACCATCTGGGGCTGGGCATGGTGGCTCACACCTGTAATCTCAGCACTTTGGGAGGCCAAGGTGGGTGGATCACAGGTCAGGAGATCGAGACCATCCTGGCTAACACAGTGAAACCCCATCTCTACTAAAAATACAAAAAATTAGCTGGGCGTGGTGGCACATGCCTGTAGTCCCAGCTACTCGGGAGGCTGAGGCAGGGGAATCACTTGAACCCAGGAGGCGGAGGTTGCAGTGAGCTGACATCGTGTGCCACTGTACTCCAGCCTGGGTGACAGAGCGAGACTCCATCTCAAAAAAAAAAAAAAAAAAGAGAGGCACTGTCTGGTACCTAGAGCCCAGCATGATGAGTGTGTAGTGTGGGTACAATATGTAATAGGGCTACAAGCAGCTGCCGGCTCCCCTGGGGCTGCCAGGGCAGGTGGAGTGCTCTTCCTCTGGTTCATCCCTTGAAGGCATCATGTGTGCCACTCTATTCCCCTCTGGACCAAAGACCATGGTCCTCTCTGTCATTATGCTGGAAGATTCTAAGGGCTGATGCCTTTTCTACCCTTTCTTCTGCATCATAGCCCAACAGGAGTAGGCAGCTCCCTAGATAATGGCAGCAGAGGTGCCTGTATACCCAGCAGTTCCTCCTCTTCTTGTTGTGGAGCCTCCCACTTGAGGGTTAGCAGTGTCTCTCTTCCTTGGATCCACCTGGGAAGAGCTGACATGTTGATGTGGCTAAGCACTGTAGCCACTCCCTGGGCTGCATTCCATGAGGGTCAGTGCCCTTGACCGAGTCATGTCTCCAGTGCTCTGTCCAGAGGAGGAGCTTCACAACACTGCCTGGGAGCTCAAGGATCAGTTTGGTTTTCTGTTATCAGTTAAGTGGGGAGTAGCCACTCCGGGGTCCCTTGTCCCTGGGAGGGACAGGGTGAGGATGAGCTGAGGAAGCCAGGTACAGGCAGGAGTGAAATGGAGAGATTAAGAACGAGACAGGTTCATGTCTCACCTGGAGCTGAGTTCTGCAGAAATGGCCTTGGAGGAGGAGACAGGAGCTTTCACCCCTGCCGGGTGCTCAGCTGGAGGCAGGAAAGCCGATTCCGTAGCTCAGTGGGAGGTCTCCTCTGATTACACTGTTTGACTTTCTGTCTTGCTTTCTTCTTGTCTTTCTTTTTCCTAACAATCAGTAGTAGAATTATAGCGTTCTCAGCTCCCACACAGTGGCACACCCCTGAGAAGGTTGAGTCACGACCTGTCATCCGCTGATCCTAGTTAATGCATGGTCCCCGCACAGCCAGGCTTACCTTCTGAGCAGCCTCCATCCTGAGCCAGTCTGCAGACCCCTCACCTCCCAGTCCCTCCAGCATCAGAGGCCAGAAAGTACTCTTTCTATTAAAATGAAAACAATGTACAAATGTCAAGGTCTGTCATTTACACAAAGTGCTTAATTTCTTTTTAATGCATCAAATTTTATTATTTCTGACATCTTACTGTGTTCATGCAGCTGTAAGAAAAGCACAGAGCAGGCTGGGCGCGGTGGCTCACGCCTGTAATCCCAGCACTTTGGGAGGCCGAGGTGGGTGGATCACGAGGTCAGGAGATCGAGACCATCCTGGCTAACACAGTGAAACCCCATCTCTATTGAAAAAGTACAAAAAAAATTAGCCGGGCGTGGTGGCGGGTGCCTGTAGTCCCAGCTACGTGGGAGGCTGAAGCAGGAGAATGGCATGAACCCAGGAGGCGGAGCTTGCGGTAAGCAGAGATGGCGCCACTGCACTCCAGCCTGGGAGACAGAGCAAGACTCTATCTCAAAACAAAAAAAAAAGAAAGAAAAGGACAGAGCAGTTTCTATCCCAAAAAATTCCCATCATGTCATATGGGGACAATTAGAATGTAATTATGTCCCATACTTATGCTTCTGTGAATTTTTGTGCCCAGCTCAAGGCCTCAGACTGCCTTCTGTCCAGAGAAGATGATGATGGTGATCACAGCATGGTGCCACAACCTACACGCTGCCTGCAGCTAGGGCCTCTCACCAGATGGTTGGGTTTTCAACCCAGCTCTGTGACCATGGCTGTGTATATGGCCTTGGGCAGTCACCTGCCCTCTTGGTGCCTCAATTGTCTAATCCATAGAATGGAGATAATGTCAGTTCCTACTTTGTGGGGTAGTTATGAGGCTGTAAGGCACTGGTCAGTACCTGGCACACCAGTTGCCCGTATTATTTATGCAGTTGTTTTATTTTTGTGTCTGGGGTACCTTCCCACTACCCCAACCCACTTCTGGTGGATTATGCAAAATATTTCTTTTCTTTGAGCTGGTGCTGCTGCTGCTTTTCTCAGGTGTCTGGGAATGGGACTGAGCTGCCTTACAGAGGCGGCGCAGGGGAGCATCCCGAGGGCCTCTGTGCCATAAGAATGGTTTCTCTTGATCTCTCCCCACAGGGTGTGGCCACTGTAAGAAAATGAAGCCGGAGTTTGAGAAGGCAGCAGAAGCCCTCCATGGAGAAGCGGATGTAAGCTTCCTTTCCTTCCCCCTCACCGTTCTCTTTGAAAGAATCACTGACAGGTGGAATCATTATGACTTTCCCCTGCAAGCCCTGCTGCAGCTCCCGTGGTCCGTGGAGGCCAGCAGTACCTCTGTGTGCCCAAGTAGAACATCTTAGACAGATGGGATCCTAGAGGGGGCAGAAAGACTACTGGCCCATGTTCCCGTGCCCATCCAGGTGACCTCTGCCTGCTCCCTCTTTTCTCTGGGACCCTGGCTAACAGGAACAGGTGCCAATCTACTCAACGTGGCTGGTGGGGCAGATTCAAAAGCCTCATCTCAGCTCATAAATGAGAAATGATGGCCGTGCCAATGTTCAGTTGTTCCCTGGGATATGGGAGCCCACTGGGCTAGCCACCCCAGTTAAATTCCAGCAGGTCCAGGATGGGTTGTGGGGGCAGCGTCTGGGCTCCTGTGTTCCACCAGCACCGCATCTGAGGCTGTAATGCATGGTTGGCCTTTCCCCCATCCCAGAGCTCTGGTGTCCTTGCAGCTGTCGATGCCACTGTCAACAAGGCCCTGGCAGAAAGATTCCACATCTCAGAGTTTCCTACGTTGAAGTATTTTAAGAATGGAGAGAAATACGCAGTGCCTGTGCTCAGGACAAAGAAGAAGTTTCTCGAGTGGATGCAAAAGTAAGTGTTACGATCTCAGTAGCACATCCTAACTGCCAGCTGGCGGCCCCTGGAGACCACCTTGAGGAGGTGAAGTAAACTTTATGGTCAATGTCCTGGGCTCATGCCCGTAGGAGTCAAGACGGATCTGACTTCCTCAACCCTAAAACCACCGTTCATATGCTGATCACGTGTCTTGATCAGGTCACTGCTGGCAGTCCTTCTGGACGCAGCTTCATCGACGCACTAAACCGTGTGTTGCTTTTTCTCTGTCTCAGCCTCCTTAGGCCCAGATCTTATTGTCTGCATTTTATTCCACTCCCTTTGAATAAATGAAGGAGACACAGCTCTTCATAGCCAGAGCTAGACTCATTTCGTCCAGGTTTGCTAGTGGTTGGCTGGGCCTCCAGTAATGTCCACAGGGCAGGCTATGGTGGTTTGCAACTGAGGATAAAGATTTTGAAGAGCCCCCTCAGCCTATGTATTAGTTTGCTAGTGTTGCCATAACCAAGTAACAGACCAGGTGGCTCAACAATATAATATAACAATATAACAGAAGTTTATTTTCTTACAATTTTGTTTTGTTTTGTTTTGTTTTGAGACAGTCTCACTTAGTCACCCAGGCTGGAGGCATGATCTCGGCTCACTGCAACCTCCACCTCCCAGGTTCAAGCGATTCTCCTGCCTCAGCCTCCCAGGTAGCTGGGATTACAGGCACATGCCACCATGCCTGGCTAATTTTTTGTATTTTTAGTAGAGACGGGGTTTCACCATGTTGCCCAGGCTGGTCTCGAACTCCTGAGCTCAAGTGATCCACCCGCCTCAGCCTCCCAAAGTGCTAGGATTACAGGCGTGAACCACCATGTGCAGCCTATTTTCTTACAATTTTGGAGGCTAGAAGTCAGAGATCAAGATGTTGGCAGGGTTGGTTTCTTCTGAGGCCCCTCCCCTTGGCCATCTTCTGCCTGTGACTTCCCATGGCCACCCCTCTATATGTATCTGTGACCTAATCTGCTCTTCTTATAAGGACACCAGTCATGTTGGATGAGAGCCCACCCTAATGACCTCATCTTAACTGAATTATCCCTTTAAAGGGATAATTTATCTCTAGATATAGTCACATTCTGAGATAATGGGGGTTAGGACATCAACATATGAATTAGAGGGGGACACAGTTGAACCTATACGGTCTGAGCTACTTTGTTAGGACATCAGTCAGATATGAGGTGTTTATTTAAAGCATAGACTCTGAGACTCTTTTATTCAGGAAGTGTGAATGGGACCCTCAGCCATGGTGTTCTAAGCAACACCAGCTTGTGGAATGGCAGCAAAGTTGCCACTAGATTCAGGGGAGGCCTCTGGCAAGAGATGAATGGACTGATGAGATCCTGGCCTCAGCTTCTCCCACTTTGTCCTGCTCATCCACTGGGAGGATTTGGAAAGTAGCTAGGCCTTTGTCTTAGGGACCAGAGGAAAATGATGGTTTGCCTCTGAAAGGCACAAGGTGCTTGCTTACCCCTCAAGGCCTTCTGGTGTCTGAAGTAAGTGGCTTGTTCACACCCACTTTTCCAGCCTTGCTCTGGTGCCAGGGCTGGTTCACTGGAAAGGACTGGGTGGGGCGGGGGATCTGGCCAGGTCCCTGTGATGCTTGGACTTCTGGTTAGAGAGCCGAGGGAATCCAGAGTGTCGATCATCACTAATCAGTGCTCCAGAGTCTTGGCCACAAACAGCGAGCATGAGGGGCCTCTGTCCTTTCTGTGTGCCACTGCTGCTACTGAGAGCCTGAAAAGCACTCAGGCTAAGTGCTTTCAGGTTTAAATACTTTCTTAAGTGCTTTTAGGTCAAGAGCATGGGCTTTGGAGTCTGAGAGACCTGGGCTGAGATCGTGACCCTGAGCCATTTCTTTGATGCCTCTAAGCCCCAGTTTCCTATCTGTAAGATGGAGACAGTAATTTCCCCATAGACTTGTCTAGGGAATTAAATGAGACTCCTGTGAAAAGTGCTCAGCACAGGACATGATGTGGAAGTACTCAAAAAAGTTGAAACTGGCCGGGCACGGTGGCTCATGGCTGTAATCCTAGCACTTTGGGAAGTAGAGGCAGGAGGATCTCTTGAGTTCAGGAGTTCAAGACCAGCCTGGGCAACATAGTGAGACCCCACCTCTACCGAAAATCAAAAAAATTACCTGGGCATGGTGGTGTGCGCCTATAGTCCCAGCACTTTGGGAATCTGAGGTGGGAGGATTGCTTGAAGCCGGGAGGTTGAGGCTACAGTGAGCTGGGATGGTGCCATTGTACTCCAGCCTCAGCAACAGAGTGAGACCCTGTCTTAAAAAAAAAAAAAAGGTTGAAGCTATTTTTATGACTGATTGTGGACTTCTCATGACTGACAGTATCAATACATAAGTGATCACAGCAGCCAGCCTTTGCAGAATGCTCTCCTATCTCTTGCTCCATTTCATCCTCAAGTCCTGCTGAGGCCAGAGTTTTTAATTCCTATTTCATTGGTGAAGAAACTTAGGTTCAGAGAGGTTAAGGGCCCTATCCAGGGACAAATAGTAGTTCTTCCGGGAACTTGGAGGGGATCCTTCAGGTGGAGTGTGAACAGCCGATGGCTCGGGGGTGGAGAACTGAGACTCGTCACCCAGAAGCAGGGCGAGCAGACAGCGCCAGAAAAGGTGGATGGCATTTACAGGCAGGTGCATAGGCTGCCAGGCTGTGGGTAACTGAGATGCGCCTGCCAGCAGGCCAGCCTGGGGAGGCAGTGTTCAGGGAAAAGGCAGAGCAGAAAGGTCAGATGAGTGGTGTCAGCCATGGAACCAGAGAAGCTGGAGGACAAAGACAGGGAGGAAGGCTGGGAGGGGCCCGTCTTAGTCACCAGCACAGGAGAAGGTGAGAGGCAGGGAGACTGATTTGGGAGGAGGAGGGAAGAGTAATGTGTTCTAAGTCATGGTGGATTTGAGGTTACAATGGGACTTCCAGCTGGAAATGCCTGAAAAACACCTGGAAATAAGGAGCTTGGATGAGAGGTGAGGCCTTAAGTTCTTCTCAGCCATGGAAATCACTGGAGCCATGCAGAGGAATGAGATCTTTGAGAATTGCAAGGGCTCAGAATAGAACTGGAAGCACAGAGAGGGCTGCACTCAGCTGGTGCAGGGGCTGTGGCACAAGCCCAGTGGGAGACGTGGCAGCGTGGGTGTAGCCCTCTCCCCAGAAATACTCCCAAGAAGGGGAGCTGAGTTATAGAGAGGGAAGCAGGGGAGCAAAAGCTATTGCAAGACCCTGGAGATCCATCCTTGCATGAGGCAGAGTGGAGGGACCCAGTGGACAGCAAGAGACTGAGAAGCAATAACATTTATCCAATGCCTGGCATTTATTAGAGCATCTAGGCTCTCAGTAAATATTAGTTCCTTGACTGAGTAGATGCTTTTCATACATTCTCTGCTCTTCATAAAGATCCCATTGTCCTCATTTAACAGAAAAGAAAACGGAGGCTCAGAGGGGTTTAGTAACTTACCTAAGGTTGCACAGCTGGTAAGTCATCTGGACTTGAACCCAGGCCCGCCTCACTCCTTGGCCCATGCTCTCCACCAGAACAGAAGCTGAGAACCAGAAGATAATGAACGATCATGTAGGGTCCTAGAGGGGGCAGAAAGGAGGGGCCTGGGAGTCCAAGCAGAGGTGCCTCTATGCTCTTGTCAAGGAGTTCGTGGCCCACAACTGGGGGGGCTGCCCTGACCTGAAATGGTGTCAAGTCTTCCATATTTTACAAAATGGCTCCTTAATGGGCTCCTCAGAGGGAATCAGGGAAGGTCTTTGCTGGTGGCACAGATTTGTTTGTGTTTAAACTGTGGTTTTAAAATGAAATTTTAGAAGGATTGTAGTGGTTTCTTCATGCATGTTCCCCCGAGTGGTTGGGACATTGAGGGTGGATTTCCTTGCCCATCTAAAAATCTCTCCTTATGGCTGCCTCCCCACTCCCCTGGCTTCTTGCAGCCCTGAGGCCCCCCCGCCCCCAGAGCCCACGTGGGAAGAGCAGCAGACAAGCGTGTTGCACCTGGTGGGGGACAACTTCCGGGAGACCCTGAAGAAGAAGAAACACACCTTGGTCATGTTCTACGCCCCTTGTAAGTAGCTTGGGTGCTCACTGAGTGGCACAGTAAGAGGGGTTTGGCCCCACCAAACCAAAAAGACCCGCACACCCACCCCAGGGACCAAGGCAGCCGCTGATGGATCCCAGGGTCATCTCCATTATGAACCAGGCTCTCCAATTTTATTCCAGGCTAAGAGGTCCTTCAAATCCAGGGCCTCCTTTTGTCAGACTCGTCGGGCTCTCCTTCCTTTGGGGCAGCCTTTCTCGTGTCTGTCCTAAAGCCCTCTGCCTCTGTGCTCGTCCCCTCTTGTCCCTGGGCTCCTCCATGCCCCTGTCCCCTACCTGCACACTTCCCACCCCTCAGCTGTCCCCGCCCCCTCTTCCTTCTCCAGACACTGACTTATCTTCAGCACCTTGGAACCCCCTCTCCCTGCCCTTCCAGATGGCTCTGGAGCCGTGGCATAGGCACAGCCACATTCGCTCCTGAGCTCCTGTGCTGTGCTCGTTTTAATCAGAGCTCAAGCTGAGGAAGTGACACGTCTGCCGACATTGGCATCGGTGACCTCAGGTTTCTGTGTATTCCCATTTTGAAGTTGTTAATTGATACTTACAATGAAAGGTTCTTAGAATTTCCCACTCTCTGCTGCCCTTCTCTCTCTCCCCCAGGTTACAGCTCAGCTTAATGGAGTGAGGATAATAAAAGCTGCAGTCTACAGAGAAGCCAGGCAGCTCCATCTAGCCATAAACCTGCTCAGTTGTAGCTGGCCCTCCTGTTGGCTCCCCCGTCCCCACCTTTCAAGTGTCAGTAATCCGTGGAGTCTGTGTGTTCTCAGGGTCTGAGAGGGGCCGCCACAGCCTCAGCCCCTCCTTGAGGCAGCCTCCCTGCCCATCTCTTTCTGCCTTTCCTTCTCAGAGTGGGACTTGTCCTCTCCCAGTCCCTTACAGAGCTTCCGGCTGTCCTCTTCGGTCTGTAGAGTGTGCCCAGAAGCCTGAAAATTTTCGGGAGCTGACATCTTCCCTCTGGCATTAGGGGGTGGAGGACTGAGCCTTGCCCAAGGCCATGGGGCAAGTTAGTGGCAGGCCCCTCCCGCAGCCTGGATGGCTCTCTCTATGTCACAGGCACAGTCCAGAGAGTGAGAGTGTTTTCAGCAGCAAGTGAGAACCTGGCTGCAGGAGTGGAAGCCCTTGACCAGACGAAATACTTTCCCCCAGACCTCTGGACCAGAGCCCAGTGCTTCCTCTGCCTCTCTTCAGCTCCTCCCTGACTGAGGGGCCTTCATAGCAGACATAAGCCCCCCGCCACCCTGACCCTGGCTGCTGGGACCGACAGGTGCTTGAATCCCCAGGGAATCTGGGAGAGACTCTTACCCTTTTGGGCTGCCAAAGATCTACAACTCCTTCCTTCCTGCCTGCCTGCCTGCCTGCCTGCCTGCCTGCCTGCCTGCCTGCCTGGCCTGCCTTCCTGCCTGCCTGCCTTCCTGCCTGCCTGCCTGCCTGCCTTCCTGCCTGCCTGCCTTCCTTCCTGCCCTCCTTCCTTCCTGCCCGCCTTCCTGCCTGCCTTCCTTCCTGCCTGCCTTCCTTCCTGCCTTCCTTCCTTCCTGCCTTCCTTCCTGCCTGCCTTCCTTCCTGCCTGCCTTCCTTCCTGCCTTCCTTCCTGCCTTCCTGCCTTCCTTCCTTCCTTCCTTCCTGCCTTCCTTCCTGCCTGCCTTCCTTCCTGCCTGCCTTCCTTCCTGCCTGCCTTTCTTCCTGCCTTCCTTCCTGCCTTCCTGCCTTCCTTCCTTCCTTCCTTCCTTCCTGCCTTCCTTCCTGCCTGCCTTCCTTTCTGCCTTCCAGCCTGCCTGCCTTCCCGCCTGCCTTCCCACCTGTCTTCCACCTACCCATCAAATATCAGCTCTGTGCTGTGCAGTGTCTAGGGCCCAGGGTACAAGGGAGGGAGACATGTCCCTGCCAGGCCTTGAGGGGCTCACTGTCTACCCTGACAAAATTCTAAACACAATCCATCCAGGGCAGGGTCACTGAGTGACTCAACCTCTGGCAGAGGGCTTGGTCCTTAGAGTTTCTTCATTTCTGTTACTGCGTTTTTCTGTCCCTAAACCTTGCCCCAGGGACATACATCTTTATCAGTGGGTTACAGGGGGAAGACTTTCCAAGGACAAAAAAGATACATCTTTTGACTTTTTAATAATGAAAATAATAATACCTATTTTTATATATAAATATGGCATATACTATATACTTTTTATATATGAAGGATCTAAACACTACAGAAATGTCAAATAGTAAAGTCAAATGCCTGATAGAGGTCTAAAGGAAAAGCAGCATACCCACACGTTCCTGCTCCCCTTCTAGCTGCCTCACCCCAACATCTTACCTCCCCTCACATCTCTCCACCTCCCACATCCCTTCTCCCACCATGTCTGCCCCTGCATCCTGTCTCCCCAGCTTCTGCACAGCTCTTCCTCCTGCTGTTTCATTGTTCCTTTTACGCTGAATGGTCTGGTCATGGTGACTGCCCTTCTCAGGCCAGCTTGGCGGAGTCTCTAGAACTGCAATTGTCCAGCCTGTCCTCAGTCTTTGTTCCTCTTTCCCCACTCTGGGAGGCGTCTTTGGTTTTCTGCTACACAGAGGCAGTGCCTTTTTTTTTTTTTTAAGCCTACATTAAATAAAAAAAATCATCCACATCTGGCCCTCCTGACACCTCTTGGAAGCATCTTCATGCACTTTCTGAAACAGCCCTCCCTCCCATTACTCATTGGCCCCACTCTTTCTTTCGGATAATGAGAAAATTAGATGCAACAGAAAGCCATTAATCTGAGGCCTAGATATTTTAAATTGATGGTAACAGGAATTTACACTAGGCTGACAGTTACCTTTAGACTTTCAATGAACAAAGAGGTTAAAAAGGAAAAATTAATAGTGAAACCAGGTTTTGAGGAAGGGGGGTGGTTATTTTCGCCAGCCTAATGCTATTATGGGCATAGGCCACACACAAGGGGCCTGCAGCTGCCTGCAGGAGCTGTCTGTGACATACCTTGTTAACCAGTAGATTGCGCTCTTTAAGTGTTTTGAAAATTTTATAACATCATCCCTTTATAGTGTGACATTTTCATGAATTTGAGCTATTTTTCTTTCTGTTATGTCAAATTAGTGAAGTGTTACTTGTAATTTCCATTTTAGGCTATTAAAAAATCATCCAGTCTCTGCCATGAGCTAGGCTGTGCTAGGCACATTGCTAAGCTGTGCTTGTCTCATTTCTGATATAACCCATCACTGGCCCAGGTCTCTTCTGCTCCTTCTGCATGAGACTTGGCAAAGCCCTCTACACCCCCACCCCCCATCACCCCCCACAATGCTCTGGGCCAGCTGGCCACTCTGCCAGCCAGGCCATGTGGGTGGTCCTGCTCATCTCAAGACTGGCTCAAGGACTAAATTCAGATTAAACTTGTAGCTTAGCCTTAATTTGGTTTCACAAAACCCTTTGAAATGCCAGTCATTATTATCTTATTTTAAAAAGGAGAAAGTAGATGAGCAAAGCCGTTTCTGTTCCCACCGTGGCATCTCTGCCTTCCCGAGGCTGAGGGAGGCTGGCTGACGTAGAGGTGTGGGCTGGAGCCTCCCCTTGCTCAGGGAAACCCTCCCCTCAGAGCCCTTCTGTGCCCTGGACAGTTCTGTTCACCAGTGACTGGGAAAGGGCTGAGAGAGGAGGGGGGTTTGGGTTCTGATCTGTTAGTGCTGAGGGAAGGGCTGGATCAGCCTGCAGCTCCTGGGCTCACCAGGACAGGAGGAGAAAGTGGCCCCCACAGAGGTCCCTACCCTGCTTCTGAGACACTGAGGTCAGAGTTGGGGCTCAGGGTGATGCCCAGAACAAGAGACAGATGCTGGAGGTAGGGGCCCCAGTATAGCTCAAAGGCCTTAGGCTGCTCTGACAAGCCTTCTCCCTGGGACAGGGAGCATCAAGGGACCTGAGGACTGCCTGGTGACTTCCCGTAGCTCCTCTCCCTCTTACCCTGACCATGGCCTTCCTGTTCCTGGCTTTGAGGTTCTGGTTATTGTAGAGCAAAGAGTAGATGGAGACCTGGGGACCAGGGCCTGATTTGGCTGCTCACAGTCTGGGCTGGGTGGAGGTTGCTAGGAATGCAGAAGTTAGCAGCAAATCATGAGCAGTGGGTGCAGAGTAGTTGCCCCAAAATCCCCCCACCCTGCATTTCCCAACGCCACTTCCTCTCAGTCAGGAAATGGAGAGATTTGCTATTGTCCCTGGAGCAAGAGAAGATTGTAGCGGCTCTGAGAATCCCGTGCCTTCCTCTTTAAGCCCAAAGCTCCCTCTGCCCCCAAGATCAGGCTGTTCCTCGTCCTCTGTGGAAGGAGCAGAACTAGACTACAGTGACCATCGCCCCCCAGCCTGGGCAGGAGCATATGATGCTTGTGACAGGGACTCCTACCAGTCCCCCCTACCAATAGATCAGACATGGGTGGGAGGTGGTTAGAGTGGCAAGGTTGACAAAAGGACCCTGACAGTGTGGCGGGCAGTGGGGAGCTCCTGGAGAGCCCTCTCTGGAGCTTTCAGGAAGGGTCCCTGGCCCTGCAGCCTCCCTGCACATGCATCACAGTCCTGTGTGCTCTCTTCCCCTCTCACACAGGGTGCCCACACTGTAAGAAGGTCATTCCGCACTTTACTGCTACTGCTGATGCCTTCAAAGATGACCGAAAGGTAAGGACAGCGCTCTTCATCTCTTGATCTGCCTGCAGCTAATTCCTACACCTTCCTTCTTGTCATTCAGGTCCTTCCCCAAACAGGGGCAGGTCTGCTAAGACCTGTAAGCAGGAAATTCCTTGGGAACCAGGACATTCTCTTTAGAAGGAAGATAGGGCAGGCTGGATTTATGCTGCAAAATCAACTAAAAGGGATATGCTGAACCATTCCAGCACTTACTTGGAGGAGAGGGATGGTTAAAGGGGTCATCTATTTACTTTTTTAGTGTTTGAACCTTTTTACTGTAGGATTGTCATCATGCATTACTTATATAATTAAAAATACAAATTTAAAAATCCAACAAAAGTCAACTGGAGGATGCCATGGTGGAGGAGAGCAAGGCCATGTCAGTGGAGCCTCGCCCTGCCTAAGTGAAAGGCTCCTGCAGCTGCCGACTGATGAAGCATAAAATTAACAAGCTAGAGCTGCAGATTGGATTAGAGTGCAGGGCCTCCAGGCGCGTCCCCCAGGCACATCCCCCAGGCAGCTGGTGCAGTGGGGGCTTCTGCTGGGAGAGGGCTTGTGGGGCAGGGAAATACCCCTGAATTCGGGGAAGTGTGATTGACTGCCAGCCTTTGAGTTCCCTTCTCATCCATGCCAGGCGGAGCACTGGTGCAGAGGACTGCAAACATTCCTCCCAGCCCTGAGACTCAGTCATGGGAACCTCTGGCCTAACAGGCCCTAGAAGCTGGCAGTCACGTGGGATCTGCATTCACACACACCCAAACCCAGAGTCACGTGCAGGGGTGCCTTACTTTCCTGGGTGGAATCCCAGGTGGGGCCAGGGCAGGCTGGAAGGAACCAAGGCCAGGCATAAGCTGAGCATAGAGTCCTAGATGATAAACAGGCCAAGCAGGCCTAGACGGAAGTTCAGCCGAGGCAGGAAAGGGGAGCAGGTATTAGTGGAGCAGCCCTCACAAGCAGAGACAGATGACCATCCCAGGGCCGGGTGGGCAGGGTTTGAAGTTTTGATCAAGGCCAACAGGAGGTCAGGCCTAAAGGTACCATCCAGACCTTGTGGGAGCAGAGATACAGGTGCTAGGATCACCTTAACAGGCCCAGAGACAGTGGCAGAGATGGGGTAATGAGAACTTTACAGGGACATAAAGCCAAAGGAAGCCAGGCTGGGGACAGGCCCATGCAGGCAGAGTGGGGATGAACTGGGAACCTGATTCTCACTTAGACCCAGAGCCCAGGACTCTCTCTGGAGTCAGGAGGTCCCATTGTTACCCGAAAGCCCTGGCTGCGGCTTTGAGGCACCCCTCACCCCCACCAGAAGGGAGTACAAGGACCAGAAGCGTTTTCTCCTCTGCCTGCCCCTTTCCCTGCACTGAGTGGGGTATGGCAGCAGGGGCTTCCTTCCCGTGTCCATGTCCCTCATTGTTCCCACCCACTTGTGCACAGCACAGGGTAGTTGCTCCTGCTTGGTGGTCCCACGATATCCAGCATGGCCTGGGCTGCCAGTCCACAGGACCGGAATAGCTGCCACTCTGTATTGACGTCCATCACGTGCCACCCAGAATGCTGGGTGCTCTGGGCAGCAGGAGAAAGGCTGAGGTGTGCCATCTCCCTGTCCCACTGGACACTCAGGTCTCCATAGGCCCCAGGAGATCTGTGAGGGTCCTGAGGCATGACTGGCAGACAGATCCTGGGCTTGCCCTCCCAGCCATGCTGGGGAGCATGGTGTCAGGGAGCGTGGTCCAGCTGAGGCACCGAGGGGGCTGGGGAAACCCTGAAGGGGCAGCCCCATTGACGTGGCCCCTTTCTGCCCACTAGACCGCCGCTGAGGCTGTCCTGTGGCCTGACCCACATCAGTGCAGGTGAGGCCAGACTTGCCAGGCCTCCAGCGGGCAGCTGAGAGCCCACGTCTTCTCTTCCCATTCCCCCTGCACTGCTACATGGGGGCCCATTTCCTTGATGCTCCCCTCCGCTTAGACACTGACACACCTTTGCTTGATTGTCTTGGGCCAGTGGTGTTGTGGCCTTTTCCTGGGTTCAGTCCTCCTGTCTCTTATTCCCTCTGTCTCTCCTTTCAGCTTCCTTTATTCCAAGCCAGGGATCACCCTCACTTGCATTCAGGAATGCACTTCATAACCTCTCTGTCTGAGGCAGGTGGCCTGCCTGGGTTTCCTGGAGGTTATATTCATGACATCAGGGAAGCCAGCCATCTGGCCTGGGGGGCTGAACTTACTGGTGCCCACTCTGTGCTCCAGGCATGGCACTGTGACTACTGGGTCCCATCCTACAACTATCAGATCAGAGTCTCTGGGGGATGGTGCTGGAAATTTGTGGTTTTTAAGAGCTGGCTCTTGTGCTGGCCACAGGCTGGTGTGTGGGGACTGTTGGCCTGTCCCCTCTCCCTTTACTCGTGAGGGATCCAGGCCCAGAGAGGAGCTGTGTCCCTTGTTCAGGAATGCCCAGCGGGTCACTGACAGCCAGAACTGGGTCTCCTGACACCCCAAGCTGCCACTTCTTAGCTGGAATTGTGGGGTTTTTCCACCCAGAAGCCAGCCCCTGTTCCTATCCCAATCAATATGCAGTTGGTTGTTCACTTCCATTTTCATAGCCAAAGTCAATATTAGCTCCTGCAGAGATTTATTTTACTGAATCAATAAAGCTGTGTGTGGCAGCTCATATTTTAGCAGGGGAGCCTCCACCCCCTCCCGGGAGCTTACTTGGGGACTTTATCGGTTGGCACACTGGTGGGGAAAGGAATGCAAAGTGTTAGTGTTGGAACAGATGGTGTTATTGAAGGGGCAAGGCAGACAGGACCTGTGGTGGGCTGGCAAGCAGGTGGGGGGCTCACCTTTCACTGCACGTCAAGGTGTGCAGGCTGGGGGTGGTGTGGGGCCAGGTGTGAAGGTCACCCTTAGAGGGAGGCCCTGAGGCAGTGGGGGCCCCACCTCTGCCATGGGCCCACTTCACTGCTGGAATCTGGCCATGACATGTAGGTCCTCCTGTTTATGAGGCTGGCTACTGCCTTTTCCAAGTGAAAGCTCCCTCAGGACAGAGACCTCATTTGTCCTTGAACTCCCCACAGTCATGACACCTTAGACCTGTGTAAATGTTGACTAGGTGAAGGAACAATATAACATATTTGATATTTACTGCGAGCTCTTCTTCCACTGAAAGCATTTCTTACATCATGTTGTCCTTACAATAGCTTGCTCAACTAGGTATTGTTACAGTGCTCATATTGCTGAAGAGGTGATTGAATCTTAGAGAGATCATATGCTAGTTTCTCAGCTGGAGAGGGGCAGAGTGAGAATCGCAAACAGGCATTGTCAGAGTTTGAGTTCTCCCAGAAGCAGACCCTGCTCCTGGGCTCATGTGCAGGGAATTTATTTGGGAAGTGATCTCAGGAAGTTCAGAGAGGACCCTGGAAGTGAGACACGAAAGGGGAGGAACCAAAGCAGGTGTTTTATGGGCAGATGACTGGATGAGTCACCAAGGCTCAGTCCCACAGGAGACCTCACCAGGAAACGTGACACAGAGCTGTTCCACTCAAAGGCCAAAGAAGCCAGGGTCCTTGTTCTAGACCCCCATCTGTCATTGGCCTTACGTCCAGCTCCTTGAGGCTGGGAGGATGCTCTGAGGCTGAGAGTAGCAGGTGCTGTGGCAAGGGCTGGTCTGAGGGGATGTGGCAGGACACCAGCAGCGTGTGCCCCAGGATTTGTACCAACCACCATAGAACAAATTGAGAAATCGTAGGTGTTCTGTGTTGCAGGTGATCAGTGCAAATCTTGAGTTGGGTGTAAGGGGACAGGCATTTAGGTGAAATTTCAATAGCTGAGAAGAGCTTTATTCGCTGCCTTCTTTCCAAAGAGTCTAAGCTGCTGCCTTTGGGGAGGACGCATTTGTCTCTTCTTCTGTGGAAAACGCGCGTGGATTCACCTTTGCAGCTAGAAGTTGCATTCCATGTGTGCGGCTGGCAGCTAGTTTAGGTGATTCAGAACAAGTATACATTTCTAATTTAGTAGATTTATAAAACCATACACTATATTTCCAATAGCTCCAGGGCATTGTATACAAATTAAATTCATAATTTAAAGCAGATGCAGGGAGAGCAGCAGCCCAGAGCCATGTTCATCCAGCACTTTCATGGCGGAGCAGCAGCTCCTGGCCCGGGCTGGGCATGGGGCCTCAGCCTCTGGCTGCAGGGAAGGAAAGTATGTGGATGCCCGTGTCCCTGGGCAGGGCCCCATAGCACCTGCCCTGAGAAATGGAACCCCACAATTTGGCCAGGGGAGCATCTGCCTCATGTTTTTAAATAATAAAGTGCGTTAGAGGTGGGCTGCGGTTATCAGAAGTGCATAGGGGCCAGTCTGCTGGCCTGGGTGAACTGGGCTCCAGGGGGTGCTGGGGAAGGTATGTTTAGCCTACCTGAAGGACAGCTGCCTCTCTGCCCAGCCAGTTGTCACCTGTGAGACTGCAGGGTAAGTGCCATCAAGTCTTCTGACTTTTAAAGAGAAGCTGGAAAGCCAAATTGTTGTATTAAATCTTCTGGCTCCATTTCTATGTTGGAGCTAATTCAGATTTATTTTTTTTGTTGTTGTTAAATTCAATGTGGGCCAAATAGAAGAGGACTGAGAGCCAGATACAGATTGCAGGCAGCAAGTTTGTAAACTCCATTTTAAAAGTCTCACCGTATAGAATGTTACATAGCTGAAGAGTAGAAGGGAAGCGTGAGGGTGAGGGGGGTGAAGGTGGCACCTGGTGGCCAGGGGAGGCCGCACCTCACTCTTCTCTTCAGCTATCCATCTGGCAGCTCACCTGGGCATGAGGGACATGATGAGTAAACGTGGCCATGGGGGCCCACAGGATTCTCCTACCTGGAAAGGGGCTTTGTCCAAATGCAAATAACCATCAACCAAAGAACTGTGTGAATCATGGTTATTCAATAATTTTAAATTATCTTATTGAATCACCCTCTTTTAATTTCTTCCAAGCATTCATTGAGCTCTATCTAAAATGATCTAATTTGTCATACAGCAGACGCTTGATAACTGGACTTTGTCAAGGTCGACGTTGTCCCCCAGCATCTAGAACAGGCTTGGCACACGGCAGGGTTTCAGTGTGTGTTGCCTGGTAGGAGGACTCATTCTCATGGGAATCTGCCCCATCTTCCATAACACCTCTGTACTGGGTATGGCCATTGAGGACCCCTTCTCGGGCTTCCCTGGTGCATGACCCTCAACCGGAAACAAGTTCCCCATTTCTGCTTTATACTGTCTTCCTTTGAAAAAACAACAAATGATGAGGAAAAGCTACCCAGCATGTGGAATTTGCTAGATGGTCAAGAAGAGGCCAGTGGCCAATGTGGGAACCACTTTCTGACCAAACATTCTGATGGCTTTACTCATGCGGGGCTCCTCCAGTTTCCAGATGTGCTTCCCTGGTCTCCTCCTCTTCCAGTCTTGGCTCAGATGGCGAATCATACAGAGCGCCTTTGCCCCACTCACCTGGCACCTGGACCACCTCCCTCATCCCTCACATCACATCATGTTGGAATTGTCCCTTTATCCAACCCCTGCCCAGACACTGAGCCCCTAAGTGGGGACAGAGCTTGTATATGGGGTTGGAAGAAGTGACTGTAATAGCAGCTGACATTTCCTGACCATGAATCTGGTGCCAGGTTCTGTGCTCACTGGCCTCACTGGAATTCTCTTATTCAGTCTTCACAATATCCTGATAGCCTAGATACTATTATTATCCCCATTTTACAGCTGAAAAAAATGAGGCACCAAGAGGCTGAGTTATTTTCCTTAAGTCTTACTGTCCAGGCAAACCAAGAGTGCACTTGGGGAACTTGACTTGAAAGCTCTTGCCCTTAACCTTGGCACTATACTGTCCCCCCAAGCTAATGTTCCGGAAATATTAGTGGAGAAATGATTAAATCCTACAGTCCCTTACAGATAGCACCACAGAACCTGTGGTGTTTACAAATGCTTTCAAGTCATCATTTCCTTTACGATCATCATACTCTTGATTTTAAAGGACAGTCTAAAGGCACTCCAGGCCGAGTCCCCTAACCTTACCCATCTGGAAATTGAAAACAAGCACCATCAGTCTCCAAGGAGTCCTGAGCTGGGGGTGCTTTGGTTCAGTTCCTACCTGCCACTGAGGAGAAAAATCAGAGTGGGCCTGTGACGTGGACTAGATGTGCAATCTGTGTTGTGGGGTCCAGGCCTCAGCCTGGGGACACCCTGTGCCAACTCTCTTTACCTTGGCTCCTAGATTGCCTGTGCCGCTGTTGACTGTGTCAAAGACAAGAACCAAGACCTGTGCCAGCAGGAGGCGGTCAAGGGCTACCCCACTTTCCACTACTACCACTATGGGAAGTTCGCAGAAAAGTATGACAGCGACCGCACAGTAAGTGGGGGAGAGGCGTCTGCCCAGAGCTCTCTCTCTGCTGATGGGCAGGGAAACTTCCACTGAGGAGGGGCAGCACTGGGCAGCATCCCAGAAACTGCAGAAGTCAGCTGGAACACTGCACCGAGAGGCCCAGGCCCTGGGCCTGGCTGAGGCTTGACATTGTTGGAGGAGAGTCCCAAGGGGTTGCCACAGATGTCCTGTCCCCAGAGGCAGGCTGGACTCCAGATGCCGAGGGTTTTCTCACTTGCTGGTCGGGGCTGGTGCAAGCCACGCAGACCCTCTCCACCTTGCAGAAGTCTGCCCACCTCTCCCTGTCATAGGAGTGACCCCCTGGAGGGGCTGGGGGTGTGGGGAGAGAGAGTGCACAGCCAGCTCAGGGATTAAAGCTCTTTCTCTCTCTCTCTCTCCCACTTCCCTGCAGGAATTGGGATTTACCAATTATATTCGAGCCCTCCGGGAGGGAGACCATGAAAGACTAGGGAAAAAGAAGGAAGAGTTATAATTCCTGCCTCAGAAAAAGCTTTTCCATTACACTGTGAATGATACCTGTTTTGTTGTTTCTGAATTTCCACATGTTCTGAAGACAAATTTTTTATAGCCGCTTATGGCCATTTTGTACAATTTTGAAATAAAATTAAACCATTTATTTGGTGGTATGGTTTATTTTCGTGGAGCCTGTACTAAAAAAGGTGGATACTCACATCCTCCTCATTCCACCACCTCTGCTGGGAGGTACAGAGCAGTGCTCCAGTGCCCCATCTGCATGGAGGTGACTCCTGAGGGTGTCGGCCCCCTGTCAGTCATTTGAGAGCAGAACAGGGAAACTGGACCGCAGAATATCCTGCTGGAAAATGACAAGCTAATGAGAGGAAATACGTCAAGATGATCAATGACTTTGGGAGGCTGAGGTGGGAGGATCACTTGAAGCCAGGTGTTCAAGACCAGCCTGGGAAACATTATGAGACCTCATGTCTACAGAAAATAAAGTTGCTGGGCATAGGGGTACATGCCTATAGTCCCAGCTACTTGTAAGGCTGGGAAGGGAAGATTTCTTGAGCCCAGGAGTTCAAGGCTGCAATGATCTATGATCGCATGACTACTCCAGCCTAGCTAGAAAGCAAGACCTGTCTCAAAAATAGAAAAAGAAAAAGAAAGAAAAAAACAAAAGATGATCAGGGAAATTGGGATGCTGAAGCAAATGGTAACCAAACACTAGCTTCTTCTGGATCATTGCGGTTTCAGCATTGGTGTGTTTCCTCTGTGTGTGTTTTCCTGGAACTTACTTAGGTATTTATCTTTCTCCAGCTATTTGTCTTCTCTTCGTCTCTCCATTCCCTCCCCAATCTCCCTTTAAAGAAAATTAAGTTGCCGCTTCAGGGGCATGAATGGAGTGGGGGAAGGGGGGCTCTGTGCCAGCTGCTTGCTGTGCACCCTGGCTGGAAGGGATGGTGTGTTCTCGAGGTGCAGATATTAGATCTGCTCACCAGCCCCCACCACCAACCATAATAACCCCAAATCTTTACGCCACGTTTTCCATGGATGGGTGCCTTGCTCGGCCTCCTGCCTGTGTACATCTCCTTTTTGACCCACCTTTCTGGTGAGTCCTCCTGCTTTCTGCATTCCTGCGTGACTGACACCCCAGCCCTGTGCCCAGCGGTGCAGGCAGAGCCTGAGCACAGCAGTAACATGTTTTGTCTGCTTGGTGGTATTTCTCCATGGACAGCAGAGTGGCCTTGTGCTAGTATCTTGTCTTTAGTTATAAGTAGCGGTCCTAGAGTTGGATTCCTCCAGTAGTTCAGGGGGGCGTTGCTTAAGCTGCAGTACTTGGAAGCACGCTCTGGTGGCCTTGATGGGGACTTGGCCTGCAGGAACAGCCCTCCTTTCCTGGACCCAGCTCCCTTCCTCCTGGCCTAAGTCCTTCCTGCTGATGAATCTGCTGAGAGGAGGACAGAGCCTCCAAGTTCTTCACAGCTGTTTTGACGATGGTGCCACTGTGGGTGGTTTCATTAAGGGAAATCAAGGTTTTGAGAGCCCTTGTTCTGTGCAGTTCTCCAACTTTCCAATTGACCCTCCTGCCAGTTCAGCTCTTCTCTTTTCCCCTAAGCACCCACTTCCTTGGCAGTGGCCCCTGGACTTCACCCAAGGATTGGATATGAAAGACAGAAGCATACATTTAGACATCATTGAAACACAATTATTGAGTCCCTTCCTGTTGGGGACCATGAACATCTTACAAGGTGTCATTTAATCCTGACACAGGTGTTTACCATTCTAGCATGTGTGTGTCTGGACATGGGTCTCCTTCGTTATTTGGAGTATTTGTAGGGGGAACATATTTGCTTGTGTTTTTCAAAAAAGTTTTTTGTTTGTTTGTTTTTGGGTTTTTTTTACTGCACCTTTTCAATAATAATCTCACAAGAGCCACTTCCTGGCTGAGGACCACTAGTGCCCACCTGCGAGGCACAGGGCTTACTTTCTGGCCATTCCACATCCTCAGAGTTCAGATTTTCCTGGCTTAGCTTCTATTTGAAGACTTAAAAACATGAAATATTGTCAAATATAGATTTAAAGAAATTTTTTAACACATCATGAAATGGAATCCTCTTCACATCCCTATTTATTGACTTTGGGCATGACCTCAGCAAATTTCGTCGCAGCTCTGGGCAGCTCCCCCTGCGGACAGAACTCTCTTCCTCCACTCGCCCCCTGGCATCCGGGTTAGTTCTACTCCCAGTCACCATGCTTGGTTCTTTGTGGTTTCACTGATGTTTAGTGCAGACCTCCTCCCTCTGCCCCACTGGAGGGCTTGCTATCACCCTCCTCTGTTCGCCTGGATCCTGCGTTGCAGGCTGATTTCTCTGCAGGAAGTACGTGAGTTAGGGGAGAACTGATCCCCATCTTTATTCTGGTGCCCCTTGCCCAGCAGTGAGTCCCCATCACCACCTAACTGGAGCCTTCCGAGCAGGACCCTGTCTCTCTTACCTTCCTCATGCTGCTCCCTCCCCTTCTAGAGGTGTTTGGCTTCCAGGAGCTGTTCTGCGCCGGGCACGGGAAGGTGATGCTTCCAGGTTCAGAAGCTGGTTTTCTCCACCGCAACGTAAGAAGATGTGGAATCTCATCTGGAAAGCATCAGGCCCTCTTAGGAAGGCAAAGCCTATGTCCAGGGGTTACATCACCTGCCCACATCACATGGAATAACACAGGCACCAGCCCTGCCCGCAGGAGGCTCCCAGTTTGAGAGTGAGTGCACATTGGTGCTCAGAACCAAACTCTGTGCATTGTGCTCTTACTGTTTCCCATTCTTTTATTGTTGACTAGAAGAAGGAAGCTGATATTCTTAAGCTATCTATCAAAACCAAATTATGCTTATGGTCCCACCAAATATATGTCACCTCCAAAATCTTCTATTTTAGGCCAGTGTTATCCAATAGCCATTAGCCACATATGAGTATTGAGTACTTGAAATTTGGCTACTGCAGCTGAGTGAAGGTGTGTATGTCTATGCCTTTTTATATTGTGGTAAAATATACATAGCACACAATTTACCATTTTAATCATTTTTAAAGGTACAATTCAGTGGCACTAAGTACATTTACATTGTTGTCCAACCATCATTATGATCCATCTCTAGAACTTTTTCATCAACCCAGACTGAAACTCCATAACCATTAAAGAATAACTCTCCATTCCCCACTCCTCCTAGCCCGGGTAACCACTATTCTACTTTCTGTCTCTATGAATTCCACTATTCTAGGAACCTCATATAAGCAAAATCATACATCCTTTTGTATCTGGCATATTTCACTTAGCACACTGTTTTCAAGGTTCATTCTTGAAAGTATGTAGCATGTATTAGAATCTCATACCTTTTTAAAGGCTGAATAATATTCCATTGTATGTGCATACCATATTTTGTTTACCCATTCATCCATCAGTGGACATTTGGGTCAGTTTCACCTTTTGACTATTGTGAAGAATGCTGCTGTGAATATAGATGTACAAGTAAATACCTCTGTGACATCCCATTTTCAATTCTTTTGAAGGTGGAGTTACTGGGTCATCTGGTAACTCTATTTTTAGTTTTTTGAGGAATGGACAGACCATTTTCCACAGTGGCTGCACCATTCTGCGTTTCCACCAGCAAGGCACGAGGGTTCCAATTTCTCCTCATCCTCGCCAACAGTTATTTTCTGGTTTGGTTTCATTTTTAATAGTAGCCATCCTAATGGGTGTGAAGTGGCATCTCATTGTGGTTTTGAAATGTGTTTCCCTAACGATTAGTGATTTTGAGCATCTTTTTTTTTTTTTTTTTTTTTTTTTTTGAGACAGAGCCTCACTCTGTCACCCAAGCTGGAGTGCCATAGTGCCATCTTGGCTGACTGCCACCTCCGCCTCCCGGGTTCAAGCGATTATCATACCTCAGCCTTCTGAGTAGCTGGGATTATAGGCGCCTGCCACCACACCTGGCTGATTTTTGTATTTTTAGTAGAGACGGGGTTTCACCATGTTGGTCAGGCTGGTCTTGAACTCCTGACCTCAAATGATCTGCCCACCTCAGCGTCCCAAAGTGCTGGGATTACAGGTGTGAGCCACCTTACTCGGCCTTGAGCATCTTTTCATATGTTTATTTTCCATTTGTCTATCTTATTTGGAGAATAAGATATTCTCTTATTCTCTTTAAGTTGTTGCCCATTTTCACATTGGATCGTTTGGTTTTGTGTCGTTCCCTTGTAGGAGTTATTTATACATTCTGGATATTAATCCCTTATCTAACATATAATTTGCAAATATTTTATCATGTTCTGTGAGTTGTCTTTTCACTCCCTTGATAATGTCCTTTCATGCACAAAACTTTTAATTTTTATAAAGTCCACTTTATCTTTTCCTTTGTTGCCAGTCTTTGGGTGTTATATCCAAGAAATCGTTGCCAAATTCAATGTCTTGCAGCTTTCTTCCTATGTTTTCCTCTAGAAGTTTTATAGTTTTAGCTCTGAAGTTTTTTATTCATTTGGAGTTAATGTTTATGTATAGTGTAAGGTAAGGGTCCAATTTCATTGTTTTATAAAATATATATAACTTAAGATTTACCATTTTAACTATTTTTGAGTATACAATTCAGTGGCACTGATACCACTTTTGTTGTTCGAGTCTTAACAATAAAATAATGGGAAACAGTAAGAGCACAATGCACAGAGTTTGGTTCTGACCAGCAATGCCTAGTCACTCTCAAACTGGGAGCCTCCTCTGGGCAGGGCTGGTGCCTGTGTTATTCCGTGTGATGCGGGCAGGTCACGTAACCCCTGAGCATAGGCTTTGTCTTCCTAAAAGGGCCTGATGCTTTCCAGATGAGATTCCATATCTTCTTATGTTGTGGTGGAGCAAACTAGTTTCTGAACCCAGAAGCATCACCTTCCCATGCCTGGCACAGAACAGTCCCTGGAAGCCAAACACCTCTAGACAACATACATAACACTTTATGTTATGTGTATTTTATGTAACATAATGGATATCCAGGCCGGGTGCAGTGGCTCACGCCTTTAATCCCAGCACTTTGGGAGGCCGAGGTGGGTGGATCACCTAAGGTCAGGAGTTAGAGACCAGCCTGGCCAACATGGTGAAACCCTGTCTCTACTAAAAATACAAGAATTAGCCGGGCATGGTGGCGGGCACCTGTAATCCCAGCTACTTGGGAGGCTAAGGCAGGAGAATTGCTTGAACCCAGAAGGTGGATGTTGTAGTGAGCCGAGACGGCGCCACTGCACTCCAGCCTGGGTGACAGAGTGGGACTCCATCTCAAAAAGGAAAAAAAAATGGATATCTAGTTTTTCCAGCACTATATGTTGAAAACACTGTTCTTTCCTCCCTGAGTAGTCTTGTCACTCTAGTTGAAAATCATCTGGTTACATATGTGAGGGTTTATTTCTGGGCTCTCTATTCTATTTAATCGGTCAGTATGTCTGCCTGTATGTCAGTACTACATTGATTACTATAGGCTTGTAGTAAGTTTTGAGATCAGGAAGTGTGAGTCCTCCAGCCTTGTTCTTTTTTGAGATTGTTTTGGTTTTGGATGGGTCCCTTGAAATTTCGTACAGTACCATTTATCACCTGTGTAGATTCACATAACTACCGCTGCAATCAAAATACAGAACTATTCCATCACCACAAGACATCTCATGCTACCCCTTTATATCCACACCCCTCTCCACCTCCCCTAAACCTTGGCAGCCACTAACTTGTTTTCCATCCCTACAATGTTGTCATTTGGAGAATGTTATATAAATGGAATCATATAATATGTAACCTTTAAGATTGGCCTCTCTCACTCTACATAATGTCGTTAGTGTCCGTCCAGGTTTTTGCATAGGTCAATAGTTTGCTCCTTTTTATTGCTATGTAGTATTCCATGGTATGGATGTACCACAGTTTATTTAACCATTTACTTGTTAAGGGATGTTTTGGCTGTTCCTGGTTTTGAGCCTTGCAAAGAAAGCTGCTGTGAACATTTATGTATAACCTTTGTGTGGACATAAATATTCATCTATCTGGGATAAATGCCCAGGAGTATGATTGTGTTTAGCTTCTAAAGAAACTGCCACACTGTTTTCCAGAGTGTTTGTACTATTTGCATCTCACCAGTAATGTGTGAGATCCAGTTTCTCTTCATCCTCACTAGTATTTGCTATTGTCACTTTTTAAAAAAATTTTAGCTGTTCTAATTGGTATGTAGTAATATCTCATCATGGTCTTAATTCACATTTTCCTAATGGCTAGCAATGTTGAACATTTTTTCATGTGCTTATTTGCCATCTGTGTATCATCTTTAGGGAAATGTCACTGCATGTCTGTTGCCCATTTTCTAAGTGGATTGTTTTATTACTATTGAGTTTTGAGACTTCTTTACATATTCTAAATTGATTCTCAGTCAGAAATGTGGTTTGCAGATGTTTTCTCCTAGTCTGTAGCTTGTATTTTAATCTGCTTAACAGTCTTTCACAGAGCAAAATTTCTTAATTTTGATGAAGTCCAATATTACAATTTTTTTATGGATTATGCTTTTGATGTCACATATAAGGATTCATCACTAAGCCCTAGATAGCAAAAATTTTCTTCTTTTTTTCTTAAGTTTTACATTTAAAGATATGATCAATTTTAAGTTAATTTTTATATAAGGTGTGAAACTTAAGTCAAGGTTCAGTTCCCAAGCCATTTGTTGAAAAGACTATCTTCCCTCCACTGTATTTCTTTTGCACTTCTGTAAAAAATCAGTTAACTGGAAGCCAGGTGCAGTGATGCATGCCTGTAGTCCCAGCTACCCAGGAGGCTGAGACAGGAGGATCACTTGAGCCCAGGAGTTCAAGGCTGTAGTGTGCAGTGATCACACCCGTGAATAGCCACTGTACTCCAGCCTGGGCAGCATAACAGACTGCAGCTCTAAAACAAAACAAAACAAAACAAAACAAAAGATTAAAGTTGTAAATAAAAAAATATATATCAGTTGGCTGTACTTACACGGGTATATTTCTGGGCTCTCTATTTTGTCCCTTTGATCTATGTGTCTATTCCTCCAGTAATACCACCCTGTCTTAACTTCTCTATAAAATGCCTTGAAATCAGATAAACTGAGTTCTCCTACTACTTTTGTTTTTCAAAATTACTTTAGCTGTTCTACTTCCCTTTGCTTTTCATATAAATTTTGGAATAATCTTGTCCATATCAAAATTTTTCTGGGATTTTGATAGGAATTATATTAAACCTGTATATAAAAATTATCAAATGATTCAGAAAAACAAATGTATCTATGTGTATGTATGTGTGTATCTGCTATACTATGTAGATATATTTGTTTTTCTGAATTGTTTATCTACTATGTAGATACCCACATACACACACATTAGTACAAACACGAAGAGAAAGAAAAAAGGCAAAATGTAAACAACTGGTGAATCTGGGCAAAAGATGTGTGCAATTTTTTTATAAGTTTGAAACTACATCAAAATAAAAAGTCCTCCCTAATCTCCTGCCAACTAAAAAGTATACATGGAAAAAAAGAGCACACCGTTAATAAATAACTCAGCAACCCATTTTAGCAGGAGGGCTGAGTCAAACTCTCTCCAGGCAGGCCTGCTTCTTGTGTGGCCAGGACCCAGGATTTCCTTGGACCTCCACAGAAGGTTGCAGACAATGTCTGGGAGTCTGGCTAAGGAGCTTACCAGATTGTGTGACCTCGGTGAGATCACAGGCCCGCCTCAGGGATCCACAGCACAAGGGGCAATGAGGTGGTGCCAGTGAGAGTGGAAGACAAAGGGCTCCAGCCAGGACTAGAGAAGGAAGAAAGGTGGCTGAGTCTCAGGCTTCAGCAGCCACCACCCCGTGCAGTGTTGACCGGCAGAGGGAGGGAGGATCTGCAGGACCAAGGGTGGACCCTCTTCCCTAACTGTCACCAGGACAACATGAAAGTTTGTCCACACCTCATGGGGAAGGGAGGAGGGGAACTCTGAAACCCTGAGCATTCACCCAGAGTCATCCCAGAATTTACCTAAAAATGACTTTCAGTTTATCAGATCAGACTGAGATCATCATTTCTACTAAATCAAGGAATATAAACACACACACACACACATACACACACACACACCCCTTTCTCTGCACAATAGGCACAGCGTAAATATGCAACTCCTCTATGCTTGATAAAATGTGGTGCCCAGCCCTGAATACAAGGCTCCAGGTGAAACCTGGCCCACTCAGGGTAGAGAGGACCGTGAACTCCTCATTCCAAATCTTATATCTCAGTTAATCTAATCTAAGAATGTAGGCTCACCTTCAACACTATCCATCAAAGCTTTTTCACACTGCCCACAGAAAAGGCCAATCCTTGATAGTTCATTTTCACTGAATATTTTGATTTGCTTGTTTTCAAGGTAACCACACTTGTTATAAGAAACCTGGAAAAGTGCAGAAAAGCACGCAGAAGGAGATTTAAACCACTTGTAATCCTGGTACTCATGAATCACTATTAAACATTTTTTTCCACACACATACACACACACACACACACACACACACGAAAATCTTACCATTTTGTAACCTTTTAAAATAAGTTTTTACAAGATATTTTGAGTATTTTCCTATATCATTAGATATTCTTCCTTAACATAATTTTTAAAGACTATGCAACGGGGTTTCTCGACGTTGGCACTATGGACATTGGGGTCAGGTAATTGTTGTTGGGGGCTTTTCTGAACATTGTAGGATGTTGCAGACCTCTGACCTCTACTCACTGGATGCCTGTAGCACCTCCCCACTCTGCTGCACATAACAACGAAAACTGTCTCCAGACATTTTTGTCCCTTAGAGGGCAAAATCACTCCCAGTTGACAACTGTTGCTATGTAGTACTTTATCCTGGGTAAATGTGATCATTTACTTAGAAATCCATCTTATTAGATATACATATTATTTATAGTTATTCCGAGCTATGAATAATGCTGGATATACCTCTCTGGTTTTGTTATTTTACACGTTTTTGAGTTCTCAGAAGTGGCCTTCTGGGTCAAAGAATATGCATGTTTCTAAAGCCAGTGATAGGGCCGGGCACGGTGGCTCATGCCTATAATAGCAGCACTTTGGGAGGCCGAGGCGGGCAGATCACTTGAGGTCAGGAGTTCGAGACCAGCCTGGCCAATATGGTGAAACCCCGTCTCTACTAAAAATAGAAAAATTAGCCGGACATGGTGGTGGGTGCCTGTAATCCCAGCTACTCAGGAGGCTGAGACAGGAGAATTGCTTGAACCTGGGAGGCAGACGTTGCAGTGAGCTGAGATCGCACCATTGCACTCCAGCCTGGGCAACAAGAGCAAAACTCTGTCTCAAATAAATAAATAAAGCCTGTGATATGTTGTCGATTTCCTTTAAAAAGTTACCTATTTATGTTCTTACTAAGAGTATATGAAATTACCTGTTCTCCTAAACTCTTGTTAGCTCTGGAAATTATAATTTTTAAAGATCTTCGCAAATTTTATTTTTGCTATAAGACAATTATTTCAGTTAAATTTTTTCTTGAAAATTTTAGTTTGCCAGGATGTTTTCAATCCTGTCTCTGTCTCTGATAAGTTTTCTATCTTTAACTTCATGTTACTTGCAAATTTGACAAGAATTTAAATGTTGTAAAAAAAATAGGGTTTAGCCTAGAATCCTGTAGCAGGCCAACAGAAATTTCCCATCAATCCACTAGTTAGTTCTGCATCCCTAGGTACAATCATTCAGCAAGTCCCTAACCCACTTAATTACCTCAGTCTCTAACTGATATTTTCAAACCTTTCCTAAAGGGTACAATGAAAGACAATGTCAAATATTTTGTTGAGGTCTGGATTTAGTACCTACCACATTTCTCTGGTGAACCAATCTAATAACCCTATGAAAGAATAAGTCTTTACCTGTGTACAACCCTTTACAGTTTGGACACATTTTTAAATTCATTTATTTTCATTTGGACAAATGAAAATATATGTTGCACATACTCAGTCCATCCCCCTATTTTCAGCCTCCCTTTCGAATGTAGTTGGGGCCTCCAAATCCTAAGCCTTTCCAGAGTTCCGTAGCATGAATCTGTTTCTTGGCTTTTTCACTGCCAGGTTGGGTTTCTGGTCTGCTGAGCCAGTGCCACCCAACCCTGTTCTTCCCTTAAGAGTTACATCTCCTATGAGCTAGGCGCAGTGGCATATACCTATAGTCCAGCTACTTGGGAGGCTAAGGCAGGAGGATCACTTGAGCCCAGGAGTCTGAGGCTGCAGTGCACTGTGATCACACCTGTGACGAGCCCTGCACTCCAGCCTGGGCAGCATAGCAAGAGCTCATCTCTTTAAAAAAAAAAAAAAGTTACATTTCCTAGTCTCCCTCACAGGCAGGACTGCCAGGAATAGGTCTGCGATTCCTGAAGATTGAAGCTGTTGCAATTTAGGGGCCCACTTTTTAAAAAATATATAAAAATGGCCCAGACACGGTGGCTCACGCCTGTAATCCCAGCACTTTGGGAGGCTGAGGCAGGCAGATCACCCGAGGTCAGGAGTTTGAGACCAGCCTGGCCAACATGGTGAAACCCCGTCTCTACTAAAAATACAAAAATAGCCTGGTGTGGTGGGGGGCACCTGTAATCCCAGCTACTCAGGAGGCTGAGGCAGGAGAATCACCTGAACCCGGGAGGTGGAGGTTGCAGTGAGCCAAGATCCAGCCTGGGTGACAAAGTGAGACTCCATCTCAAAAAAAAAAAAAAAAAAAAAAAAAAAATATATATATATATACACACACACACACACACACACACGCAAAATTGGGCCAGGTGCGGTGACTCTTGCCTGTAATCCCAACACTTTGGGAGGCTGAGGTAGGTGGATTGTTTGAACCTAGGAGTTCGAGACCAGCCTGTGGAACATGGTGAAACACCATCTCTACAAACAATACAGAAATTAGCTGAGTGTGGTGGTGTGCACCTGTAGTTCCAGCTACTTGGGGTGGTGTGCACCTGTAGTTCCAGCTACTTGGGAGGCTGAGATGGGAGGATCACTTGAGCCTGGGAGGTGGAGGCCACAATGGGCCTATGGCACCACTGCACTCCAGCCTGGACAACAGAGTGAAACCCTGTCTCAGAAAAATATATAAATATATGCAAAATTTGTGACAATGGTAAATATCTATTTACTTGAAAAAAGGAAATCACAAGTTAAACACTTAAAAAGCTGAAATATACCACAAATAACACAAAATCCAGAAAAACAATACAATGTTTTTATTTCTATTTATTTTTTCTTAGGGGTCTACTCATGGAACTCTCCTCTGACCAGTCTATATAAAGAGCCAGTCTCCGTTCTTCACCCTGCTTTCTTTTATTCCATAGCATTTATCCCAAGAGCATCACATCTGTCTTATTTGTTCATGTATTTTCTTTCTTCCCCTCTAGAATGTAAGATCTAGAGGGCAAAAACATTTTCTGTCTAGTTTGCCATTTTGCCCCCAAACCAGAAAAGGATAAGTACTCAATGAGTGTTGAATAAATGTTGGAAATTTTCACGTAGAACCCCATAGCTCACAAACTGTATGTAGTGTATGATCCAGTTTTCGTTTAAAAATATTCATAGAAGAAAAAGACCAGAAATAGATCAAAATATTTAAAGTGATTATCTTGGGATGATAAAACTAGGATTGATTTTCATTTTCTTAATCCTGTTTTTCTAGATATTCCAATTTTCATTTCAGTGATGTATTTAAAATTTTACATGAGTGAAATGCTCATGATGAAATGCGAGATGAAAAAGCTAGAAACAAAATGTATCTACTATGATCCTGATTTCTTTAAGACATATTTTAATTAAAAAAAGACTTGAAGGAAATGCAGCAACAAATTGAAAATGGCTACCTCTGGAAGTTGGAATAACAGATGGTTTTCATTTCTTTCTACTTGTTTATGTTTTTGCAGATTTTATAATGAGCATGAATTACTTTGATAATGCATGATCATAAAAACAACAAATGTTACTACGGAGGAAAGAATGGGAGTTGAGAAAAATGAGGTTCCATTAAATTAGAAGTAAGGCTTGATATTTATTTGGTAGTATTCAAAGAAAGGGCAGGGAAGACAAAAAAGAGTACCAAGAAAGAGGGAATAAGGTAGGAATGGGAGGCCTTGATGAGATCAAGATAGTAATAGGGAAAGAAAGAAGGGATGAATATAATAATGCAGGTGGAGCAGTGGAGCAGAGGGAGTAAGTTGGGCTTTCCCTCATTTGGATTGAAATGAGAGCCCACTCTCAGAACTTCCTAAAGCAGCCCTAGAATAATATATTAATGGGAATGCGAAGGGAGAAGTCCAAGTTGAGTAGTAAGTAAATGGATATCATTTTATAAACTTCTTTTTTTGTTTTTTTTGATACGGGGTCTTGCAGTGTTTGCCTAGGCTGGAGTGCAGTGGCACAATCTCGGCTCGCCTCACACTCCGCCTCCCGGGTTCATGCCATTCTCCTGCCTCAGCCTCCCAAGTAGCTGGGACTACAGGCGCCCACCACCACACCCGGCTAATTTTTTGTATTTTTAGTAGAGACGGGGTTTCGCCGTGTTAGCCAGGATGGTCTTGAACTCCTGACCTCATGATCTGCCCGCCTCAGCCTCCCAAAGTGCTGGGATTACAGGTGTGAGCCACCTTGCCCAACCCATTTTGTAAACTTCTGTTGGGCTCTTTTAAAAATCAATGGAGAAAAAATATATTCTGAAATTGCTCCAAATGCCTTCTTATCTCTAGTTTTTCAAGACAGGTTTCTGAATCAGGATATTCATGACTTAACTTACTTGTGCATTAATTCAGGTGGTAATGATTGACCGTAACTTCAAATAACAGGACACATTCTTGTGGTCTCCTGAGGACCACCTGGGTAATGGAATAATAATGACAATTAGGATATGGTGAATCCACCTTCTCACTATGACATAGAATGTCAAATAGAAGTAGTTAGTATTCATTGAAAGCAGCATGTGAATAATCAGATAAAAGAAAAGTACTTAGTGAAGGCAAGAAACACTTAGTGAAAAGTCTTTTAACATTTATTTTTGTAGCACAATAAAATAAAAATGTGAGTTAGTTTTAAAATTCATAGCTTATCTAAAGGAACTCCCCAGGACTTATTGCCTACATATAAAGTTACTTTAAAGAGAGAAATAGAGACCTTATGGTAAAATAGAAAGAATTCAAAGTTCCTTTTTATTAGAATACACATTGATATGTGAAAGTGCTTTTAATTAGAGATAATTAAAATAATAGGCTATATTTAAAATAATTACATACTAAAAGATGTCTACAAAATGATGGGAACTTGGCTGTAAAATTTTAACATGAGCAATATTAAGCAAAATAATACCTTATCTACATGAATATTTTTTTTACTAATCTGTCTTTTCACCCCACGTGCCCTTATTCTGCCTAGAAGGGAAAAAAACTCACCAATTTACAGACCTTGATTCAGCCAGTATAGAATAAATTTACTGGAGTTATATCTCTATGACAAAGTTATAAACATAAATTTCCCATTGAAATAAAACTTAAAGATACCAGATTGCTTGAAATATCTATCTATACACATATCTATAGAAATAGATAACTACATATTTAATATATAACAGGTCCGTATTCCTTACGTTGATAGTTAACTTAAAAGAAAACAAAACTAGAAAGCCCTACCTAAGAAGAGATGTTTAAGTATAATCTAAGTAGTAATAAAATGAAATACAAATTAAAACAAGGAGCTTTTCTTCCCCCACTCAAATTAGCAAAGCATTTTTTAAATGATAGTACCCAAAGAATCATTATCAATCATCACCAATAGCATTTTAAAGTGGTTCAAACATTTTGTAAAGTAATCTGGCAATATAAATTGAGAGGCACAAAAAAGGTTATAACTTTCAATTTAGCAATTCCAGCTGTAGGAATGTATCCTAAGGAAATAATCTCAAACATGGAAACAGCTACAAGCAAAAAATAATAATCATCTAAGCATTATTCATAATAGAAAAAAATGAGGGAGGAGAGAACCCTGAAAAAATTGGAATAGCTAATAAAAGAACATGTAAATTATGGTACATTCATTTGTTATATTCTGCAGGTGGTAAAAAATGATAGTTATGAAAAACTAGGGGAAAACATGGAAGAAATCTTATGGTGGGTTAAATTTTAACAGCAGAATGTCAATTTGAATATATTTATGATTGCAATTCTTCAAAAATATGCTTTTTGAAAATACATGAAAAAGATAATGATAGGGCTGTTAGGTGATGAGCGTATGGATACTTTTATTCTTTTTCTATACTTATTACATTTTTGTGATGTGATTATATTACTCTAAAAATAAAAATATTGTTAAATTTTTGGAATGGAGTTTTACTGACTTGGAGGTGTTGGTTTTTTTCCCGAGTGTTTTTACTGGCTTGGGATAGTTTTTTCCCCCAATGTTTTTCCACCTTCTTCTTCTCCTTTATTTTATTTTATTTTATTTTAATTTTATTTTATTTTATTTCATTTTATTCATTTATTTTGAGACAGGGTCTCACTTTGCTCCGAGGCTGGATGGAGTACAGTGGCAGAATCACAGCTCACTGAAGCCTCAATCTCAGGGGCTCTAGCCATCCTCCCATTGCAGCCTCCCAAGTAGCTGAGACTACAGGCGTGTGCCACCATGCCCCGCTAATTTTTGTATTTTTTTGTTGAGACAGGGTTTCGCCATGTTGCTCAGGCTGGTCTTGAGCTCCTTGGCTCAAGCACTCCTCTTGCCTCAGCCTCCCAAAGTGCTGGGAATACAGGCATGAACCACCGCACCTGGCCCTCCAGCTTCTTCTTTAATGCCACTAAATCTCTGAGGCCTTGATAAAACTAGACAGCATAAACATAAAGTAAAATGGGGGGGTGGTGGGAATTTTTAGGTAAATACAGCTGAAAATGCTTACAATGAAATATGATATTAAAAAATTGGATACAAATTGATTTATCTAATATATTCTGATTTTCATTTGTTAAAAATATTTTTATTAAAAATAAGGTTTGACCTTAGATATGACAAAACGGGCAAGCAAGAAAAGAAAAAAATAGATAAATGAAACTTCATCAAAATTAAAACATTTTGTGCTTCGAAGGACAAAGTGGGTACACTTTACACCCACTAGCATGACTATAATAAAAAGATAAACAACAGGTACTGTTGACCAGGATGTGGAGAAATCAGAATCCTCATACATTGCTGGTAGGAACGTAAAATGGTGCAGTTGCTTTGGGAAACAGTTTGGAAGCTCCTCAAAAAGTTAAACATGGAGTTACCATTTGAGCCAACAATTACATTCCTAGGAGAAATGAAACATATGGGCAGAAAAACTTATACATACATGAAAGTTCAGAGAAACATTATAAATACTCCCAAAGTAGAAACAACCCAAATGTCTATCAACAGACCAATGGATAAACAAAATTTGACATATACATACAATGAAATATGATTCAACTGAGTGAAGTTCTGATACATGCTACAATATGGATGAACTTTCTTGTTGTATTTTTTGTTTGTTTGTTTTGAGACAGGGTCTCACTCTGTCCCCCAGGCTGGAGTGCAGTGGCACAATTAGGGCTCACTAAAGCCTTGACCTCCCAGGCTCAAGTGATCCTCCCACCTCAGCCTCCTGAGTAGCTGGGACCACAGGCGCCCACCACCACGCCTGGCTGATATTTGTATTTTTTGTAAAGACGAGGTCTTGCCATGTTGCCCAGACTGATCTCCAACTCCTGGGCTCAAGTGAGCCTCCTGCCTCAGCCTCCCAAAATTTTGGGATTACAAGAGTAAGCCACCACACCCAGCCTCATGGATGGACTTTGAAAACAAGCTGAGTGAAAGAAGCCGGTTCCACACTTTTACACTGTTGGTGGGAGTGTAAACTAGTTCAACCATTGTGGAAGACAGTGTGGCGATTCCTCAAGGATCTAGAACTAGAAATACCGTTTGACCCAGCCATCCCATTACTGGGTATATACCCAAAGGATTATAAATCATGCTGCTATAAAGACACATGCACGCGTATGTTTATTGCGGCACTATTCACGATAGCAAAGACTTGGAACCAACCCACATGCCCATCAATGATAGACTGGATTAAGAAAATGTGGTACATATACACCATGGAATACTATGCAGCCATAAAAAAGGATGAGTTCATGTCCTTTGTAGGGACAAGGATGAAGCTGGAAACCATCATTCTCAGCAAACTATCACAAGGACAGAAAACCAAACACCACATCTTCTCACTCATAGGTGGGAATTGAACAATGAGAATACTCGGACACAGAGTGGGGAACATCAAACACCAGGGCCTGTTGTGGGGTGAGGGGATGGGGGAGGGATAGCATTAGGAGATATACCTAATGTAAATGACGAGTTAATGGGTGCTGCAGCACACCAACATGGCACATGTATACATATGTAACAAACCTGCATGTTGTGCACATGTACCCTAGAACTTAAAGTATAATTTAAAAAAAAAATTAAAATTAAAAATAAAAAATTAAAAAGAAGCTGGTTCCAAGAGACCATATATTGTATGATTGCATTTATATGAACATCTAGAATATGCAAATCTATAGGGACAGAAAGTAGATTAGTTGTTTCCCAGAGCTGGGGAATTGCAGGGTGGGAGAATGGATATGGGGCTTCTTTCTGGATCCATGAAAATATTCTAAAATTAGACTGCAATGATGGTTGTCCAATTTTGTGAAGGTATTAAAACTGTTGAATTCATATGCTTTAAGTGGGTAAATTATATGGTATGTGAATTATATTTCAATAAAGCAGTTTTTTAAAAAGTATAACACCTCTATTAGAATGACCAATGATTTTCATTTTCATCTATTTTTGGGTGGTAAGCAGTGTTCATAACAGGCATTGTCTAATAAAGTGTTATCAAGGATAACAGTTATGTATTATCAAAAAGACAGTGAGGCAGAGCTGCTGAGCACAAGTAAGCTCAGGAGCCAACAGAGATCTGGATCACAATCCTTAGCCAGGCTGCCATTAACTATTAGTTGGGTGATCTTGAGCAAGTCACCTAACCTCTCTTGTGCCTTAGCTTCTTTCTCTGCACAGAGAACAGCATGATGATTTCTTCATACTCGGTTGTTCTGAGCATTAAAGTGGAGTTTGCTTAACATGGCATATGGCAAACTCTCAATAAATGCAGGTCAGCAATAGGAGTAGGAATGGTAGAGGTATTAGTGCTAGTGGTAGTCGTCATAGGGCATCCATAGTGCAAAAAAGGTTATGAACCACCACTCTCAGCCCACATCACGGTTGCAAGGCACTCTCTCTGCAGGTTGGTAGGTTGTCGTAAGTGAGGAGGTGGGAGAAGATGCCTCCCCAGTTCATACGGCTTTTGCAGAAAGTGTTGAAAGAAGCATTCTTTTGGCTTTCCGGGCATTTTGAATTCCTAATTCTGATTATTTTTTTTTTTCTCTATGCTTAGGGGAGGCCAGAGGGAGGCCTTTCTCTGAGCTCTGCGGAGGCCAGTAGGTAGAACATTTCTTTCCATTTTGCTGCTATGTATATTTGTTTCTTTCACTTTCTTTCTTCTTTTTAAAATTCACACCAAAATAAATGATTGAATTTAGACTTTTTTCCAACTTAATAAAATTACCTTGGGTTCAAAAACTATATTTGAGAGGTATAAAGTAATGGACCTCAATGGAATATGAGGTTTATCACTATCAGGTCTGTCTTATTAGAAGCCTCATATATTCTACCATTTTACAGAGCTCTACATAATTAAGGAAAAATTAGGCTGAGTTTTTGCTCTTTTTAAACTTAGATTTGCTGTCTATAAACACATGGTCACATATTCTAGAGAAATTCCTTCATATGTACAAAAGAGGATGTGTTTGAGAATGTTCGAATCAACGTCGTTGGTCATCACAAAAATAAATTTTAATCATGCAATTAAAAACAGGTGGCAGTGGAGTTGGAATGAATTAGAGCCATAGTTATTAACAAGAAAAAAATCACTGAAAATTAAAAAGTTGAAAGATATTGGGAGTATGATCTCATTTATACAAAGCTTAAAATCTACAAAACAATACTATTGTTTTGGATGCCTCTATGAGTAGTAAAAGCTAAAAGAGTTGCATGGGAATAATAAACACAAAATTGAGAATAGCGGTGATTTGGGCAGTGAAAGAATGGAGGGGAATGGAGTCAGGGAAGTGCCTTCAACCGTATTTGTAAGATTTTAATCTGAGGGCTGGGCATAGTGATGTTCTTTATATTATTTTAATGGCTTTTCATGTATTATTTCATACTTCATAAATTATTTTTTAAAGAAAAAATGTGGAGGCATGCAGTTTGTTCTACTATTCTCTCTACTTTTCTGAATTTTAACATTTTTCAAATTAATAAAATACTATATTTTAACGTAAACTCTACATGCATAACTTCCCCTTTTTGTCACCTATGTTTTAGTACTCAAATGAATTGAAGGGAAGATAGAGTGAGGTAGTGATATTATTTCAGAAGTAGTGAACCAAGGCCTCCTCTGCTGGAACTGGAACTTGAAATAAATTAGGTTTAGTTCAGTCTGGAGTATTAATTGGATTTAATTATTTATGAGCTAAGTGTCATAAGGGTCCATGATCCTTAAAAGAATTAATCACATTTCAAAGGGCATTGAAAACCATATAAACGCAATAAAGTTGCATAGTCTATTCATCAGCACATTACCTTAAAGTCCTGTGGAAGAAGCAGTCTATTTAACATTCTAAAAATTAGTCCAGACTTTTGTATCAGACTTTGTGCAATGTCATTTACTACCCATGGGAAAGAAATGATTACACACATACCATAACACAACACATATTTCATAAAGATACAGGCGTATTTAACAACATATATATGAGATACATGGGTGGATGACTACCTGGAAGGTGGAGGAGATTGGCTAAAAATAAAATAAAATGCCTTCTGGCAGGTCTGGCCGGATTCCCACTGGATTAGCCCGCTTCTAGAGGCCGTGTGTCACCAGCATTGGTGACCAGCACTACAGTTGCATCCATCTTTCTAACAAAGACAATCCACAGACAAGCCCCATCACTTAAGCTCGTGGCCAGGACTGTCCAGGATGTGGCCCTCAGTTCTGGTTCTTCTGTAAAATCTACAACCTTCATAGTGGTTGGCCACAGAAAAAGAGAACGTTTTCCTGATGGAATGTATTAGGAGAACACCACTCTAGGGAGAACAATTTACTTTTTTTTATCAATCCTGAAATAAATCAGTGACAAAATTCAGTCAGACTCTGGCTGTTTATATTTCTAGGAACCTAAGGAATTGCCAGGTGACTCCATGTGAAGCTACCCAGGTACCAGGATCTGAACGTGTTAACACTGGACACTCAAAGTGGACAGAAGGGCAGACAGGCCTGGAAAGATTGCTCCATGTCCAGCAAATTCCCTGTGGCCTCATGGTGTTGCTTGTAGGTCTGGATAGACCCTCCGTGGTTTCTGCCCATCATTTTTGCCTGGCTCTCACGTCCATGGACCACCTCTCCAGAGAGCTGCTCTCATCATCCTTCCAACCTGGGGACACGATTAGCACTGCCAGGACAGGTAGCCCCTCTCTTGGCTTTTTTTTTTTTTTTTAATTTACAGATTCCCTTTTGTCCCCATGTGCATCTCCCTCACCAGTGTGTGAGATGTGTCTGTAAGTAAGGATACGAATGTCCTTAAGAATATGTGATGTCATTGTGTGTACTGATGCATTTCAAGTAATGCGAATGGCATTGGGCTTAAAAATGATATAAAGAAAGAGAGGGGTTTTAATGGACTGGTCATGATAATTTGCTATGAATTCAGGAACTCTTGAAATGATTATGATGAACTCTCTGCACTAAGGTTAAAAAACAAAAAAACCAGATCCCTTGACCTTAAGGTCAAGGTTCTCTTCTTCATAGAGAAAAGGAACATGATGAGTGCCCCATCCTGAAGCCATCAAGCAGGCTTTAAGGGCCAGATTTGTTCCAGCAGTAATAAATAATGTTATCGGTTATAAGAATCTAACATCAGGTACCCTCTTTATGTAGGATGCATTGAGAATGACCAAACATAATATCCTTGCCAAAAAATGCATAAGCTTAATCTAATCGTAAGAAAACACCAGACAAACCCAAATGAGGAACATTTTACAAAACAAGTTAGCAGTGCTACTCAGAAGTATCAAAGTCATGAAAAACAAGAAAAGAGCAAGGAAATGTCACAGACTGGAAGAATCTAAGAAGACATATAACTAAATGCAACCCAGGATCCTGGATTGAATACCAAAACAGAAAGAGGACATTCATGGGCAAACTAGTAAAATTACATAAGTTTTTAGTCTTTTTGTTACAGTACCAATGTTAATTTCCAGGTTTTGATAACTGTACTGTAGTTACGTAAGCTGTTAACAGTAGGGGAAGTCAGATGAAGATTATAAAGGAACTCTCAATGCTATTTTTGCAACTTTTCTCTAAGTCTAGGATTATTTCAAAATAAAATTTTTTTTTTAAATCTAGGCCTAATGCCCTTTTGAGGAGTCAATTTTTGGTGACTGATTCAATGTTTAAATAGTTATTGGTCTATCTAAATTTTCTATCCCTTCTCTGAAAGTTTTAGTAATTTATATTTTTTTCTCAAGTTTTCCATTTCAACTATGTTTTCAGAATTTGGCATGATATCCATTTACATAATCCCCAAATAGGTTTTGAGTTCTCTGCTAGGTTTATAGTTATATCACCCTTTTTATAACTGGCTTTATTCATTTGTGGGTCTCTTACTCTGCTTTCTCCTTTGGTTGGGGGCTAAAAGAGCTTTGTCCTTTTACCTTTCAAATAATCTGTTTTGGTTTTGGTAATCATCCCATTATTTACTTTCTACTTTCAGTAATTTCTGGTTTCATCTTCATTTTTTCTTCCTTCTATTATTTTTAATTCATTCTATTACTCTTTTTCTAACTTCTTGAATTGAATGCTTTGCTCATTAATTTGCTATCTCGTTTTCTAATATAGACAGTCATAAGAATGTATAGTTATTTTTTCTACTTCTATTTGCATCACTTAAGTTTTAGTATGTGGTGCTTTCATTGTTGTATAATTTTAAGGGTTCTCATTTCTTCAACTCACAGATTATTTGTAAGTAAGCCTTTTCCTTCCTTCCTTCTTTCCTTCCTTCCTTCCTTCCTTTCCTTTCTTTTCTTTCCTTCCTTTCATTTTCTTTCTCTTTCTTTCTCTCTCTTTCTTTCTTTCTTTCTTTCTTTCTTTCTTTCTTTCTTTCTTTCTTTCTTTCTTTCTTTCTTTCTTTCTTTCTTTCTTCTTCTTTCCTTTCAAGATGAGGTCTCACTATGTTGCTCACGCTGGTCTAGAACTCCTGGGCATAAGCAACCCTCCCACCCTGGCCTCCCAAAGTGCTGTGATTACACACACGAGCCACTGTGCCTGACCCCTTTTCACTTCTAAATATATGGGACTTGTATTTTTTTGTTATTATTCCTAATTTTATTTTATTAAAATATGAGTATTTGTCTAAACAGTATCCTTGTCATTGGCACAAGGTTCAAAATGCAACTTTAGTAAATACTGTCCATTTGCTCTTCCCCTTCCCTCCAAAAGAATTATTGGTTGCCTGAAATGAGAAAAGTGTTCCAAAATAGAATATGCATAATTGACTGAATAATCTGAGGTTTCATCCTTGACTCACCCTCCCTACATCTTTCCAGCAACTCTGTATACTAATGAAGAATATTAAAGCACACCTTCAGCTTGATTTGTAATTCAGTTCACCACCTCCAAACAAATTACAGCCAATAAAAGTTTTCAAATTAGCATCTCCTCTCTGGCACTTGCAGGTATCAATGACACTTGTGTGCAGATGGAGGTTATGGAGATTTGTGATTGTGCTGAAGAATATAGGCCCGGAATCAGTACTTATTATTGCTGGTGTTAAAATATGACGAGTAATATCCTGGTTAATTTATATATTCCCACTACTTGAAACACTGAGCTAAGCTGGAATCTGAAGACAAGGTCAGAAAAGTCACTCTAAAATGGAATCTAATGAAATTTAATATGCTGGGCCTGGTGGCTTACACCTGTAATCCCAGCACTTTGGGAGGCCAAGGCGAGACCAGCCTGGCCAACATGGCAAAACCCCGTCTCTACTGAAAATACAAAAATTCGGCTGGGCGCAGTGGGTCACGCCTGTAATCCCAACACTTTGGGAGGCCAAGGTGGGCGGATCACCAGGTCAGGAGATCGAGACCATCCTGGCCACCATGCTGAAACCCCATCTCTACTAAAATACAAAAAAATTAGTTGAGGGTGGTGGCGCATGCCTCTGGTCCCAGCTACCTGGGAGGCTGAGGCCTGAGAATTGCTTGAACCTGGGAGGTGGAGGTTGCAGTGACCCGAGATCCCACCACTGCACCCAGCCTGGCAACATAGCGAGACTCTGTCTCAAAAAAAAAAAAAAAATTACCCGGGCATAGTGGTACATGCCTGTAATTCCAGCTATTCGGGAGGCTGAGGCAGGAGAATCGCTTGAACCCAGAAGGCAGAGGTTGCAGTGAGCCGAAATCATGCCATTGCACTCCAGCTTGGGCAACAAGGGCGAGACTCCATCTCAATAAATAAATAAACAAATAAATAAACCTAATAGACAAGGGAGGGGAGTTTTTGCAACAGATGTATTCTATTTTGTGGTTCTGAATGTTCTTTCCTATAAGCCTGAGGTGTCAGAAGTAACGGCCCTAACTTATACAGACTTAAAAAAAAAGGTGCCAGTAGTAGTTATTCATTGCTGCCTGTATTAGTCAGGGTTCACCCCACAAACAGAGCCAATAGCTTGTGTGTATTTATAGAGAGATTTATTTTAAGGAATTGGCTTATGAGGTTATAGAGGCTGCCCAATCTGAAATCTGCAGAATGGGCTAGTACAGTGGTCCCCAACCTTTTTGGCACCAGGAACTGGTTTCATGGAACACAATTTTTCCATGGATGGGGTGACGGGGATGATTCTCATAAGGAGCGCGCAACCTAGATCCCTCACAAGCGCAGTTCACATGCACTCCTATGAGAATCTGATGCCACCACTGACTTAATAGGAGGCAGAGCTCAGGCAGGAATGCTCTTGCTCACCTCCTGCTGTGTGGCTCAGTTTCTAACAGGCCACGGACGGGTACCGGTCCATGGCCAGGGGGTTGGAGACCTCTGGCTAGGAAATCCGGAGAGTGGAGAGCATGCGTGCTGCAGCTCAAGTCTGAAGGCCATCTGCCAGCAGAATTCCTTTTTGCACAGGGAAGGCCAGACTTTGCTCTATTCCAGCTTTCAACTGATTGGATGAGACCCACCCACATTACGGAGGGCAGTCTGCGTGACTACAAGCAGATGAGTAATGTTACATGTTAATGTCACCAAAAACACCCTCACAGAAACATCCAGTATAATGTTTAACCAAATATCTGGGCACCATGGTCCAGCCATGTTTTTGTTTTATTTTGTTTTGCTTATTTATTTTATTTTAAATTTTTGTGGGTACATAGTAAGTATATATATTTATGGGGTGCATAAGATGTTTTGATACAAGCATGCCATGTGAAATAAGCACATCATAAAGAATGGGGTACCCATCCTCTCAAGCATATATCTTTTGAGTTACAAACAATCCAATTACACTGTTTACTGTAAAATATACAACTAAGTTATTATTGACCCGTTGTGCTATCAAATAGTAGGTCTTATTCATTCTTTCTATTTTTTTGTACCCATTAATCATCTCCACATTCCCCTCAGCCCTCTACTACCCTTCCCAGCCTCTGGTAACCATCCTTCTACTCTCTATATCCATGAGTTCAATCATTTTGATTTTGAGATCCCACTGTTTTGCTTTTTTAGAGACCAGTTCTGGCTTTGTCACCTAGGGTGGAGTACAGTGGTGCAATCAGCTTACTGCAGCCTTGAATTCCTGGGCCCAAGTGACCCTCCTGCCTCTCAGCCTCCCGAGTAGCTAGATGGCTATTTTTTTTTAAGTTTTTTTTTGTAGAGACAGGGGTCCCCTTATGTTGCCCAGGCTCATCTCTTCCTGGACTCAAGTGATCCTCCCATCTCAGCCTCTCAAAATGCTGGGATTATAGGTGTAAGCCTCTGTGCCCAGTGGCCCATCCACGCTGATACAAAAATTGACCATCACTGCTCAATGGGGTAAGGGCTGTGGTGAGTTGCTGTTAGCATTTAGTCCCTATAAGACAGAGTACCTGAGAGGAAGAGGAAGACTTTGATTCCCAGCTGTGAGGCTTCCTAGTTTTGTGACCTTGGGCAGTTTTGTTAACTTCTTGTAGCCTCAGATTCTTCTACAATAAAATAATAGGGTTTTTTAATTATTATGTTTTTACAGACAGGGGCTCACTCTATCACTGAGGCTGGAGTGCAGTGGCGTGATCGTAGCTCACTGTAGTCTTGACTTACTGGCCTCGGGTGATCCTCCCACCTCAGCCTCCTGGGTAGCTGAGACCACAGGCACACACTACCATGCCTGGCTAATTTTTGTGTTTTGTATTTTTTTGCAAAGACGGGGTCTCGCCATCTTGCTTAAGCTGGTCTCAAACTCTTGGGCTCAAGCGATCTGCCTGCCTCGGCCTCCCAGAGTCCTGGGATTATGGGAGTGAGCCACCATGCCTGATGAGTTGTGAGATTTAAATGATATAACCCATATTCAACATCTAAGGGTCTCTCTGTAGATATTCAGTAATTGTTCGTTTCTCTCTGCTTCCTTAGGAAGCAGTATTCTCCAGCTGCTGCCTCAGTCTGAACCAAACTTGTGAGATGATCCAACATCCTGGGTTCTGACAACTCTTCTCACAAAGTGACATTCGGATTACTCATTACATTTTCCATGTGTGTCAGCATAATTTTCCTTGGAAAGGAGCATCCCATTGTTCATGAATACAATGGCATTCTTATTCATAAATCAGAAATTTATGAATTTCTGGGTCAGAAATTGTTGGTAAGAAAAGCAATCCACTCTAAGAAACTCAAATAAAAAGAGGGTTTATTATCAACACTGGGGGGAATCTTGCAGAGAGTTAATTATAGGAAATAGCCTGTCTTCACTGGAAACCGTAAAATGAGATACCTCTCTCTGTCTCTCTCTCTCTGTCTCTCTCTCTCTCTGTCTCTCTCTCTCTCTCTCTCTCTCACCAGAGACATATAATTTTATTCATTTCTCTTTGGCTTCCTTTGCTATGTTCTAAATGTCCACTCCCCTGTAATTTGGGCCACAAATGGCACTTCACGGGCTCTCCGGCCAGCTCTCCACATGACCTTGCAGCTCCATGCCCATACCATCTGACTCACTCATTCTCTGTGTTTCTTAAAACTCATGAGAGAATCTAATTGGTTGCTGGCTGACTCCTTTGCTCACATGTTCCAATCCACTGTGGCTAAGTGGAAATGAGTTGGCTCGTAATTAATAGATGGATCCTTTCAGGAATGTGAACCAAAAATTTAAACCCAAGGGTTAATTGGTTGTGGTGGTGAAGTAACCTGCAGCTTCGTTTCTAGTAGGGTTGCTTGGCTGGGTCAGTCAACGCACCTCCAAGAGCTGTGCCTGCCCTGTGCTCCTGCATCCCCAGCCCACGGATTGCCCTGATCTCCCAGCAAGCGTCCAGACGCACACAGGTTGGTCTCCCACAGTAAGAGGAGGCAAGGCTCTCAGAGGCCTTTCTGCTGCTTTAGTTCCTCAGGACTCCTGGTTGCCATTTGGCTGGCCTCTGGGGAACCCTGACCACTCCACGATGTGACTTCCAGCCTACTGCTGTGATGGTTGGAGTGGACCAGACATCTGCTGTGGCATGCTCTTTGTATTTCCCATCTCCCCACCTCTGTGGCTTACCTGGCCTCTGACTCCTCACCCCTCCACAGTCCTGGGGATTTTGTCTGTACACACATTTTCCCCAGCAGCCAGCTAGGTCCCTCAGAGGATGCCCCTAGCCCAGTGCTTTACCCCATTCCTGGATGGAGCAGCTCAGAACATTGGCTTTCTGAATTTGCAAAGCCAAGAGACAGACTTGACCTGGGCTGGATCTCTAAGACATATGAGGTGCCCCAAGGGCACCTCACACTGCCTTCTCCATCCCGGAACCCCCAAATGGAAGTGGCAGCAAAGCATCTTGGAGAACAGAGCCTGCATGTGAGCTGGCAGGTCTTGATGGGAATCTTGGCTCTTACTTTGACTCGCTGTGGGAAATTGCGCAAGTTTTTTGGGGCTTAGTCCTGTAAAATAAATTTTAAAAAAATACTGAAACATAAGGCTGCTAGGAAAATTCAATGAGTACAAAGTAATTAGCACATAATAAACAAACAGGAGCAGTTATTTTAAAATCATTTTTGTCAGTATTAATAACATCTCGTCGTCCCCGGAAAATAGTGAAAGAGAAGGTATTGCTGTACCACACTGCCAACTCCTCATTTCTGAGAAATAGGCTTTTCTCTCCACTCCATCTATCCTACAAGGTCACTGCCGTATGGAGGCGGTGAAGAAGTGACTGATATATTTATAGCAGTTAGGGAAACCATATTTTGGATCTGGAGAACATCCCCCACTTAAAACCCTCTCCCGTAATAAAAGTTTAAAGTCCTTTCCTTGCAGCTTACCTTATTTTTTTTTTCTTAAACTACAGCAGCAATGTCACATTGAGGTTTCTTTCTCTGTGCAAACACCACTGTACTAAAACTTATTTCTTACTAAATTTTGGTTGGAGGAAAATTATTCCTAAGTCATTTTTCCTATGACCAAGAAGTATACAGTAATTAAAACCTTATTTGTAAACACGAACAAGAAATAATTTATAGCCTAGGTGCAATCATTTCACTCTTTCATGAACTTACATATTTATGTGTTTGAATAAAACCTATGAATACTAACTGGCTCTTTATTTCAGTAAATGAGACTGTGGTGAGGAGTGAATTGAAGGAGGAAAGTGTGGGGCACGTAATTGAAAAATAAGATAGAGCAATGGATTTTGGATGCATGTCTGCTAGTGAATCATTCTGTGACTCTAAGTACAACACTTCGTGCTCTGATTCCCCATCTGGAAAATTATGATAATATAACTATCTGCAAAGTATGACATGAGATTCTATTTTCTAAAAAGAGGAGAACATCAACTTTTTGGAATTTTGGATCCAAATAAGCAAACATTCAAAACAAGAGTCTAAGAAATGAGAATCCTTGTTTCAGGTGAAGACTGAAACATTTTATCCTTAGTTAACAGAATTTGTAATATTTTAGGAAGCCACTTTAAATCTAAGGTTCTATCAAATTAATAATAGTATTCATATATTGTTTAGGCAAAGGGACAGATTAATAGGTAATTTACAAAAGATTCCACACATTTGGCCAAGAAACAAATAAAAAATACCAACTTCATTAGTAACATAAAAATTGCAAGCAAGGCCGGGCATGGTGGCTCACACTTGTAATCTCAGCACTTTGGGAGGCCAAGGTGGGTGGATCACTTGAGGTCAGGAGTTTGAGACCACCCTGGCCAATATGGTGAAACCTTGTCTCTACTAAAAATGCAAAAATTAGCTGGGCGTGGTGGTGGGCACCTGTAATCCCAGCTACGTGGGAGACTGAGGCAGGAGAATCGCTTGAACCTGGGAGGTGGAAGTTGTAGTGAGCTGAGATTGCACCATTGCACTCCAGCCCAGGCAACAAAGCAAGACTCAGTCTAAAAAACAAAACAAAACAAAACACAATTGAAAACAGGCTGATGATACAAGTCTAGTTTTGGTGTGGGTATGAGGAAACAAGCACATTATTGGTGAGAGTACAAGTTAATATAGTATAGGATTTTGGGGAGAAAAATTTTAAACCTGCATGCCCTTTGACCAAGAAATCCCACTCCAAATAATCTGTTCTACCTAAACACACTATGTAAAGATGCACATATGACGGTGTTGGTGACAGTGCTGTTTGTAACGGCATGAAAAGGACACCTAAACATCTGCTAATAGAAAATGATTCAATAACTTATAGTACATCCTCATTACAACCTGCCATTGTTAAAAAGAATGAAGTAAGCCCATGTATTCTGATGGATAGAAAGGGGGGACTCTCCATAAAATTTTGTTAAGTCATTAAAAACAAGTTATAGAACAATATGTAGAATGTGATCTCATTTTTTGAAAAAGCTGTGAATGAAAAAATATTCACTAACTGAGTAAGAGAAAGATTGCATAAAAGTTGAGGTGACTTTTCATTTTTTACTTTATATACTTCCACATTATAATTTTTATGGCAAGTATAAGTGATTTTTGTTGTTAAACTCATTTAAGGCCGGGCGTGGTGACTCACGCCTGTAATCCCAGCACTTTGGGAGGCTGAGGCGGGCAGATCACAAGGTCAGGAGTTCAAGACCAGCCTGACCAACATGGTGAAACCTCGTCTCTACTAAAAATATAAAAATTAGCTGGGCATGGTGGCTCATGCCTGTAATCCCAGCTAGTCAGGAGGCTGAGGCGGGAGAATCACTTGAACCTGGGAGGCAGAGGTTGCAGTGAGCCGAGATCGCGCCACTGCACTCCATCCTGGGTGACAGAGTGAGACTCCGTCTCAAAAAAAAAAAAAAATCATTTAAGACAGCGTGTAATTTTATATAAACAGGCTTTTGCAACTCTCATTCTCAGCCCATGCCCCACACTGCATCAGGCGAACCTGATGCAACCTTCTGGGTTTCTCTTCTTGTTCTGGGAGGTGTTTTCCTATGAACAACGTTTCCCTCTAATTATGAAAGAATTTTTTTGTTTTTTGACATAGTCTTGCTCTATTGCTCTATTGCCCAGACTGTAGTGTTCTCGGCTCACTGCAACCTCCACCTCCTGGGTTCAAGTAATTCTCCCTGCCTCATCCTCCTGAATAGCTGGGATTACAGGCGTCCATCACCACACCTAGCTGATTGTATTTTTAGTAGAGACGGGGTTTCACTATATTGGCCAAGCTGGTCTCGAACTGCTGACCTCAGGTAATCTGCCTGCCTTGGCCTCCCAAAGTGCTGGGATTACAGGCATGAGGCACTGAGCCTGGCCAAGAATATCCATTTATTATTGAAAATGTGTAAAATACAGAAAAGTAAAAAAAAAAGAAAAAGAAAAAGAAAAAAACACACATCTTACCCTGAGATAAACTGTACATATATTTTGCTGTATTGTCTTCCAGTCTTTTTTCCATATATTTGAAAAGATTAAAAATCTATAGCATTATTTACTGATTTTCCACTTAGCATTTTATTATGTGCATTTTCCTATTATTACCAGTTTTGGCAATTTTCATACTTATGAAATATACCATATTATGATGTCCCATCCATTATTTAATATTGAACATTTTGGTGGTTTCTAACTTTTCACTATTATAAACTATGTATATATGTATATATGTAGATAGATATTTCATGGCATCTCTGATTATTTCATCAGAATACATTTATAGAAAAGAAGGGCAGGAGTTCGAGACCAGCCTGGGCAACATGGTGAAATCCCTTGTCTACTAAAAATACAAAAAATTAGTCGAGCGTTGTGGCACACACTTGTAATGCAAGCCACTTGGGAGGCTGAGGCATGAGAATCACTTGAACCCAGGAGGTGGAGGTTGCAGTGAGCAGAGATCACACCACTGCTCTCTAGCCTGGGCGACACAGCAAGACTCTCTCTCAAAAACAAAAGAAAAGAAAAGAAGGAGACATGTACAATTGCCATGAATATATATGTGTGTGTGTGTGTGTGTATATATATATATATATTTTTTTTTTTTTTTTTTTTTTTTTTTTTTTTTGGAGACAGGGTCTCACTCTGTCACCCAGGCTGGAATGCAGCGGCGCAATCATAGCTCACCGCAGCCTTAAACTCCTGGGCTCAAGCAATCCTCCTGCCTTGGCCTCCCACATTGCTGAGATTACAGGTGTGAGCCACTGTGCTAGCCTGACATGAATATTTTAAAGACTCTCAATACACATTGTTAAATTATCTCCTAGAATGGCTGAATTAATTTGTACTTGTACCAGAAAAGGATTAGACTGAATGAAGCTTTGGCTATCCTACTCTTACTAATGGTTTTATTTTTAATTTGATAAATAATGAAAGGAAACTTTGGCCTATTTCACAGGTAAAAATGAAAAGTTTTTAAACATATTTATTTGATTTTTAGTGTAGTCAAAAAAATTTAAATATATTTTATTCATTTGTAGTTTTAAAAAGAACATTTACTTCCATAGTCGAAAAGCATTATCACAGTTAACAAAAAAAACCAATTTCTTAATATTACCTAGTATCTATTTCACAGTTAAATTGCATCAGTTGTCTCAAAAATGTCTTTTCTGGTTTGTTCAAAACAAAAGCCAACCCAAGACCGTGCATTGCACCTGGTTGTTATGTCTCTTGAGATTCTTTTAATCTATGGTTTCTTTCTGTTTTTTTTTTTTTTTTCTCTCTCCATACACTGACTTATTGAAGTTGCCTGTAGAATGTTTTATTTTTCAGGATTTTTCTGGTTGCTTGCTTGTAGTACTGTTCAACTTTGTCCTATATTCCCTGTAACGTTTGTAAACAGGGAGCTAGCTGTGAAAATGTGATAGACTAAAGTTAAACATTTTTGGGAAAAATACATCATAGGTGATGTGGTATGCTCATTATTGGGTCACATCAGGAGACTGACCCATGATATCTTGTTGGTCAACGATGAGGGCCACTAAGATTGACTCCTGAATTATGGTAGTGGCAATCTGCTTCCTTCGTGCAGGTGGGTTTTCTCCTTTGAATCAGAGAGTAATTTCTGTGATATACTTTGGCAGTATAAGAATGTCCTCTGTCCATCTACTATTCATCTAATGACTTTACCACCAATACTTAACGTCTAAATCACTGTTTTCATTTGGGGTTGAAAATGATTATTTTCTAATTCTATCATTCCTTCTATTATATTTATTTCCCATTATTCCTTTAAGTAGAGCTTTCCTTTCTCAACTGGAACTACTTGCTTACTCCAAAATGAAATACAACTTCCATTAATACTAGAAAGGCAGAATATTTCATTTTTTCCCCTTTAATTATCATTTAAATGTTTGTTGACCAGTTATAGTTCTTTTGCAAATTGTTTTCTCAGGCTTGTTGCCTATTTGCAATGGGAGTGTTCCTCATTTTCTTATTATATGTGGGCATTCTTTGTCATATATGGCATATATTTCTCTCTATTTGTGGTTGGAATTTTAATTTCATTCATTTTTTTATGTATAGATGTTTTATACTTGTCAATCTGGTCTACTATCTTTTTATTTGTGGTTTCTTCATTGCTTTCATGCTTAGAAACTCTTCTTTATCCCAAAGCCAAATCCATCTTTATTTTCTTATAGCTGTCTTATAACTGTTTTATGGTTAATTTTTTAACAATTATAGAATATGCTTATTTTAGAAATACCAATCCAGTCTTCTTATTCCTCTGCTGAAAATCCACTGGTGTCTTCCCATTGCATGGAGGAGAAAAGTCAAATTTGGCAGTTTAGCATATCAGCTCTTTGGAGCCTGGCCTTTGTTTTGGCTTCATTTCCTATCTACATTTCTAGCAATAGCAGGCCACTTGCAGTTCCCTAAATAGTTAGTGCTGTGCTTTACAACTATGGATTCTCTTCTCCATGACCTGCCACAGTCTGCCTGATAAGTGATTATTGTTCCTATAATTCTCAAATATCACCTCTTCTTGTAAAAAGTGTTCCATGTTTCTCTCTATCTCCGTCCCTTTGAAATCCTCCCAGAGACATTTGGTCAGGTTTTATTGGCATTTATCTCGTTTGGCTGCTGTCTTAGTCTATTTGTACAGCTATTGCAAAATATCTTAGACTGGGTAATTTTATAACAACAGAAACTTGGTTCTCACAGTTCTGGAAACTGGGAAGTCCAAGATCAAGGCACCAGCAGGTTTGGTATTTGGGGAGGGCCTGATCTCTGCTTCCAAGACGGCACCGTGTTGCTGCATCGTCTAGAGGGGACAAATGCTGTGTCTCACATGGTGGAAGAGTGGAGGAGCATAAACCCACTCCCTCAATCCCTTTTATGAGGGCCTTCACGATTTGATTACTCCTAAAGGCCCCACCTCTTAATGCTATTACATTGGCAATTGAGTTTCAACATATGAATTTTGGAGGATACATTCAGACCATAGCAGTTGTCATTGTCTTTATACATGTTTCTCTCCCCATCCTGTGAGTGCCTTAAAGGAGGGACCATATCATATTTATCGCTGTCACTGCCCAGCACAGAGAGGATGCACAATGTTTGTTGAATATGTGAAGCATTAATTAAAACACAACATTGAATAATAAACCATTTATACCACAGTGGGAATGTTATTTCAGAATTTCCAAGATACAGATAAGAAACTTTTCTTTCTGTTTTTTAGAAATATTGCTGTCAAAGATGGTGCTAACCTGAAAGAAAAATAACATAATATAAATATGACACCTTTGTGTTTAGGACAGCTCTAGACATACAGTGTTAGAGACAAGGAAACGATGTGATGGTGGCAAAACTATTGATGCAAATGCAGCGTTGAGACATCCCTGCTTCCATCCCAGCCCCAGCCTCTCCAGCCCCTCCTGCTGGCAACTCTTTTCCCCTGGTTCTGTAGCGCTCTGTTCCAAGACTCAGACATAATCCTACCCAAATACACATCTGCACCTCCCCCCGCCCCGCCCCGCCGCCCCAGCAACTCCACCTGGAGCCTGGCGGTGGAGTTGGGGGCTCCCTCAGACTGGCTGCACAAAGGTGACTTCATAGTCTTAACCATTTATCTCCCGTCACAGATTAAAAGCCCAGGCCTTCCAGAGAGCTGGCTCACATACCAATAGAGAAATCCGAAAGTGCAAAAAAAAAAACACGGGATGGGGGGAGTGCTACAAATAATCTTGATTATATATTATGAAAAAGTAACGGTATAAAACAGTGCTGTCCCATAAAAATAGAATGTAAGCTACATATGTGATTTTTTTCCAGTAGCCACCTTAAAAAAGTAAAAGGAAACAGATAACATTGACCATAATATATTTTAAACTACATATCAAGATATTATCATTTCAACACATATAATCAATATTTTTAAAGTTCTACATTGCTTCAATTTTAAAACTTAATCTTAACTAAAATAAAATTAAAATGATCAAAATTAATAAATTTAGTATTGATACAGTACTACTATCTAATTTACTGTCCATATTCAAATATCATCAGTTGTCCAAATAGTGTTCTTTATGGCTATTTCTTCCTCTAGTCTAGGGTCTAATTCAGGATCCTACACTGCATTTAGTTTTCGTGTCTCTTTAGTCTCCTTTAATCTGGAAAATATCCTCAGTCTTTATCTTTTTAACATTGACATTTTTGAAGGGTATGGGGCCATTTGTTATGAAAAATGTCTTTCAATTAGGGTTACTTTAATGTTTCCATGTGATTATTTTCTGGTTTCGCATTTTTGGTGGGAATCCTACGGAAACAATGTATGTCTGTGGCAGACACAGAAATTCCCTGTCTGGGTCCTCCTTCAAGGGAGGACTTGCCACCCAGCTGCAGGGAGAGTCAGCAGGTAGCCTCCAGCTGATAGCTTTTTGTATGTGCTTCACCTTTGGAGAGCTACCTTGTTTGATATCATGCCCATCTTGGGGGAATCCACATCTGGTGACTTTATGAAGCAAGGATATAAAAGCCTGACCATTCTGATCCGACATAAGACCAAAGGTATCAGACATTTAAGATATATGGAGAAAAGAGTAGGTAGAGGATAATGTATCAGATGGCTATTTTTTTTTTTTCTTTGACACAGAGTCTCATTCTACTGCCCACGCTGGAGTGCAGTGCCACCATCTCGGCTCACTTCAGCCTCCACCTCCCAGGTTCAAGTGATTCTCCTGCCTCAGCCTCCCAAGTAGCTGGGATTACAGGTGCCCGCCATGCCCAGCTATTTTTTTTTTTTTTTTTTTGTATTTTTAGTAGAGACAGGGTTTCACCACGTTGGTCAGGCTGGTCTCGAACTCCTGACCTCAGGTGATCTACCCGCCTCAGCCTCCCAAAGAGCTGGGATTACAGGCGTGAGCCACCGCGCCCAGCCCTAATATGTATCTTTAACTTATCACGTTCTACCTTCAAATACAGTTACACCACTTCATGCATGGTGTTAAAAACCTTCTAACAGTATATATTCATTCCCCTTTCCCTTACAATATCATTAACATATGTTTTACTTCTTCATTTGTTGTAAACATTTTTATTTTTGTTACACTTTTGCTTTAAGTGATTAAAGCAAAAGTGGTAACAAAAACAATTTGTTACCACTTTTGCTTTACGTGGTTAATTATATACATTTTCAAAAGAGGAAAAGTTTTATATTAATTCATATATTCACATTTTCTGATACTTTTTGTTCCTTTTGTGTGAATTTGAGTTTCTTTTTTTCTTTTTTCTTTTTTTTTTTTTTTTGATACAGAATCTCGCTCTGTCGCCCAGGCTGGAGTGCAGTGGCGCAAGCTCCGCTCACTGCAAGCTCCGCCTCCCGGATTCATGCCGTTCTCCTGCTTCAGCCTCCAGAGTAGCTGGGGCTACAGACTCCCGCCACCACGCCCAGCTAATTTTTTGCATTTTTAGTAGAGACGGGGTTTCACCGTGTTAGCCAGGATGGTCTCAATCTCCTGACCTCGAGATCCACCTGCCTCGGCCTCCCAAAGTGAATTTGGGTTTTTATCTGGAATCATTTTCATTCAATCTGAAGAACTTTCTTCAACATTTATTATAATTCAGGTATGCTAGCAACAAATTCTCTCATCTTTTGTTTATCTACAAATATCATTATTTCACTTTTCTTTCTTTCTTTCTTTCTTTTTCTCACACAGAGTCTTGCTCTGTCACCCAGGCTGGCATGAAGTGGCACAATCCTGGCACACTTCAGACTCAACCTCCCAGCCTCAAGCAATCCTTCCACCTCAGCCTCCTGAGTAGCTGGCACTACAAGCACGTGCCATCATGCTTGGCTAATTTTTTATTTTTTAAATTTTTTTGTAGAGACGAAGTCTCACTATGTTCCCTATGCTGGTCTTGAACTCCTGGACTCAAGCAATCCTCCCATCTTGGCTTCCCAAAGTTCTGAGATTATAGGCATGAGCCACCAAGCCTGGCCACACTTTCATTTTTTGAAAGAATTTTTCCTAGACATAGAATTCAAAGTTGACAGAGTTTTTACTTTCAGGACTTTAACATTCTTATTTCATTATATTTTGGCTTTCTTTCTTTCTTTCTTTCTGAGGTGAAGTGTGAAGTCAGTCGTACCTCTTATCTTTGTTCTATATACACAAGGTGGATTCAATGTTTCTCTGGTTGCTTCTAATATTTTCTTTTGATCATTGGTTTTCAGTAGTTTGAGTGTAACATGCCTTGGTGTAGCTTTTTTTGGTGTTTATGCTGTTTGCTTTCTTTCTTTCTTTCTTTTCTTTCTTTTTTTCTGACAGCGTCTTGCACTGTCACCCAGGCTGGAGTGCAGTGGTGTGATCTCGGCTCACTGCAACCTCCGCCTCCCGGGTTTAGGCGATTCTCCTGCCTCAGCTTCCTGAGTAGCTGGGATTACAGGCATGCACCATCCTGCCTGGCTAATTTTTGTATATATACATTTTTTTTTTTTAAGATGAAATTTCACCCTGTCACCCAGGCTGGAGTGCAATGGTGTGATCTCGGCTCACTGCAATCTTTGCCTCCCAGGTTTAAGAGATCCTTCTGTCTCACCTCCCGAGTAGCTGGGATTACAGGCATGCACCACCATGCCCAGCTAATTTTTATATTTTTGGTAGAGACAAGGTTTCACTATGTTGGCCAAGCTGGTCTCAAACTCCTGGCCTCAGGTGACCCGCCCACCTTGGTCTCCCAAAGTGCTGGGAATACAGGTGTGAGCCACTGTGCCTGGCCTAGTTTATTTTCTTGAATCTATGGGTTTATATTTTTTATCAAATTTTGGAAAATTTTGGCCATTATTACTTCAAATATTTTGTATCACCTCTCCTTTCTGAGTCTCTGATTATACATGTTAGATAACTTTGTATTAACCATAGGTCACCAAGGCTGTGTTCATTTTATTTTAAACTTTTTTTCGCTCTGCACTTTAATGTAGATAATTATTTTTCACTGTTACTTTGTTTACTGATCTTTTCTTCAGCAGTGTATAATCTGCTGTTAAGCCCATAGAGCAAAATTACCAATTCAGATATTGTAGTTTTCTGCTCTAGAAGCTTGATTTGGTTCTTTTTATGGTTTTCATTTATCACATTATTTATGTTTCTTTAAATTCTTGGCCATATTTATAATAGCTTCTTTAAAGTTCTTATCTTACCTGCTTGTAACCCCAGTGCGCTGATGCCCTCTAAAACTTAAAAAAAAAAAAAAAAAAAAATTAAAGAAGAAAAGTGAAGTTCTTATCTGCTTTGAAAACTAATTTCATCATCCTTGTCATTTCTGGGTCTGTTTCTATTGACTGATTCTTCTCCCATTTGTGACTCATGTTTCAATGCTTCTTCACATGTGTAGTAATTTTTTATTGGATACTAGGCATTGCATATATTACATGGTTAAGTACCTGAATTTTGTTGTCTTTCTTTAAAGACTGTTAAGTTTCATTCAAGAAAGCAGTTAATTTACTTGCAAATCAGTTTTTTCAGCTTTGTTCGAGTGGGTTTAGAATAGTCTTTACTATTGGGCTAATTTAGCTTTAAAGTGTGGCCTTTTTAGGGTCTCTTTACCAAATGCTTCAGGTTTTAATAAGATTTAATAAGATTTCCCATTCTAATCAGTCAGAGCCTAAATGTTTCCAAACTCTATTCAAGTTCTTGTAGCTGTTCAGCTTAAATTTCCCCAGTAATTGTTATTTACCAGCCTCATACAATCTATCCTTAAAGTTATACCAAAGATTCACAGGAATCCTTATGTATATTTCTGGAGCTCTTTCTCTGGCACCCTGCCCCACAAATATCATTTGTCTCAATCTCTATTAATTCCAATTTCTGTGTCCTCAACAAACCCTGCTTGGCTTTCTTCTATCCTGTGCTTACCTCCAGAAAGAAATCTGTGGATATTCTGGGGACTCATCTTGTTTGTTTTCCTTCCTTCCAAGATCACAACTTTACTATGCCAGTTGTCCAATGCCTGGAAACACTTGTTTCATAGATTTGGTCCAGTTTTCCGTTACTTGTAGTGGAAGGTTTAGTCTGGTATCACTTATTTATTCATGGCTGGATTGCTCTTAACATTTGGAAAAACATAAACTTTCTATTCAATAGTAAAATACATACTGGAAAATTTCATAAATATAGCATACAGCTTGATGAATTTTCTTTTCTTTTTCTTTTCCTTTTTTTTTTTTTTTTGACACAGGGTCTCACTTTGTTGCTCAGGCTGGAGTGCAGTGGCACAAACATGGCTCACTGCAATATTGACCTCCAGGACTCAAGCAATCCTCCCACCTCAGCCCCACAAGTAGCTGAGACTACAGGCGTGCACCACCATGCCTGGCCAATTTTCAGAGAGGGTTTGGCCATGTTGCCCAGGCTGGTCTTGAACTCCTGAGCTCAAGTAATCTGTCTGTCTCGGCCTCCTTGGCCTCCCAAAATGCTGTGTTGGGATTACAGGTGTGAGCAAGCCACCATATCCAGTCCAGTGAATCTTCATTAATTGAAAACACCATGTAATCAACACCTGGATCAATAAGAACATTACTAGATCTCCAGTAGCCCCTTATTGCTCCTTTCTAATTATTAACACTAATAATTATAACTTATTGGTTACCCTTGGGTAACCAATATTTTACTTCTATTACCTTATATGATTTTTTATTTTGAACATTATGTAAATGGAATCATATAGTAATCTTTTTTGTGTCTGACTTATTTCACTCAATTTTTATGATTGTGAAATTCATGCATGCTTTGCATATGGTTGTAGATTATTGTCTTTCCTGTATAGTATTCTACTATGTGAATATTCTTCTTCCTTTTTTTTTTTTTTTTTTTTTGAGAAGGAGTCTTGCTCTGTTGCCTAGGCTGGAGTTCAGCGGCATGATCTTGGCTCACTGCAACCTCTGCCTCCCAGTTTAAGCAATTCTCCTACCTCAGCCTCCCAAGTAGCTGGGATTACAGATGCCTACAACCATGCCTGGCTAATTTTTTTGTATTTTAGTTGAGATGGGGTTTCACCATGTTGGCCAGGCTGGTCTCGAACTCCCAACCTCAAGTGATCCACCCCCGCCCCCGGCCTCCCAAAGTGCTGGGATTACAGGCGTGAGCCATCGCGCCTGGTCAGAATATTCTAAAATTTATTTATTTCATGAACATTCTTATACATATGTTTTCTGGTGAATATATGAATACATTTATGTTGAGTATATATCTAGGACAAAATTTATGTTAGTTCAGGCCTTTCTTCTGAACTCTAGACCTACATATCCAAATCTACTTGACATCTCCATTTATAGGCATTTCAAATTTAACATATTCCAAACCATTTGCTCCTCTTTCTGTGTTCCATGAGTCAGTAAATGGCTTCTTAATCCATCTAGTTACTTAAGGAGTCATCCTTAATATTCCTTTTTGTTGACCCTTCCCGGCAAACCAATCCGTTATGAAGTCCCTTGGATACCATTTCTAATTTATACATATCTTGAAATTATCTACCTCTTTCTGTCTCTAACTCCCATTACACTAGTTCAAGCCCCATCATTTCTGGCTTTGCCTGACGCAACTGCCTCCAAATGGCTTTCCAGCAGCCCTTCTTGCCCTTTTCCACACTATTCTCCACAAACAGCCTGAGTGATTCTTAAATATGCAAATAGGATCCTACTTAATAGTCTTTATTAGCTGCCCATTGACCTTGGGCTGAGATGAGACAAGGGCCAGACCATGCTGACTCTTATTGGCCACATTACAGATTTCAGGCTGTATTTTGGAAGATATCTTAAGGTCAACGGGCAAAGTTTCTCCTTGCTCCCTACACTCCATCCACACTGACTCCCTTTTAGTTCCTAGAGCACAAGAAGTTCTTTCATGCCCCGACAACCTCACACAATATTTCCTTGGCGGGGAACATTCTCTAAGGCTCTTCAATATGCCTGCCGCTTAAAAGGCACTTATTCAGAAGTCTTTTCCCTGATAGTCCAAAATTAATTGATCATTGCACCCACTAATTTTCCCTCCCAATACTGACAATTTGTAGTTCTGTAACTATTTATGCTTTAATATCTCTTGCTCCAATTACTCCTTAAATTCCATCAAGTGTTATGTCCACTCCTGTAACCCCGTGCTTAACACGGTGCTTGGCACATGGTAAACAGTCAGGAAATGCCTGTTTAATAATGCATGACCGATGCGAAGGCTGGAAGGGGTCGCAGGGTCAGCATCTGGCACTTCTCTGCCATGGTTAGTTTCCTTCTTGTGTGTGGGAATAGACGGGGCCAGGTCTTCTCCTTGCTCACCCAGAGGGGGCTTTTCTCCCTGTCCCCTTTATAAGTGTCTGCTGTAGGGCCGCGTGTGAGAGACAAAATGCCTGCAGAAACAGGGCGGCGAGCGGAAGAGATTGGCCCTATTTCTGAAGTCAACGTAGTTCTGTCATCAGAGGATGCTGTACTTTTCTGGCGCAGGTGCGAGAGAAGCTGCCAATCTCTCCTGGAGCGGGTGGGACTAAGGAGGGCCCCGGGAGCTGGGGGGTTGTTGTGTCCTTCCTGCAGAACCCGATTGGCCTGGGTGAGCTGAGGGAACGGGGGCGTGGTTTGATTCCGCGGGCGCGAGCCACGTTGGACGCGCCGCAGCGTCGCCGAAAGGTCCCTCCCAGGCCCCACAATGCACTTCGGGGCGCGTCACTCGGAGCGGCGGGTCCCGTCTCGACAGGTACTCCCCGGCCCCTCCCAGTCCTCTTCTTCCTTTCTTAGGGGTCGTTCGAATCCCTGCCGGCCTCTCCCCTCCCGCTCCCTGCCTCTCGCCACAGCCTCGGCCTTCGCCCTCGGGATTGAAGACCTACCCCACGGGCAGGAGCCAAGTCCGTGCCTTTGGGATGGGAGTCGGGGCCGCGGAGCTCTGGAGGGACGGGCAAGCGGGGACCCCGTCCCCTTCGACTTGAGGGTTCTCTGGGGCCAGGCGGGCGGCGGTTGCGCCTCGTCTGAGCCGCCTCGGGTGTTGGGCAGCCAGGAAAGGAGTGTTTGAAGGGGAGGGACAGTCGCACTTGGCTGTCAGCATGGTGGTGGGGATTCCCTGGCGCCCAGGTGTCAGAAACACGGTGATCTACCTGTGTAGGTGGCCCATGAGAGCTTGAGGTGGCATTTCCTATTTCTTTTAGGCAGAATGGGACTTGAACCAGTGTCTTACTTTACGTTTTGTGGGGATGGAGTGAGCCCTGAGCCCAGATATTTGCCCGCGTTGGCTCACGGAAATCTCTTGAGACCCTGTCTCAAGAGTCACTTTGGGAACGATGTGGCAGAAGGGAGACCTGAGCAATTGGCTCGGCAAGTGGAGGAGGCTTCCAAAAGAAAAGGACAAGCCCCAGCTGGCTTGAATCTCTCTGCCAGTGAAGACAGCTTAAGATAATTTTTCCCTGCTGCTTAGTTTCCTGGATCATCCACCTGGGGCAGGGGGCGAGCTTGAGAACCAGTCCCTCCTATGCCTATTCAGCCAAGGCAAAGCCTAGCCCAGAGCAAAAGTATCAGCCACCAGACTGGAGATGTTGGGATCTTCAGTCAGGGGAACAGCCACTTTTCAAACTCTGAATCACTTTCCATGTTACTGATATTTGCTTACATGCTAAGATTGTAAGGAATCAGGCAATGCCTTAAACGGTACCTACAATTTCTGATATATTAAGGTTCATTCAGTATTTGACTCTGACACCTGTGACCATATCCTAAAGTAATGGGACATTCGGGTATTTCCTATGTTGAAAACCATCACATCTGTTTAGTGCCTTTTTTTTTTTTTTTTTTTTTTTTTTTTTTTTTTGCGTGCAACTGGTTAAAATCGAAGTATATCTTATGTTGGTATATGAAAGAGGCCTAGGTCTTATCACAGGGGTGCCTGTGACCTTCCTTGAGTGTCTCACAGAGTTGTTAGAATTGGGCCTGAGTTTAAATCCCTACTTTGTCACCTACTCGTTTAGGGATTAAAAAAAATTCCTCAAGCTTTCTGGGCTTGAATTTCCTCAAAGGTAAAATGGAACTAATAATACCTATCTCACAGGTTTTTGGAACGCTTAAATGAGGTAATGTGTATAAAGTGCGTGGTCCATGGAGAGTAATCAATAAATAATACAGCAAATATTTAATGTAGTGCTTTTAGCATGTTACAAGGCAATGTTTCAGGCACTTTACATGATCCTATGAGATAGATACTATTGTCATCTTTAAAACAAGCCTATGAGATAGATGCTATTAGTAGCCACAATATATAGATGTGGAAATTGAGATATAGAAAGGCAAAGCTTGTCCAAATTTACATGGCTGGTAGATGGTGGAGCCAGGATTAGAACCCAGGCAGCAAGTGAATAGATAGTTTCTATATCCCTGGTTTCTTGTGTCTTGTTGGTTTTGGGAGACTGATGAAGCATAGTGATGTAGAGATACTAGAAACTTAGACCGAAGTACCAGTTCTGCTATATACTAGCAGTGTGACATTGAGAAAGTGAGCCTTAGTTTCCTCATCTGTAAAATGGTGGTTTTACCTACCCAACCGTGAACTATGTGGCACTATAAAAATGTTGGGATTGACACATTTGAGCATGTATTGGGGGCCCTGTCCTAGATGTGGGTAAAATCTGTTGTGAAGCCTGAGGTCTTATACATACTGTGCAGTGCAAGCACCCATAATAGGAATGTCGAACACTGCTAGTGAGGTAGAAGGCATAGGCAAAATGGCGGAAATTCCATCCCCTTTATCACCCACTCTATCCCCCACCCTCAGCGAGCACTTTTAATAAAATAATATGTACCATATTGGTATTGTTTCCCAAACTTTGGTACTGTCACATATGCAAGATAATTTGATAAGCAAATGAACATTAAAAAATTCTCCCCAAATTTTCACACACATACATATTTGAATGAAACAAGTTCATTTAATTTAAATTAGGAGAAAAACTTAACATCTCAAAACTGATTTCACAGATATTATTGCTAAAAAATAAAGGACAAGAAAAGTAAGTCAATTCAAAGACCAATATTAGGTAAATAGTACAGGTGGATGAAGATAATTCTGAAAGTGGTACTTGGATGACTGAAGACTGGGAAGTTATGAACTAAAATAAATATGAGTGCTTTTGCCCCCAGTATAAAATGTTTTTATCTTAAAAGTGGCATTTGTGAAAGCATTTGGTTAGAACGTATATACAAAATCCACTTACATGTTGGGCTTTGTTTATTACCTTTTGAGAGATAACTTCCTGAGACATTGAGCCTGTAGTCATTACCCCTACAAGGTTCTGAAGAAGAGGGGTGTCTTATTATCTTGGGTCCAGGAACTTGCTAACCACTACTATAGTAGTTTGGCATTGTGGGAATTTATTTTCCTCAGCCTTTACATAAAAGTTTACCCAGATTTACCTAGATTCTAGCTTGTGCTTTTTCCTCCAACAGTTGCTGATGGGGAGAGGAAAAAATAGCCACTATTCAGGTTCCCTGTGAGTTAACTGCTGCTGTACAAAGGCAGGTGTAATATTTTCTCTGTATTAAAGGTGAGGAGAAATGGCCCAGTGCCCTAAACATTTATCTATGGCCCCGATAAGCTAAAAACTCCTAAATCTTCCCATGCAATTGTTGTAATCTCTTGCTTTCCACAGTTCCACTGGTTCTTCCTTGGGATTTTCCCAACCACAACCCTCCTTAAGACCTTAAAGATACTTTAACCTAGCTTAGGCCTGACATGGACAGATTTCCTTTTCTGCTAGCACAGTCCAGATAAGATTAGTTTAAAAAAAAACAAACTATATTATGAATCCGTGGTAAAAAGAAAAAAAGTAGGGGTATGTTTATTGAATTGATGGAGAGACAGCTTAGCCTAAGGTGGTTGGAATCTGTCTACAAATTAGTTAAGCCTGACGTTGATCATTGGACATTCATCCCCGTTTGTCAGGCTTAAATTCAAGTGCTTTGGATGCTGAATCAAATTACTGTGGTAGAAAGAGGTTTAATTTTTTCCCTAAGAAAAATCTTATCTATGGATAAGTAGAAACCATTCTCTGACAACCTTGTAATAATTTTGACAGGGAATGTAACTACTGTGTTCTGCTTTTGGTTAAAGGCTAAAGTACATATTAGGAAAATTTGAGGCTGGGCGCAGTGGCTCACACCTGTAATCCCAGCACTTTGTGAGGCCGACGCAGGTGGATCACTTGAGGTCAGAATTTGAGACCAGCCTGGCCAACACAGTTAAGCCCCATCTCTACTAAAAATACAAAAATTAGCCAGGCATGGTGGCGGGCACCTGTAATCCCAGCTACTTGGCAGGATGAGGCAGGGGAATCGCTTGAACCTGGGAGGCAGAGGTTGCAGTGAGCCATTGCACTCCAGCCTGGGCAACAGAGTGAGACCCTGTTTCAAAACAAAACAAAACAAAACAAAAAAACAACAAAAAAAGGAGTATTTGAAATGTAAGTTTGTCCAACTTTAGTTTTCCAGTTAGTGAAGTGGTGGGCAACACACCTGCATTGTTTGCTCTTTTCAACTGAGTTTCTCTAATTGAGGAGTGATGTTTCTTGATGGTAGGACTCTTCATTCCTGCTATCTGGCATAATTCATGGGACACATTAGATATTCAGTAAATGTTTGGTAAACGAATGGAACTTACAAATTGTATTCTTTTTACAGTATGTGTTTTAGAAAGCATGGATCATATATTTATTGATCTGTCCTCCAAGTCACTAAAGAATAACTTTGAAGACTACATGAAATTTGGCAACCTATTAATGAAGTCTATTCATAATATTTCTATTAGGATCCTAGAGAGGCCAGACATAAAATAATACAGTCTACTTTTATTTTACTTTTTGAGACAGGATCTCTCTCATCACCCAGGTTGGACTGCAGTGGCACAATCATAGCTCACCATTGCCTTGAACTCCTGGGCCTGCTTCAGCCTCCCCAAAGCAAGTACTATAGGCGTGTGCCACCATGCCCAGCTGATTTTTAATTTTTTTTATAGAGACAGAGCCTCACCATGTTTCTAGGTTGGTCTTGAACTCCTGGCCTCAAGCAGTGTTGGGATTATGGGTATAAGCCATGGCACCCCATCCAATCTGCTTTTAAATACTAAAATGTGGGTATTTAGAACTGCAAGTTACAACTCACCCTCAAATTAATTCCCAGAATGGTTATTGTGTTGCAGTGTACTTCTGGAAAGACAACAGTTTTATAGTTAAATAATAAACGCTTAAGGGGATAGAGTAAGACATTTTCCTACTTTCTTACACTTAGGCTAAATGTTACAATTGTGATTTAATAATTAAGTAAAACATGGTAAAAAAAAAATTAAAGAGGGGTTTATAGTATAGATATCTCTTCAGGGATCCCAACTTTTTCATGCTACTGCTTTTAGGAGAGAAAAAAACTAGATGAATGGAAAAAAACACCAATTGGGATATGTCACACTGGGACTTCAGTTTGAAGACTCCACTGTAGTAAAAAGACTAATTTGCTTCTGGATATTTTTCTCTTTAAATGAATGGAGAGGCTGGGCGTGGTAGCTCATGCCTGTAATCCTAGTACTTTGGGAGGCTGAGGTGGACAGATCACTTCAGGCCAGGAGTTTGAGACCAGCCTGGCCAACATGGCGAAACCTCATCTCTACTGAAAATACAAAAATGAGCTGGGTGTTGTGGCGCATGCCTGTAATCCTAGCTACTCGCGAGGCTGAGGCATGAGAATTGCTTGAATCTGGGAGGTGGAGGTTGCAGTGAACTGAGATCGCACCACTACACTCGTCTGGGTGACACAGTGAGACCCTGTCTCTGAAGGAGAAAAATATTAAAGGGTAATGACACAGTAACACCTAGAGATTTCTCCTTTTTCCTCATGAAAAGAGGAAAAAGGGATAGTGAACTTAATGCATTAGATTTATTAGTTGGGTTAATTTTTATTGTCAGATCAGTTATCACCATGAATGGGAAGTCATATTTTGACTTCACACAGCAGTGAAAACTATCAGCTCCTGATTTACAAGCTTTGTAACAACTGGTTTTCTGTGGTATTTTTTTTTATATATATTACTCATTTTTTCCTTTTTGGAATGAGATAATATTGACCTAGATTAAGTGGGCAGGTAAGGATTAATTTAGTCTCTAAGATACAATATTTTTGGAAAAATGCCTGTGAGATTTTTATCAGATTTTTGAATTTTCACCAGTTGCCTCACCACTAGTGAGGAAGCCTTTAGTGACATTGTGCTTTGATGGCCTGACAGAGAAGAGTTATCACTTAATCTTAGATAGTGAACATGTTTTAATTTAATGTTTTAAAAAGTATGGGCCTTAGACAATAAGCAAATTGTCAAGCCCTATCCCACAGTCAGTGGTTCAGAATTTTGAGGGCAGAGCTCAGAAATCTGCATTTTTAACTAAACTTTCAACTTCTTATGCAAGCTAAAGTTTGAGAGCCACTGTGTATTTTATGAAAGGTTGAGTGACTGTTGACCTGAGTTCCTTCAGACTCAGGCCTGTGAAGTCCTTTCATCTGTTTTTGTAAAGCAAGAAGAGAATCCAATAAAATAGGCCATTAAGATTTACTTTCTGGTAAAAAGATTGAGAACAACATTAAAACCAATATTCCTTTAGCTTTAGGATTTATTTTAAATAATTTTTTTCTGATTATAAAAGTAGTATATGTCTACTGTGAATATTGAGAACATTTAGGAAATTATAAAATAATAATAACCAATAATACCATTTCTTAGAGGTGAGCATATTCTTAATTTGGCATCTTTTTCTGCATCCGTTTTTCAATCCCTTTTTCCTTCTCTTTATCTTCGTCTCTTTATCCTTATGTTTGTGTAAAACAACATTTGCAATTTTTATCCTACTTTTTTCTCCTTAACATGTAAGCATTTTACCACATTATTAAACTTTCTCCACAAACATAACTTTTAGTTGCTGCATTATATTCTGTTATATGAATATACTATAATTTACTTAACCATCACCATTTTATAGGATATTTAGATTGCTTTCAGTTATTTGAGTGGAAGAATGTCTTTCTGTTTAAAATTTTGCCTGGATTTCTGATTATTTTTCTCAAGACAGGTATATATTTAAATTTATTGAGGTTAAAAGGTATGCCTTCAGACTCTTGTTGAAATTGCCAAATCATTTTGAGAACTGTTTGTACCAGTTTTTACTTCCATCTGTACTTATGAGAATGCCAGACAGAAGTATTATTTTTTAAAAAGCTAATGTGGCTGGGTGTGGTGGCTCATGCCTGTAATCCCAGCACTGTGGCAGGCGCCTATAGTCCCAGCCACATCCTATGCTGTGGCATGGGAACCCAGGCTGAGGCATGAGAATTGCTTGAACCCTGGATGGGGGATGTTGCAGTCAGCCAAGATGGCGCCACTGCACTCCAGCCTGGGTGACAGAGCAAGATGCTGTCTCAAAAAAAAAAACAAAAAACAAAAAACAAAAGCTATATGTTAAGTGAAGCATAGTATGTTGTTTTAATTAGTTTTTTGTTTTTTTTTTCCTCCTGAGACGGAGTCTCACTCTGTCGCCCAGGCTGGAGCTCAGTGACGCGATTTCGGCTCACTGCAACCTCTGCCTCCCGGGTTCAAGCAATTCTCCTGCCTCGGCCTCCTGAGTAGCTGGGATTACAGGTGTGCACCACCACGCCTGGCTAATTTTTGTATTTTTAGTAGAGAAGGGGTTTCATCATGTTGGCCAGGCTGGTCTCAAACTCCTGATCTTGTGATCCACCCTCCTCAGCCACCCAAAGTGCTGGGATTACAGGTGTGAGCCACCACACCTGGCCATTTTAATTACTATTCTTATATTACTAGTAAGTTGAACATTTTTACATATGCTTATCAAGTTTGGCTTTAATTTTTATGTAACCCAAATTGTTCATTTTGTTTTAGGTCTTCTCTGTTGGTTGAAATGTCTATGATTTTATCTGCCTCAGTCATTCGTGTCAGAGATGGACTGCCACTTTCTGCTTCTACTGATTATGAACAAAGCACAGGAATGCAGGAGTGCAGAAAGTATTTTAAAATGCTTTCGAGGAAACTTGCTCAACTTCCTGATAGATGTACACTGAAAACTGGACATTATAACATTAAGTAAGACTTCAGTTTGCTTCATTTGACTCATTTGCCCAGTAGTTGTCATTTTAATGAAGTTTAAGTGGTTGCAATAGAAAGGAGTGATTAGGAAAACCTGTTCAAGTCGAGCATCATATTGTTCTGAACTTATACTAAATAGTCATCATGTCAGCAGCAGCCTTTTTGTAGTTTCTTTGTATCTGGCTCTGGGAAATTTTATAGTTGTGCAGATCATAGATATCCCTCTTTTAAGTTGATCACTAAATATTTATTTGCATTCTTACATACCTAGGGTTGTAGTAAGCAAACTATAATTGGAAATAAAAATTTTTTACCTGATATCTGCCCTCAAAGAACTGAAGCAACTTACGTCTAGTGGGAGGGGGTAGCACTTATCACTGAGTCACATACAAATCAAGTAAAACTGGGCAATGGGATAGAGAGTGACTATTTATTGTGGTCAAGACACTCTCTGAGAGGGTGACATTTGAGCAGAGACCTAAAAGATGAGAGAGGAGGTAATTATATGAAGGATGCTGTGGATGAAGAGCAAGGCAGAGGTAGCAGCCAGTGGAGAAGCCCTTTTTTACATGCCAAGAGACAGAAAGAAAACCAGTGATCCTGAAGAATTATGGACAATTAATAGAGTTGCAGAAAGTGAGGCCAGAAAGGTAGGAATGGGGCAAGTTATGTAGTGAGTTTGGAGTCTATTAGTCTGTTTAGTCTAATGCAGTAGGAAGCCATTGGGTAGTTTTAAGCTATAGAGTTACATGATTTCATTTGGCTTAGAGTAGATCATTCTGCCTGCACTGTGAAGAATAAAGGAGGAAGTGGAAGCAGAGAGGTCAGATGGAAGACTCAGAGAAGTTCAGGTGGAGGTGCTGATTGTAACGAGCTAGGGTAGTAATGAATAGAAGTAGTTAGATTGGGGCTATATTTTGGGATTAATACCAGCAAATCTTCCTACTGGATTGAAATAGGATGTGAAGGTAAAAGAAGAATAATCACCTGTAGTTTTTTGGCCTGAGGAACTGGATGAATAATGTAGCTGAAATGAGCAAGAAAGGAGAGGATAAGTGCGTCTCCTTGGTAAAAAGTAAGAGTTCTGTTTGGACATGTTAAATCTGAGATGCCCATTAGACATCCAAGGGGCACTGCTAGGTAAGCAGCTGGATATATGAGTCTGAAGCTTAGTGAAGAGGACAAGTATAGACATTTAGATTTGGAAGTCAGCTTACAGTTTGTGATTAAAACCATGGGAATGGATGAGACCACCTTGGAAAGCTTAGACGTGAAACAATTAGAGAACAATTAATGTCTGATATCAAGCTGGATATTGATTATGCATACAGAAGGAAATAAGGTAAAAACACAGTCCATATAGGATATAATAAGCAGAGGGCTTCGTTGTTGAGATGAGACATGAGCCATGTCCTGAAGAATTAATAAGAGTTGGCTAAGGCAGGGAGGAGGGCATTCCAGGTGTACGGAGGAGAGGCAGAATAAGCAAAGAATGTGACTTAGCATGGTAGGTGTATTAACATGCTTATCCTGGGTCAGTGGATGGTGATTTATGGATAGTTGTGAGACATGCGTGATAATCATTGTGGGGCCAGATCCTGGATCGCCCTGAAAGTTCAGATTGAAGGACGTGACTTTGATGTAATATGTTATAGGAAGCTGTGCTGCAGGTTCAAGGGAAGTGACTTGATAAAAACAATCCTGAGACAGTGGAACTTAGGGTGAGTGGACAGTCCAAGAGGAGAGAGATAAGGCAGAGAGGCCAACTTATTAGGGCCTGAAGTAAGAAAATAAACGTGCAAATGAAAATTAGAACACCAAAAGAACTAGAATGATAATGAGAAATAGTTTGATTGGGGATCACTTTGAAGTTGGATCACTTCAAAAGAAGTGACCAAGCTGGATAGGATGGAATACCAGAGATGAAAAGAAGGAAGGGGCAAAGATGACTGAAGCCTTGGAATTGGACAGAATGTTGGTGTCATTGCCAGAAATGAGATCTTTGGAACAGACTGTTTATGAGGTGTGAGGCAGAAGAGAAAGATAATGAAGCTCCATTTTGATCATTTTTTTAAGACACTGGGGCTTGCTCTGTTACCTAGGCTGGAATGCAGTGGCATGATGACAGCTCACTGAGCCTCAACCTCTTGGACTCAAGTGATCCTCCCACTTCAGCCTCTTGAGTAGCTGGGACTACAGGTGCACACCACCACACCCAGCTAATTTTTTTATTTTTAGTAGGGATGAGGTCTCACCATGTTGCCTAGGTTGACCTCAAACACCTGGGCTCAAGTGATCCTCCTGCTTGGCCTCCCAAAGTACTGGGATTACAGACATGAGCCACTGCACCTGGCCCACTTTAATTATTTAACTTGAGGTTTTAGGCCAAGCACAGTGGCTCACACCTGTAATCTCAGCACTTTGAGAGGCCGAGGCAGGCAGATCACTTGAGCCCAGGAGTTTGAGATCAGCATGGGCAACATGGGGAGACCCTGTCTCTACAAAAAACTAAAAAATTAGCCAGGCGTGACATAGTCCCAGCTACTGTGGCGACATACGTGGGAGGATCGCTTGAGCCTAGGAGGTTGAGGCTGCAGTGAGCCATGATCTCACCCCTGCATTCCAGGGTGACAGAGCAAGACCCTGTCTCAAAAAATATATATAAATAAAATAAATAAATTGAGGTTTTGACAAGGTAGTTCAGTGGAGATGGGATAGAGATTTTGGAATCATTCACGTAGATGTGGTTGATATTGTGAGGGGAGAAGTGCCTACTGGGTTTAGAGAGAGGGCCCAGGTTAGAACCTTGGAGAATGTCCACAATTTCTTAGATCACCTGGATAATGGTAAGATGTTATATTTAATTGGGGTTTCTGAGGGTTTAATTAGAAAATATTGTGATTATGGTGATTAAAATATATGTAAAATGATGTCTCAACCTACTTCTATTTTTTTAGAGGAAAAACTTGAAATATTTCAATATTTTATTTAATAGGCTCTGTTAGTGTCCTGGGTCATTATTCTGAGTTTTATTTGTGAATGTATAGTGGTATAAACAAATATCAAAGTTTTAGGAGATTGGCTTGAATGTATATTAATTCTGGTAGGTGTGCTGGACTTAAACTTTTGCAATTTTTTTTCTTTTGACTCTCTTTTAAAATTAAAAAAATTTATTTTGACTTTTCTTAAAAGTAAAGTAAAATGTAACGTTTTAACATCCCTTCATTCTATTTAACTGAAAATTCTAGATTTTGTATCATTTAGTTTTAGTTAGTTGTACTCCAGCTTATTCCACACAAAGGATTTGAGGCAATTTAGGAAAAAAAAAATTCAAGGGGCCAAGTAAGGGAGTCAAAAGAAGGAAAATAGAGATAGGAGAATAATAAACTGAGGTAACATTTCCTTCTGGAGATGCAAACTAGATAGTCCATCCATTTGTTAGAAAAAGGTTGCAGATATTACCGTTGAGTTTCCTTGTGGCCAAAGCAAAGGGGGTAATCCATAGGATTTAGTGTCCATTGGATAAAAACATTGTTTTTCCTGTTATTGAGACCAGAAGTACATAAAGAGGACAGCATTTGGATAACATTCTTCCAGCAACTATAATTATGAGAGTTTAGGAGTGGGATAAATCAGCAGAAGTCTAATCTGGTCTAGTTCAAGAATACAATTCAGATAAATGCATTTCAGAGCCATGCATAGAAAAATGTCTATGCATGTTTTTTTGTACCAAACCTTCAATAAGGATTGGAAAACAGAAGTTCTAGTTCTAGTTCCTGACAAGGACCTGGATTTCATATGTTTTCTATCATTGATAAGAGATCTTGTGGTTTAGTTTCTGTTTAATGAGGTTGTTACCTTATATGACATTGAGCTTAGACTGAAATGCGTAAAATTGAGAATTTGTGTGTGTTACCTGACTTAAAATTCTCACACCACAACTGTTTTTCTAACAACTATGAGTTTGCTAGATAAAACTCACAGGTCTGCTGTAGCAACATCATAGCACAGCCTGAAATTGCCACCATGCTGTCCCTCTTTTCTCCTAGCCATATTAAATGCTTCTTTCCTTCAAACCCTACTTCTTTTGAATCACCTTCTTTCTCATTACTATTTTATGTCTCTAATGATCTCACTCCTTTCACAGATCACCTGTAGAACTCGGTTGACTGCCTTTTTCATCACTTATTAAAATTTCTTATTTTTAATTTAATTTTATTTCTCCATCCTCTCTTTATAACAGGGTTGTAACTCATTGAGGGAATTGATCTGCCATGGCTTATACTATTTTTGATTCCTCAACTCTTGGCATTGTGGTTTTCAAATTTGTGTAGAAATTGAGATACTCTTTCTTTACAGAATCTCAAAATCACTAAGTATATAATTATGTGCCAAATCAGTTGATACCTCACATTAAATTCTAGTTGAATAGGCAAGGGAAGACCAGAGTTTGAAGGAAAAAAAAATCAGGGGAGTAACATTTAAAATTGAGATAATTAGGCTGGGTCTGGTGGCTCACGCCTGTAATCCCAGCACTTTGGGAGGCCAAGGCTGGCAGATCACCTGAGGTCAGGAGTTTGAGACCATCCTGGACAACATGGTGAAACCCTGTCTCTACTAAAAATAAAAAAAATAAAAAATAAAAAGCCGGGTGTGGTGATGGACATCTCTAATCCAAGCTACTCAGGAGGCTGAGGCAAGAGAATCACTTGAACCCAGGAAGCGGAGGCTGCAGTGAGCTGAGATCGTGCCACTGCACTCCAGCCTGGGCAACAGAGTGAGACTCTGCCTCAAAATAAATAAATAAATAAAATTTAAAAATAAAATAAAATTGAGAAAATTCCTTTAGTTTTCTTCTCCTCTGTATTGGGAAAATGATGAATTTCAAATGAATGTAGTAGCTGGATACTTCTGTTTCGCCAATGAAGGACATTCTGTGGAGCATGGCTTGTGCTAGCACAGTTCCTTGTGCATGTCGTAGTAGCTACTAAATGAGGGATGGTTGTTTTAGGAATATGACAGCATTCAGAGTGCCAGAGAAACCTTGTTGATTGGGCAGGATGGTGTGTAGTGTGGGGTGTTCAGTTTTGTGATTTCTTCTCACATTCTATAGTGATATTCCAATTCTCTCTATATAAAATTTTAAGGAATTCATCTGTTTTATAAGTCGAAGGGTACTTTCCTTAGACTGTAATGAATTTTTAATGAATAAACTTATGTTACCACTTAAGAAAAAAACATGGCTAAAGTAAGTATGAACCATATGGAAATTAGGTTGGGTCATCTGAGATCTTTAAAACTTTGCAGTTGGCTTTAGAGATTTAAAAATCATAGTTGTACATTTTGAAATCTCTTTATTTAAACAGTAAGATGCTGAAAAGACAAATACCTTTTGGGAAGCCAATCATATCCTATTGTGAATTTTAGTGCAAGAAGTAAAATTTTTTAGTTCTTTCACTGTGAATTCATTTGAAGCCGTATAATCGCTGTGAGCCTCCTAATGTTTTTTCCTTGCCTGAGGGTTCACTTTCTCCCTACACTGCTACCTCCAGCCAGGAATACTGTTTTAGGCTTACCTGCATTTTGGCTTTAGTGTCTAGCAGTGTTTCCCTTTCACTCTTTCGGGAAATTTTCTGATTACTAGAGTAACAACTTAAACTATAACCCAATTATTGAGTACTTGCTATTGCCAGGTACTTTACTGACATTATCATTAAGCTTTCTAACAGCTCTGTGAAGGGCTATTAAATAGAGCTCTTTTCCATTGCCAGGGGCAGACACACAACTCACATTAGCTTAAGGAAAAATGGGTATTTTGAAGGGTAGTGGTGGAGCTGGCTTCACAGATGTTATCAGGAATCTTTCTCATTTCTACAGTCTCTCACCTTTTGCAGATAGATACTCTCTACGACTTGAAAGCACTACACAGACAGCTCCAGGCTTACTTCAGTCCAACTGAGCAACTCCTCTCCATGTCTCAAGAACAAGACATTGTCTTTGCTTGTATAATTGACCATTTCTAGACTGATTAATCATTGTAGTCAGAGGGGATGAGGTACTCTTATTTGGCTAAGACTGCATCACATGTCCTTACCCCTTTGAGCTTTACCAAAGCCATACAGAATGGCGCTGAAGGTAATTCCCCAAAGGGAAAGAGGGAAGGGATGCTGGGCAGGTAGATGCTGGGTAGTGCTATCACTACCCTATTTTACAGATAAGGTAAATGAGACTTAGGAATGTAAAGGAGCTCCTTCAACGTCACAAAAATAGTAAATGATATATATGAACCACAATCTTTTGGATTCAGGCATCGCATTATTATCTGGTAAAAAATGGCTGCTGCTCTTTACCCTTAACCCCTTTCTTGGCAGCATGTGTTCCTAATTCTCCCAATTCTTTTCACTTTTTATGGAGAGAGAAATGAACCAGGGAAGAGAATGAAGGGAAATACCACCCCCCTCTTTTTTTGGTCAATAATAATGAGGAACAGAGTATGTGTGAATCCTAAAATTGATGGGACAGCATTGTCTCATTGTAGACTAGGTGTTTGGCAGGGAGAGGGTGTGGCAGGGAAATGCAACCAACCTATAACTACTAAACCAGTTGGGGGAAGGAGATAACCTGGGTATTCAATTTTCCTATTTTGTCTCATTACTAGTATCACATTCCTTTTCTCCTGCTTATTATGGCAAAATGTACAGCTTTTCAGCACCATGTATGTTAAATAGGCTCTTGTGAACTGGCCTAGGAACCTAATTACTGTTATAGTACAGTTTCTGTGGGAAAATGAGATCTAGATGCAATAAGCTTTGGGAAATATACCCAATATGTAAGTTAGGGATTATCTGATCAGTTATCTAAAAAAGTCAGGATCTTCATTCTCTGGAGTGTGGCTGTGTTAGGGAAGTGAGAAAGGGTGAATTGGGAGATTAACTCTGAAGAAAAGGAAATAAAGATGTCAAAGGCAAACTTTGCTTGTTCTGTGTTTTATCCAAGTCTCTCATGGTGTAATTACCATTGACTTCTTAAAATGATCTCAGATTCTCCTTTAGGTTACTGTTGTAAGTTACCATCATCTGGCATATTTCATATTAATAAATATTTTCATTTTTAATGATGTTAAAATTTATGGCTAAAATGGGTCTTTTATTCATAGGATGATTTATTCATGATGTGGCGCTTCACCATTGGAGGGTAATTGAAAGTTGGCCATGTAAGAAAGGAGTAAGTGAGAAAATAGAAAGTTCCTGGTAAAATGCTACATGTAATGGACACTCAGTGTTACTGAGCCCTCATTCTTATCTCCTTACTGTTCCACTAGTGGCAGAGTCTTTTGTTTTCATCTTGTTTTCTATGAGACATATTTGGTGATAATACAATTCATAAGATATGCTCACTTTGTTAATGTTGAGCCCCTCTATTCAATATTTTATTTTTATTTTTAGAGATGGGGTTTTGCTCTGTTGCCCAGGCAGGAGTACAGTGGCACAATCAGCTCATAGCACCCTTGAACTCCTGGGTTCACGTGATCCTCCTGCCTCAGCCTCCTGAGTAGCTGTGACTATGGGTGTGCATCACCACACCTGGCTAATTTAAAACAATTTTTTGTAGAGATGGCATCTCACTTTGTTGTCTAGGCTGGTCTCTAACTCCTGGGCTCAAGTAGTCCTTCTGCCTCAGCCTCCCAAAACATTGGGATTACAGGTGTGAGCCGCTGCACCTGGCCCTATTTAATATTTTAAAGTTTCAACACTTTATTTTAGAGAATGGAATTCAATGTGGAAGGCTCTATTCCAAAACATTTTTTTTTTTTGAGATGGAGTCTCGCTCTGTCGCCCAGGCTGGAGTGCAATGGCACGATCTTGGCTCACTGCAAGCTCCGCCTCCTGGGTTCAGGCCATTCTCCTGCCTCAGCCTCCTGAGTGGCTGGGACTACAGGTGCCCGCCACCACACCCGGCTAATTTTTTTTGTATTTTTTTATTTTTTTTTTTAGTGGAGATGGGGTTTCACCGTGTTAGCCAGGATGGTCTTGATCTCCTGACCTCATGATCTGCCCTCCTCGGCCTCCCAAAGTGCTGGGATTACAGGCGTGAGCCACCGCACCCGGCCCAAAACATTTTTTTATACTTGGCAAATTTAACAGTAGATTAGAGATGGTATGTCCTATTAAAGAACTTTTCTGCACCCAGGAAAGCTATTCACTGGGCAAATGTGACTACAAAGGATAAGCAGAGTTTCTATGTATAGTGGCACAATTATAGCATGAAAATTACATGTTATATGTAATACAAATAATATATCAGTTCATAAATCAGTTTGTAATACTAAATCATTTGCTATCTATGTACCTTGTCATTTAGCATGCTACATTTTATGTATATATCTTGGTTTGTAAATCACTGTGATAAGCACATCCCCAGTAGTAGTATGGTAAGCTCCTGGCAGGCAGGGACTATATCTTTGACATCAGAGCCTATGAAGTAGAATGCTGGCCCTATGCTAGGTGTTCTGTCTGCTGAGAGGAAGATATTTGCTATTACTAATTATTTAGTTTGGTGCAACAGGCCAGAATTGTCCTAATAATGTCAGTGTTTAATTGGTGATATGTAAAATTTCTTCGACAGTTTGTAAATCAAATTAGATACTAGAAAAAAGTTTAATGTGTAAAACCATTTATTCATTTTGTTGAACATAGGAATCACTTGTGGAATGGCTTGGACACATTATAGAATTAGCTTTTTAGCAAAGTGATTAGAAGGGGTAAATCTCCTATGTCTGGTATTTGGACTTCTGCCAGTCTTACCTGTTAGGTTATACTTGACCCTAAAGAAGTTCCTAGTGGGTGTGCCAGGGAGGAGAACCAAAAATATAATGAAATTGGATAAATTCCTCAGGTAAAAGAAAAGCAGTACCAGTAAAGACCAAACCCCACTGGCACCAAAGCCCAGAAATGGAATGGAGCTAAACAATATAAAGGAAATTAGAGCAAAGTAGGAAAAAACCTTGGCAATTTAAAAATTGTGCCCAAGATAGAGAAAAGAGGAGAGAGTGTGTGTTTGTATGTGTGTCTGTCTGTGTGTGAGTAATGACAGTGATAAAGGGAGAGCAGACAAGTCTTTGAGACCTGCATAGCCATTCTCGGGGTACTCACTGTGAAGGTGAGTAATTCTACCTGGCTCTTGAGAACATCCCTCTCTTAAGGACATGTCGAAGATTCACTGACCTGAACCCTCAATAAAGCCTTCTGGAGAACAGTAACTAGAAGACAAGTGAAGTTCTACTCTCTTCTGTCATTTAGTCAAGTATTTATTGAGCTGCTGCTTTGTGTAGATACTACTAAGCTGTACAATTACTGGTGCATGATATACTCAACAAATTAGTGTATAAATGAGTAAAGGAATGATGCCACCTTTGCACTCATTTATTTACTGAGCACTTATGGTATACTAGACACAAAATATTCTAAGTGCTAAGAATATAATGGTGAGCAATACAGAAATCATCCCTGCTCTCATGGAGTGTGTATATTAGTGAGAGAGACATTGCAACAAAAATATATTAATATACAATTACAAATTGGGTTAGTTTGTGAAGAAAACTAACAGCTGCTATGATATACTGTAGGAGTGGGATCAGTTTAGATTGTGTGTTCTGGGAAGGACTTTCAGTCTAAGAACTGAAGGATATGTAGGAATTAGCCAGTTCAGAATTGGAGCATTGCAAGTGGGGAAGACAAAATCATGAAGTTTCTCAGTTTGGAAGTGGGAGGGCTGGAAGTGGGTTGGCATCCTTGGGGATCTGAAATAAGGCCAGTGGGTGGCTGGAATGTAGAGAGGGAGGAGTAAAGATGTACAAAATGAAGTGGAGTGTTTGGGAGGGCTTCCAGAAGATAACTGTAATACAGGTTCCAAAACTCAGAAGTTTCATTACTCTTAATTTCGGGAATAAAATAGAGATTGATTTGTGGCTTGGAAAAAGTGAAAAAACATTGGTGAATTAGGGATAATTGGTTAATCTATACTACATGGAAGTTGGTATTGTATTGTGGAAAGAATGTGGGCCTTGGAATCAACTAACTTCATCCTATCTTTGCTTCTTAATGGTGTGTGACCTTGGATAAGTTACTAAGCCTCTCTGAGTTTCTTTTCTTTCATTTGTAAAATGGAGATAATAGTGCCCCTTTATTGAGAGAATGAAACTAAATATGTAAAATACTTAGCAAAGGGCCTAGCTCATACTAAGCGGTCAGTAAACTACGTGGTGCTATTACTCTTACTACTATTTCTCTTCTTTCTCCTCAAGGCAGATAGACATCCGCCAGATTGTCTATAAAATATTAGCTAGGTGAACCTGATGAACACAGCAAAAGCATGCACAAACTGGCATGCCTGTAATGACTTTAGACTATTTTATGAGTAGTCCTCAGTGAAGTGGTGGGAGTATTTCAATCTGTCCCATGATTGTTGAAAAAGCAGAATTTTTTTCATCACAAACATAAATGGAACTGTATATACTTTGGGAAAACTAGCTTTGCATTTCAAATAAAGCATTATAAAACTAAATTTACTATGAAAAGCCATAATGTTATAGAACACACTATAGCCTTTTCAGAGAGAATCTTGCAACTGTAGTAAAATAAAGACTCCCTGAAAATGCTCACATGCCATGTTAAAGACATAGGGTTTCCTTTATTTCACATACAATTGTCTAGTTACATTTAGCACAAGTAAGATAGACCATTTGGGATAAACTGTCATGTAGGTGTCTGTGGCTGACTCTGTTATTAATATGGAAATACAGTAAGACTCTGACATAATACAAAAAATGGGTTCCAAAAACTTCAGTCATATTAATGGAGGATAATCAAATAACTCCTAGCTAGCCAATTGGGAGTTCCTAGGATGTGGAAGCCAATTACCAATTGTCTTCAGGTTATTGAGGTTATTATGGGGTATATTTGAATGCTAATGACATGTCAAAGAACTTTGATAATGACAGTGAAGATTTTTTTTGGAAAGAAAATCATTTGACAAAGCATATTTTGACCTTTGATTTAGATATTAATTTGTAGAAAAAGGCAATATGCTATGGCTAAATTAATTTGATTATGATCCTTAAGAGATACATTTTACTTTGTGAATGCTGTATATACACATATAGGAAACTAAAAAGTTTTATGAAACAATATTCCAATATTTTCTGTTATATTTTATTTCAATTTCTGGAAAATGCTGTAGTTCACTAAACTAGTTTTATGACATAGTGGTTTACAACTTGCACTTTGAAAAACATTGCACTAAATGACTGTGTATTAAGTGATGCTTCAGAAAGGAACAACCAGGTTACTCTAGAACCATAAGATCAGCACTATTTCACCACTAGTATATCCCATACCACTAGTAATAGACGACTAGTAGGTGGCAAGCCCATTTGGCTGCCTAGGATGGTCTTTAAAAAAGGTCTCATATATATATATACATATATATATATATATGTCACATGTATATATTCACACACATATTTACTTACAAGCTCTCACAGGAAGGATACATAAGAAATTATTACTAACCTGAATTGCCCAAGGGAAGGAGAACTGGGTATCTGGGCAAGAGTGATAAGACACTTTAAGTGCAGTATACCCTTTTATTTTTCATTCTTGTTAAATTTGAATCCTGTGAACATATTTATTCTAAACATTAATAAATTCTGCTTCTATGTTATTCGAGAAAGAAAATAGTAAGGTGACCAGTATGGATCAGAATTTTACAGTAAAAATTACTGTGTAGGCCGGGCGTGGTGACTTAGACCTGTAATCCCACCACTTTGGGAGGCCAAGGTGGGCAGATCACTTGAGGTCAGGAATTTGAGACCACCCTGGTCAACATGGTAAAACCCCATCTCTACTAAAAATATAAAAATTAGCCAGGTGTGGTGGTGTGTGCCTGTAATCCCAGCTACTCAGGAGGCTGAGACAGGAGAATCGCTTGAACCCGGGAGGCGGAGGTTGCAGTGAGCCGAGATTGTGCCACTGCACTCCAGCCTGGGTGACAGAGCAAGAGTCCATCTCAAAAAAAAAAAAAAAAAAAAAAAAGATTACTGTGTAGTTTAGCAGAGTCCAGCATAGGAGTGGTGAATTACATCCTGCATGCTGTTTACTGCCCCTGATCTAGACCAGCTATATTGACAGTGCTATGCAATGATGTTTAGGTGACTCATTAAAAAGGGTTACTTTGTGTTTTGTGCTCTGCTTATTTATTATAGTGGGGTATATACTAGATTCTAGAAAGCTTTTTTTCCAATAGAATATGGTTAATTTTCATGTTTCAGTGCTTATTTTTTCATTTTTAATTTCTGAATTTATTTAGAAGTAATTTCAAACTTACAGAAAAGTTGTATGAATAAGAAAAGTTCAAATAACACCTGTTCCCATAGTCACCTTTGGTCAACATTTTACCACATTTGTTTTCTCATTTTATCTACCTACCTACTTAACTATCTGATTTATTTTTTTTTTCCTGAACCATTTGAGAGAAACTTATAAATACCATGCCCCTTTCTTCATAACTACTTCAGAGTATATTTTCTAAAATTAGGGATATTCTCTTACTTAACCACAGTACACATATCAGCCTCAGTAAATTTAATGTTCCTACCATACTTTATCTACTCTACTGCCAACTTTCCTTTTTTTGTCGGTTGACCCAGGAATATGCTTTATAGCATTTTTTTTTTTTTATTGCTTTTTGGCACAGGATTTGGACTAGTGTTAGGTATTGTATTTAGTCGTCATATCTCTTTAGCTTCTTTTTTTTTAGACAGAGTCTCTCTCTTGTCACCCAGGCTGGAGTGCAATGGCGCAATCTCGGCTCTTTGCAACCTCCACCTCCTGGGTTCAAACGATTCTCCTGCCTCAGCCTCCTGAATAGCTGGGATTACAGGCATGCACCACCATGCCCAGTTAATTTTTGTATTTTTAGTAGAGACGGGGTTTCACCATGTTGGCCAGGCTGGTCTCAAGTTCCTGACCTCAGATGATCCGCCCACCTCGGCCTCCCAAAGTGCTGGGATTACAGGCCCCCACCATGCCCGGCCTCTTTAGCTTCTTTTGATTGGCAACATTTCCACATCCTTTATTTCTTTTTTACAACCCTGGCACTTTTAAAGAATACACTTTTTCCTTTTCAAAAATAGAATGTTGATCATTTTGGTGTTTTCTTAATGATTAAATTCAAATTATGCATTCTCAGAATATTATATAGCTGATGTGTCTTTCTCAGGATATAACATCTGGAGACACACAATGTCCATCTAACATGAATGATGTTAGAGAGTACTTGGTGAAGGAGTTACCTAGTTTCTACTGTATAATATTTTCCCCTTGCAACTAAGAAACAATCCATGGAAAGACATTTTAAAACCATGCAAATATACTAACCCGTAAAAATTTCCCCCTAGATTTAACATCCATGATTGTCCTTGCCTGATCCAATCTTTACTATGTTGGTTGCAAAATGCTGATTTTTCCATTGCTAGCACTTCCTCTACGTTTACCAGTCAACACTCAGCATTCTGCTTTAAGCCATAGCCCTCATTTCTCCTTTTGTTTTTTATATAAACTCATAAATTCCCCCCTCCCATGGTTCATAATTAATTACTGTGTAAAGTAGAGGATTTGATTCTGGGGTGTGTCAATGATAACTTCAAGAGGTCAGTGATCACCTTGAAATTGTGTGCAATCTTCTGTGTTCTGGCATCTTTCTAGGGAGAGTGTTCCTGTCATCAGAATCTTGAAAGGGTTCTGGACTCAAAAGTGGAAAACATATTGAAGGGTTAGACTTTAAGCTATCTGTAATACTTACAATACATTTGTATATCCATTCCCCTGCTTTTTACCCCAAGTGATAACTGAAATGTTAGAACCGTATTGTGTGTCCCTCTGTAGTACATTCTATTTTTTGTCTTCTGTTTTTAAACCACAACTTAAAATAGTGCTGTATTTTGGTTCCTTTAAATTTTTTCCTAGAATATATAATAAATGTTAAGATCTTCATTGCCACCGTAGTAGCAGTTTATGGTGTATAGAACCAGTCTTGTGAAGCAGTGAATTACCTTGATTTAATTTGAAATTTTAAAACCAATGTTTTTTACACTGTAGTTTTATTAGCTCTCTGGGAGTGAGCTACATGATGTTGTGCACTGAAAATTACCCAAATGTTCTCGCCTTCTCTTTCCTGGATGAGCTTCAGAAGGAGTTCATTACTACTTATAACATGATGAAGACAAATACTGCTGTCAGACCATACTGTTTCATTGAATTTGGTAAGGGCCTGATTTTTTTTTCCTTTTTATTCTGTCTGCATCCAATCATAAGCAATTTTAAATCTAATATTGGGTGGAGGGGGGACTTCTGCTATCTTGCTTTTGATATAATAATTTGGTAAATGATCTATAAATTATGGTAACTTTTTACTTAGATGCTTATTAGAAAAAAATTGTGTTTGAGCTGTGAAGGGGATTGTGAGTATTGGTCCGAAGAATTAATGCCAGAGGATAACTTCTCAATGAGAAATTTATAAGCCAGAGATTCAGACTTTTGCGTTTCTGTAATAATCTTTTATAGTCTGCTTCATGTAGAATAGGGGATGGCAAACATTTGCTGGAAAGGACCAGATAGTACATATTTTAGACTTTAAGGATCATATAGTCCCTGTCACAACTATTCAGCCCTGCCGTTGTAGCTCGAAAGCAGCCATAGGCAGTACGTAAATGAGTGCAGTTATATTCTAATAAAACTTTACAGAATAGTCAGCAGGCTAGATTTGGCCTGTGGGCAGTAGTTTGCTCAACTTCTGATGTAGAAGAAAAAAAAAAAACACCATGTTGTAAATAGTAAAAATAAAATTCCACTTGGAAAATATTTAGGAAATGTCTTATGTTAGTTTTATTCAATTTATTCTTTAAAACCTACATTCTAATGGTGTAAGCAATAAAAAACAGATTTATAAAAACATGCAACTTCTAGTGTGTGTTCTTATGTAATTGCAGCTGGTAAATCTGACAGATTTAATATTTCATGAGATAGGAATCTCTATAAAAATCAAGACTTTGGGCCAGGTGTGGTGTGGCTCATGCCTTTTATCCCAGCACTTTGGGAGGCCGAGGCAGTAGGATCACTTAAGGCCAGGAGTTCGAGACCACCCTGGGCAACATAGACCCTGTCTGTACAAAAATAAATAAATAAACTGGGCATGGTGGCTCACACCAGTAGCCCCAGCTGCTTGGGAGACTGAGGCAGAAGGATCACTTGAGCACAGGAGTTTGAGGTTACAGTGAGCTATGATTGTACCACTGCACCCCAGTCTAGGTGACAGAGCAAGACCCTGTCTCAAAAAAAAAAATTCAAGACTTTGGTTTAAAGTTAAAGCTGTTTTTTGTTTTTGTAATTTCTTGAAGTGGATGTAATACACTTAGGTAGTGTTAAATCCTTAGTTTATTTAAAATTACTGATTTCTAGAGGGTAAAACTGATGATTCCATGATACATTAATCATTAAACACAAGTAATATTGGACTATTTCATGACGAATTGAACAATTTTGAATAATAAACTACCTGTAATATTTACTATCCATAAACATCATATTCTGAAATGATTAATTGACAAGTGACTGCAAGGAAATTTATTTTTTATTTTACATAGATAACTTCATTCAGAGGACCAAGCAGCGATATAATAATCCCAGGTCTCTTTCAACAAAGATAAATCTTTCTGACATGCAGACGGAAATCAAGCTGAGGCCTCCTTATCAAATTTCCATGTGCGAACTGGGGTCAGCCAATGGAGTCACATCAGCATTTTCTGTTGACTGTAAAGGTGCTGGTAAGATTTCTTCTGGTGAGTTCTGGATCTCAGTTATTTTATTTTAAAAAAATCCTTGGGAAAAACTGAGAAACTCTTGAAAATGAATTACTTTATTCTAATATTTTAAATCAAGTACATGAGAGAATATAGAAGTTCAAAGCAATCCTTTCAGTGATTTATAAAGTAAGCTACCAGATGTGTGACTAATCGGGAAAATACTTTCAAATAGCAACCTCAGAGGATCTCTTTGCTAGAAAAACATTTTTTTAAATTTAAAATTAAAAAAAGTTAATTTTCATGGGTACATATTCGGTGTGTAATATATTTATGGGGTACATGAGATATTTTGATACAGGTATGCAATGTGTAATAATCACATTAGGGTAAATGGGGTATTCATCACCTCAAGCATTTATTATTTCTTTGTGTTATAAACATGTCAGTTGTGCTCTGTTAATTTTTAAATGTACAATAAATTATTGTTGACTGTAGTCACCCTATTGTGGTATCAAGTACTAAATCTTATTCATTTTAGCTAACTATATTATGTACCCATTAACCATCACCCTTTCTCCCACCCCCACTACCCTTCCCATCCTCCAGTAACCAAAATTCTACTCTCTTATCTCCATGAGTTCAGTTGTTTTAAACTTTAGCTCCCACAAATGAGTGAGAATATGTAAACTTTTCTTTTCTGTGTCTAGTTTATTTCAGTTAATAAAATGTCCTCCAGTTCATCCGTGCTGTTGCAAATGATAGGATCTCATTCTTTTTTTATGGCTGAATAATACTCTGTTGTGTATGTGTGCCACATTTTGTTAATCCGTTTGTCTGATGATGGGCACTTAGGTTGCTTCCAGGTCTTACCTGTTGTGAATATACTGCAGTAAACATGAGAATGCAGATGTCTCTTCGATATGCTGATTTCCTTTCTTTTGGGTATATAGCTAGCAGTGGGGTTGCTGGATTATATGATAGTTCTCTTTTTAGTTTTTGAGGAACCTCAAAACTACTACTGTTCTCCATAGTGGTTGTACTAATTTACATCCCCACCAACAGTGTTCCCTTTCTTCCACGTCATCACCAGCATTCATTATTGCCTGTCTTTTGGATAAAACCCAGTTTAACTGAGGTGAAATGATGTCTCGTTGTAGTTTTGTTTTGCATTTCTCTGATGATCGGTGATGTTGAGCACCTTTTCATATACCTGTTTACCATTTGTATGTCTCTTTTGAGAAATGTCTATTCAGATCTTTTGCCCATTTTTTAATTGGCTTGTTAGATTTTTTCATATAGAGTTGTTTGAGCTCATTGTGTATTCTAGTTATTAATCCCTTGTCAGATGAATATAGGGATTCACATTCCCTTCTCAGTTTGCAAATATTTTCTATCATTCTGTGGGTTGTCTCTTCACTTTGTTGTTTCCTTTGCTGAGCAGAAGCTTTTAAACTCAATATAATGCAATTTGTCCACTTTTGCATTGGTTGCCTGTACTTGTGGGGTATTACTCAAGAGATCTTTGCCCAGGCCAATGTCCTGGAGAGTTTCCCCAATGTTATCTTTTAGTAACTTCATGGTTTGAGGTCTTAGATTTAAGTCTAATCCATTTTGATTTGATCTTTGTATATGGCTAGGAAAACATTTAAGGTTTCTTTGTAAACATTTTTCTAGAAATGAAAAATAGGTTCTTTGTACTGCATATTTATAGGCATGTAAAGTGCTTTGCATTTTGTTAAAATGGCTACATTCAAGGCCAGTGTTCTTGACTGTCACGGAAGGTGTAAATACTTTAGTGATCGTCTGCTCAAACCTCCCATCCCAAAGAAGGAATACTATCGTCAACAGTTGTGAAATGATATAAACTTTTGCTTAAAATGAACACCTCATTATTTTATAAGGTAGCATATGCCATTGTCAGACTATTTGTTTAAGAAAATTATTCCAACCTAAGGCTTTAGGAAAAAAAAAAAACTTCCTTATATAATTGAGCTAAAGTCAGCTTCCCTATGTCTACTAGTTTGTTTTGTGATCTGTTCCTCCCTTCCTTCAGCAGAACCAGAATAACAGTTAAGTCAGCAACTGTGTGTCCTTTCCATCCTCTTAGACTAGTCTACTTCATATAAATATCTCCAATTCACCAATGAGAACACATGGACACAGGGAGGGGAACATCACACACGGGGGCCTGTCAAGGGGTTGGGGGCAAGGGGAGGGATAGCATTAGGAGAAATACCTAATATAGATGATGGGTTGATGGATGTGGCAAACCACCATGGCACATGTATACTTATGTAACAAACCTGCACGTTTTGCACATGTATCTCAGAACTTAAAGTATAATAAAAAAAGAAATAAAAATGTAAGACAATATCAACTATAGAATACAAAGCAAACACATTTATCATTGTATATTGACAAAGGGCAAAATTTTCAATTAAACTGCAACAAACATGCACCTTTTTGAATCACGAGGTCAGGAGTTCAAGACCAGCCTGGCCAAGATGGTGAAACCCTGTCTCTACTAAAAATACAAAAATTAGCTGAGTGTGGTGGCAGGCACCTGTAATCCCAGTTACTCGGGAGACTGAGGCAGAGAATTGCTTGAATCCAGGAGGCAGAGGTTGCAATGAGCTGAGATCGTACCACTGCACTCCAGCCTGGGTGACAAAGCGAGCTCCATCAGAAAAAAAAAAAAAAAACTCCAGTTCACTTAGCCTTTTCATTTATGGCATTTCAAGTTCTCCCCATCCTAGAAGCTTCCTCTAGACATGCTTTAGTTTGTTAATATTCTTTAAATTTGGACTGAATACAACACTTCACATACAAATGTGGGAGAAGAGGGTAACAAATTTCATTAAAATAATCCAGTCAGTTAGTAAACAAGCAGATAACAATAACAAGCCCAGTTGGTCAGGGGTGGTAGGGGGAGAGTGGGCTAGTACCCACATTGTTACAATATGTTATCTAAAATGTCCAATTTCCAGTAAATTATAAGACATGCAAAGAAACAGGAAAATATGGCCAGGTGTGGAGGCTCACACCTATAATCCCAGCATTTGGGAGGCCAAGGCGGGCGGATCTCCTGGGGTTGGGAGTTCACGACCAGCCTGACCAACATGGAGAAATCCCGTCTCTACTAAAAAAAAAAAAAAAAAAAAAAATTAGTTGGGCAGGGTGGCACATGCCTGTAATCCCAGCTACACGAGAGGCTGAGGCAGGGGAATTGCTTGAACCCAGGAGGCGGAGGTGGCAGTGAGCTGAGATTGCACCATTGCACTCTAGCCTGGGCAACGAGAGCGAAAACTCCATCTCAAAAAAAAAAAAAAAAAAGAAAGAAAATATGACCCACACACTGTGGGCATGGGGTAGAGGGGACAGAATGTAGGTAACAGAAACTGCCTCTGAGAGCAATCAGCTGTCAGATTTAACAGACAGAGGCTTCAAAGTAGTCATTATAATCATGTTCAAAGACTAAAGGAAACTATTAAAGGAGTAAAGGGGGAGGTATGATAATGTTGCATCAAATAGACAATACCAATAAAGAGAAATTATTTTTAAAAAACACAGTGGAAATTCTGGAATTAAGTAAAATTACTAAAATGAAAAATTCACTAGAAGGGCGTAACAATAGATTTGAACTGGCAGAAGAGTTAGCAATTTGAAGATAGATTGATAGAGATTATCTAATCTGAAAAACAGAAAAAAGAATGAAGAAAAATGAATGGAACCTCAAAAAAATGGGGCATGCTAACATAGGTGTGATAGGATACCGAAGAAGAAGGGGGAGAAAAAGCAGAAAAAATATTTGAGGAAATAATGGCTGAAAAGTTCCCAGATTTACTGAAGAACATTAGTCTGCTCTTGCAGGAAGCTCAGTGAACTCCAAATGGGATACACACGAGATCCACAAATAGATGAATCATAGTAAAATGCTGAAAACTAAAGACAAGGAGAAAGTCTTGAAATCAGCAAGAGAAAAAGAACTTGTCACTTACATGAGTTTACCTGTATAACAAACCTGTCCCTGAACCTAAAATAAAAGTTAAAAGGAAACCAAAACTCATCACTTACAGTGAACCTCAATAAGATTAACAGCTGACTTCTTAGCAGAACCAATAGAGACTAGTAGGCAATGGAATGACATACAAATTGCTGAAAGAAAGAAAATAAAAACTACCAGTAACCAAGAATCTTATATCTAGCAAAGTTATCTTTTAAAAAAATGAAGGCAAAGTAAAGATATTTACAGATAAATGAAAGATAAGAGAATTCGTTACTAGCAGAAACACCTTATAAGAAATAATAAAGGAAATTCTTGGCTGCATGTTGTGGCTTACGCCTGTAATCCCAACACTTTGGGAGGCTGAGGCGGGCAGATCACGAGGTCAGGAGTTCAAGACCAGCCTGGCCAACATGGTGAAACCCCGTCTCTACCTAAAATACAAAAATTAGCTGAGCATGGTGCCACACGCCTGTAATCCCAGCTACTCAGGAGGCTGAGGCAGGAGAATTGCTTGAACCCGGGAGGCGGAGATTGCCGTGAGCCGAGATCGCGCCACTGTGCTCCAGCCTGGGCAACAGAGCAAGACTTCATCTCAAAAAAAAAAAATAAATAATAATAATAATGGAAATTCTTTAGGATGAAAACAAGTGACCCTAGAAAATAATTTGAATCCATTTGAAAAAAAGCAAAGAACAAGGGTAAATGTAATTAAGTAATTAAAAAAGACAGTAAAGGCCCGGTGTGGTGGCTCATGCCTGTAATCTTAATACTTTGGGAGGCCAAAGTGGGAGGATCCCATGAGCCCAGGAATTTGAGGTTGCAGTGAGGTAGGCTGCCCTCCAGCCTGGGCAGTAGAGCAAGACTCTGACTCGTAAAAATACATTAATGCATTTTTCTTCTACTCTCTACTCTTAACTGATTTAAAAAGTGATCATATAAAACAGTGTATATATAATGTCATTTGGGCCTATAACATATAGAAATGTAATATGTTTTCGCATACAGCAAAAAGGACATGGGTGGTATTAAAGTTGTACTGGGATAAGGAAATTACTCCAGATGATAATTCAAATCAACAGGAACTAATGAAGGAAGCCAGAAAGATAAGATAAATATTAACAAGAGCTATAAACATATAATTACTATCCTTTCTTAGCATTTTTGGAAGACATAAAATTATAGAAGGTCATAATTTATAACAATGCATTATGGAGTTTGTGATGTTTATTGATATGTATAACAGCAATACCACAAAAAGGAGATAAAGGGAATAGAGCTATATAGGAGTAATGTTTCTGTGGCTCATTAGAATATAGTATAAATTCTTGCAGTTAAGATGTACATGGTAAGCTTAGAGCAACCACAAAGCAAATAAAAAGTAGTGAAAAATTATTAAAGTAAAATACCGTACTACCAAATATTCACTTCATGCAAAAAAAAAAAAAAAAAAAAAAGTGAAGGAGGGATAGAGCCAAAAAAGGCATGAGATGGATAAGAAAAAAGGGAAAAAATGGCAGATGTAAATCTATATCAGTAATAATGTTATATATGAATGGATTTAAAAAGTGTTAATATATTAAATAATCCAGTCAAAAGATGGAGATTGTAAGATTGGAGTAAAAATAAAAACACAAGATGCAACTATATGTTGTCTTCAGGAGACATACCTTAGATTCAAATATACAAATAGATTGAAAGTCAAAGGATAAAAAAAGATAAATGAAGAGGAAAAGAGAGCTGGAGTACCAATACTAATATCAGACAAAATGGACTTTACGACAAACATTGGTATGAGAGGTAAAGCATGACATTTTATAATGATAAAAGGGTGAATCAATTAAGATAGAGCTATAAACATACATGCATTTAACAACAGAGCCCCAAAGTACATTAAGTAAAACCTGCCAGAAGTGAATACAGAAATAGACAATTGAACAATGGTAGTTGGAGACTTAAATACACAACTTTCAATCATGGATAGAACAATTAGGCAGAAGATAAGAAAATAGAAGACTTGAACACCTGCACCACCATATGCCAGTGAGACATAACAGACATCTATTAGGATACTCCATTTAACAACAGAATTTATGTTCTTCTCAAGTGCATGTGAACTATTCTCCAGGATAGACCTTATGCTAAGCTAAACAAAACAAAAAGAAAAACAAAACCTTCATAAATTTAAAAGGATAGAAATAGTACAAAGTATGTTCTCCAGCTACATTAGATGAAATTAGAAGTGAAAACAGAAAGAAATTTGGGAAACTCACAAATATGTGGAAGTTAGACAGTACATTCCTAAATAGTGAATGGGTCAGAGACTAAATCAAAAGGGAAATGCGTACTTTGAGATGAATGAAAATGAAGATTCAGCATACCAAAACTTACAGGATGTAGTAGCAAAAGCTAAATTTAGAGGAAAATTTATCGCTGTAAATGCCTATGTTTAAAAAAACAAAAACCAGATTTGAAGACAACTTTCCACTTAAAGATAATGGAAAAAGAAAAGCAAATTAAACCTAAAGCAAACAGAAGGAAGGAAATAACGATTAGAACAGAAACAAATGAAATAGAGGATAGGAAAACAGTAGAGAAAAATCAACAAAACCAAAAGTTGGTTCTTTGAAAAAACTGACAAACCCTTAGCTAGATTGACCCAGAAAATAATTACTCAAATTAGAAATGAAGGGGCCAGGCACGGTGGCTCATGCCTGCAACCCCAACACTTTGGAAGGCTGAGGTGGATGCATCACTTGAAGCCAGGAGTTCAAGACTAGCCTGGCCAACATAGCAAAACCCCATTTCTACTAAAAATACAAAAAATTAGCTGAGCATGGTGGCACGTGCCTGTAATCCGAGCTGCTCAGGAGGCTGAGGACGAGAATTGCTTAAAACGTGGGAGGTGGAGGTTGCAGTGAGCTGAGATCACACCACTGCACTCCACCCTGGGTGATAGAGCGAGGCTCTGTCTAAAAGAAAAAAGAAATGAAAAGGATGGCATTTCTACTGACCTTCTAGAAATAAAAAGGATTATAAAGAATACTATAAACAACTGTCTCCCATTAAATTCAATAACTTTGATGAAATGGATAAATTCCTAGAAAAACACCAACTACTGGTAATGATGCAAGAAGATAATATGAATAGATCTGTAAAAGCAAAAAGATTCAATTAGTAATAAAAACTACCCACAAAGAAAACTCCAGGCCCAGATACATTTACTGGTGATTTTTACCAAACAGTTAATGAAGAGTTAATAACCAGTTATTTACAAACAGTTCCAAAAAAACAGTAAAGGGCCAGATGCTGTGGCTCACACCTGTAATCCCACCACTTTGGGAGGCCGAAGCAGGTAGATGGCTTGAGCTCAGGAGTTCAAGACCAGCCTGGACAATGTAGTGCAACACTGTCTCTACAAAAAATACTTCCGTATTCTGTGAGGCCGGTATCATACTAATACCAAAACCAGGCAAAGTCATCACAAAGAAAGTAAAATGCAGACCAATATATCTTATGAATATGGACACAAAAGTCCTCAGCAAAATACAAGCAAACCCAATCCAGCAACGTATTTAAAAAATTAGGCCAGGCGCTGTGGTTCATGCCTATAATCCCAGCACTTTGGGAGACTGAGGCAGGAGGATCACTTGTGCCCAGGAGTTTGAGACCAGCCTGGACAACATAGGCAGACCCCATCTCTACAAAAAATTTTTAAAAATTAGCGTGATGGTATGCATGTGTAGTCCCGGCAACTCAGGAGGCTGAGGTGGGAGAATCATTTGAGCCCAGGAGTTTGAGGCTGCAGTGAGTAATGATGACACCACTGCACTCCAGCCTGGGTGACAGAGCAAGACCATGTCTCTAAAAGAAAAAATTACAGTTATGTGCTACATAACAACATTTTGTCAGTGATAGACTGAATATATGGTGGTGATTTCAAAAGATTATAATAGCATATTTTTACTGCACCTTTTCTATGTTTAGATACACAAATACTATTGTGTTACAGTAGTCTACAGTAGCCAGTACGATAACATGCTGCACAGGTTTGTAACCCAGGAGCAATAGGCTATACCATATAGCCTAGGTATGTATTAGGGTATACTATCTAGGTTTGTGTAAATACACTCTATGACGTTTGCACAGCAATATCACCTAATGACACATTGTTCAGAATGTATCCCCATTGTTAAAGGATGCATGACCTGCATAAATCCTGACCAAGTGGGATTTATCTCAGGTGTGCAAGGTTGCTTTAACATCCAAAAATCAATTAATGTAATATATTGATAGAATAAGAAATGAAAAACACATGATTATCTCAATACATGCAGAAAAAGCATTTGACAAAATTCAACAGCCTTTCATGGCAAAAAAACAAACAAACAAAAAAAAACACTCAACAAACTAGGAATAGAAGGGAAGTTCCTCAACTTGATAAAAGTCCCTTATGGAAAACCCACAACTAACATTATATCTAATGGTGAAAGACAGGATGCTTTTTCCTAAGATCCAGGGACAAGACAAAGATGTCTGCTTACACTACTTCTAGTCAACATTATACTGGAAGTTCAAGGCACAGCAGGCCGTTGGACAAGGACAATAAATAAAAAGGCATGTAGATTGCAAAGGAAGAAATAAAATAACACCATTCACATATGACGTAATCTTTTATATAGAACATTCTAAGGAATCCACTGAAAAACTATTTGAGAACTAATAAATGAGTTCAGTGAGGTTGCAGGATACAAGATTAATATAAAAAACAATTGTATTCTATACACTAACAATGAACAATCTGAAAATGAAATTAAGAAAACCCTATATACTGAAAACTTTAAAACATAATTGAAAGAAACAACACCTACATTAATGACAAATAGTCTCATGTTCATGGATTGAAAGACAGTATTATTTACATGGTTGTACTTCCCAAATTAATAGAGAGATTCAGCACATTCTTTATAAAAATCCCGGCTTTTTTTGTAGAAATTGACAAGGTGATCCTAAAATTCATATGGAAATGCAAGGGATGGAGCATAGCCAAAATAATCTTGGAAAATCTTGGAAAAGTACAAAGTTGGAGGACTCACACTTCCAAACTTATTACCAACCTACAATTATCATGACTGTGTGGTTCTAGTTTAAGGATAGACACATAGATCAATGGAGTAGAATTGAGAGTACAGAAGTAAACTCACTATGGTTAACTAATTTTCAACAGTGATGCCAAGACAATGGTGAAAGAATAGTCTTTTTGACAAATGGTGCTAGGACAACTAGATACCACATGCAAAAGAATGAAGTTGGACCCCTACCTCAAAAAAAATATATAAATTAATTAAAATGTATCAAAAACTTAACAACAAAACTATAAAACTTTTAGGAGAAAACATACATATAAATCTTTGTATAATCTTATATTAGGTTTTTAAGACTTAACACCAAAATCACAATGAAAAAAGAAAAAATAGGCTGGGCTCAGTGGCTCACGCCTGTAATCCCAGCACTTTGGGAGGCCAAGACAGGCAGATCGCTTGGTCCCATGAGTTCGAGACCAGCCTGGGCAACATGGCGAAACCTCATCTCTACAAAAAATACAAAAATTATCCAGGCGTGGTGGCGCACGCCTGTAGTCCCAGCTACTCGGGAGGCTGAGGTGGGAGGACGGCTTGAGCCTAGGAGGCGGAGGTTACAGTGAGCTGAGATCGTGCCACTGCACTCCAGCCTGGGCAACAGCCAGACCTTGTCTCAAAAAAAAAAAAAAAAATAGATAAGGTGGACATCATCAAAGCTAAAAACTTTTTTGGAGACAAGTTCTTACAATGTTGCCCAGGCTGGTCTCGCACTCGTCGGCTCAAACAATCCTCCCACCTCAGGCTCTAGAGTAGTCTGGATTACAGGCATGTACTACCTCACCCAATTCAAAATTAAAAACTTTGTTCTTCGAACGACACTATTAAGAAAATGAAAAGGCAACCGACACAATGGGAGAAAATACTTGTAAATCATATGTCTGATGAGGAACTAGTATCTAGAATATGTAAATAACTGTTACAACTAAACGATAAAAAGACATAATCCAGTTTAAAAATGGAGAAAGGATTGGACTAGGCATTTTTGCAAAGAAGTTGTACAACTGGACAATTAACACATGAAAAGATGTTCAACGTCATAGTCATTAGGGAAATACAAAGCAAAATTACAAGTAGATGCCACTTCATATGTATTAGGATGGTTAAAATTAAAAAGATAGACAATAACAAGTGTGGATGAGGATATAGAGAAATTGGAATCTCCATACTTTGCCAGTGGGGTTGTAAAATTATGCAGTCACTTTGGAAAACAGTTTGGAAGTTCCTCAAAAAGTTAAAAAGAGTCACCATATGGCCCAGGAATTCTACTCTTAGGTGTACCCCGGAGAAATGCAAACATATGTCCACACAAAAATATGTGTATGAATGTAGCATTATGCAAAATAATTTATGAATAGCAGCATTATTCAAAGCCAAAAAGTGTAGACACCCAACTGTCCATCAGCTGATGAGTGGATAAATAAAATGTGGTATATCCATATAGTGTATTATTATTCAGCCATAAAAAGGAATAAAGTACTGATACATATAACAACATCTGTGAACCTTAAAAACATTATGCTAAATAAAAGAAGTCAATCACAAGAAGGTCACATATTAATCATTCTCTTTATATGGAATGTCCAGAATAGGCAAATCCAGAGAGACAGGAAGTAGATTAATGATTGATGGAGCTAGAGGAATGGAGGGAAATAGGCAGTGACTACTAATAGGTATAAGATTTCTTTTGGGGGTGATGAAAATATGGAATTAGGTATTTATGATTGTTGTACAACTCTGAGTATACGAAAAACTCCTGAATTGTGTGTTTTAAAAGTATTAATTTTATTGAATGTGGATTATATTTCAATTTTTAAAATCACTAATAAGTTCGATTATTACTTTGAAGACTTCCAGCTCTAGTAGTGATGGAGTAGGTAATTCAGACCACTAGTCCCACTGAGTACATGTAGAAAAGCTGAATGAAATGTATATATTCTATAGAATATATATGTCTGATCTAATATAGAATTTAATCAACTATAATCTTCCTGATATCTCTGGAGATCCAACAAGATTACTAAGAATTAGTGGGATGCAGAGGAGGATGGAGGCCCAGAGAGATGAGCCCAGTGTTCAGAGCTACTTTTTCCTTTGGTGCTTTTACCCATTTTGGAGAGCGTCTCTCCAGCTTTGGTTTACTACCTCAGATTTTTGCACCCTAGGAATATGGGTGAACTTAGTTTTGAATCATATTGTTCTCTAAAATTGGAGTGAGGTGATTCCACTGTGCTAATGCTCCAAAGGTCCTGGTAGAAGCAATCAAATATCTTTCTTGGAAGAAGATAGTGTCATAAGCTTCAAATTATGTCTACAACAAGATTTTGAAAATAAAATGTTTGGCAAACAATCATAGATAATTAAGCACCTTAAGAGACTACACTACATGAACATAGACCATAAGAAACACGCACACACACACACACGCACACATATGCACGATCTGATAGAAACAATGAAAGCCAGAAGACAACTTAATGATAACTTTGAAAGGATGAAAGAAAATAACTGCAAATGTAGAATTCTGTGCTTTACAAAATGAATGAAGTGAACAAAAAGAATGAAGTGGCAAGAATAGATATCCTTGTATTTTTGCTGATCCTGGTATTAGCAGCGAAAACTTTCGGTCTCTAGGTTTTGCAGGTCATATGGCCTCTGTTAGTATAACACATGAAAGTAGCCATAGATGTTATATAAAAGAATGAGCGAGGCTGTGTTGCAATAAAACTTTATTTACAAAAATAGATGGTGGGCTAAATTTAGTCTGTGGGTCATAGTTTGCCAGCCTTTGCTGTCTGCTAATCTTTGGCACAAAGTTGACATAGCCTTGTGAAAATATGGTAAATATACTGATATCTTTATCAGGTAAAAGTAAAATGCTTCTGATTTTCTCTATTTATTAGGATAGAGAAAAATGTGTTACCAAATTAGTACCTACAACAGGTCAGAGAATGAATTGCTTTGTTCCATAAGAAGACTGCATTTGAAAAAGCACATGCAGTTGAAACCTACAATCTGTCATCCTCCAAGACACATCCATTTTGGAGACTTATACTGGACAGTTAAATGGGAATATAATAGGAATTGCTACCTATACATCTTTTAAGACTTGGATGGTGGCACTGATCTCTGTAATTACCTTGATGATATTTGGATTGGGGGAGCTCAAAAACTTCCATTGGACCTTCCTTCTCTAATAGTTCTAATTCCATGGGTCTGGCAGTCAATATTGCAAAATATATCCGTTCGTTAATAGACACTCAGGATTCAGGTATATAACCTAAATTAGGGGTGGGGGTCCAACTTGACTTACCAGGAGGTAGACTCTGTTAGAAACTCCACGTATCACCTGACTTCCATAAGTCCCCACCCTGACCTGTAGCTGGCAGTGGCATCCTGGATCACCAAACGTTAGACACTTGGAAAATGGGGAGAGTCTGGTATTTGTTATTGTTTTAAGGAAGAGGGGCAAGATGCAGTGGTTCACGCCTGTAATCCCAGCACTTGAGGAGGCCAGGGTGGGAGGATGGTTTGAGCCTAGGTGTTTGAGACCAGCCTGGACAACAAAGTGAGACCCTGTCTCTACAAAAAAAATTAAAAGATTAGCTAGACATGGTGGCACGTGACTGTAGTCCCAGCTACTAGAAAGGCTGAGGCAGGAGGATTGCTTGAGCCTGGGAGGTTGAGGCTGCAGTGAGCCTTGATCATGCCACTGTACTCCAGCCTGGGTGACAGAGTGAGACCCTGTCTCAAAAAAAAAGTTTTAAAAGTAACTCACAACTAGAATTTATTTTATTTTATTTTTATTTTTGAGATGGAGTCTTGCTCTGTCACCCAGCAGGCTTGAGTGCAGTGGCGCAATCTCAGCCCACTGCAACCTCCACCTCCTGGGTTAAAGCAATTCTTCTGCCTCAGCCTCCCGAGTAGTTGGGATACAGGTGCATGCCACCATGCATGGCTAATTTTTGTATTTTTAGTAGAGACAGGGTTTCACCATGTTGGCCAGGCTGGCCTCGAACTCCTGACCTCGTGATCTGCCCACTTTGGCCTCCCAAAGTGCTGGGATTACAGACGTGCGCCACCACGCCCAGCCTAGAACTTATTTTAATATAACTTTAAATTTACTTTTAATTCAGACCAAGCCTACATAATATTTTCTATGGTCCCCAAGTTAAAATATATTTTTATGTTTTGGAACTTCTAAATAAAACTATTCAGTTTATTTTAGAATCTGTTTAATAGTTACTTGATAAACATCATTTTTCAGGGTTTTCCTCCCTCTGTTACAGTATCTTACTCTCAGTATCTTTTTTGTATTTCTTGACTTTTTTCTCTTTCTAATCTTTTGATCCTCTCCCCACAGTCTGGCATGAATGTTTTTATCTTGCCATACTTATTTTCTGAAGTCTACAGATGTTGTTCATGGGGTTAAAATATTAAATGAAGGGTACTGTGTTCTGCTTTTACTTCTTTTAAAACTGTTTATTATGGAAATTTTCAAAGTAAACAGAATAGTATAAATAAACAGAATGGTATAATTAACTCTCATGTACTCAACTATAACAACGATATCAACATTTTGCCATTCTTTTTTCATCTGTACTTCTACCTACTCCCCACTCATCCACTCACTAATTTATTTCTATATTTTTTTCTTGTTTAAGGGAGATTTACGTATATTAAAATGCACAAATCTTTGCTGTGTCCACCCCGTTTTAAAGTATATGTTTCATTATTACTCAGGTATGGTGAGGAGGAGATGACTGTCATAGAAAAGATAGTTTGTTATACTCACTGATCCCTAAAGGGAGCACACAAGGATGTACCAATGTGGGTCAGGAGGCAGAGGGAGCAGGAGGAAAATGTGGGCAAAAACTTTTATTTTTTTTCCACTGTTTTTTATTTTATTATTATTTAAGTTTTAGGGTACATGTGCACAATGTGCAGGTTAGTTACGTATATATACATGTGCTATGCTGGTGTGCTGCACCCATTAACTCGTCATTTAGCATTAGGTATATCTCCTAATGCTATCCCTCCCCCCTCCACCCACCCCACAACAGTCCCCAGAGTGTGATGTTCCCCTTCCTGTGTCCATGTGTCCATGTGTTCTCATTCTAACTGGTGTGAGATGGTATCTCATTGTGGTTTTGATTTGCATTTCTCTGATGGCCAGTGATGGTGAGCATTTTTTCATGTGTTTTTTGGCTGCATAAATGTCTTCTTTTGAGAAGTGTATGTTCATATCCTTCGCCCACTTTTTGATGGGGTTGTTTGTTTTTTTCTTGTAAATTTGGTTGAGTTCATTGTAGATTCTGGATATTAGCCCTTTGTCAGATGAGTAGGTTGCGAAAATTTTCTCCCATTTTGTAGGTTGCCTGTTCACTCTGATGGTAGTGTCTTTTGCTGTGCAGAAGCTCTTTAGTTTAATTAGATCCCATTTGTCAATTTTGGCTTTTGCTGCCATTGCATGCAAGAACTTTTATTGTGGTTTTGGTGGTAAGGAATGGGTGAGGCAGGGTAAGGAGGTTTTAAGATTGGCTAGTTTGAATAATTTCAATGGACTCTGGGGCATAGGTTCTATCTCTGGTTGTCTGACATGTGGCCCTGGGATGATTGGGATAGGGAAATAATGGCCCTGGCTGTGAGAGCCTTGTAGAGGAGTTGGTTGGTAGTGTGAGTCTGGATTGATTGGAATGCGTATGAAAGGTGGACTCAGACAAGTTGTTTGCCATCACTAGGAATTAGCTATCCCTGGGAGAGGCAGTTCTTCCATGGTCAGCAAGGCCCAAGAGGTCAAAGCATCAAAAATACAGAATAAAAAGACATGATTACTAAACACCCTTATCACAATATAGGACATTTCCATCTCCCCCGAAAAGTTTCTTTGTGTCCCTTTTCAGTCAATTTCCACCATCCTCTAGACAACGACTGTTTTTATTTTTTTCCACTTGAACTTTGTTTTGTTCCAGAACTTTATATAAAAGAAGACTACATTGTGTGACTATTGTGTTCAGCTTCTTTTGCACAGCATGATGTCATACATACATGTTGCCTGTCTCAGTAATTTGTTCCTTTTTATTCCTGAGCGGTATTCCATTGTATGAATGTACCACAATTTGTTTATTTATTCTCTTGCTGATGGACGTAAACTTGTTTCAGTTTTTGTTATTGCACATAAAGCTACGATGAACATTCATCCTTTTGTTGACATATATTTTCATTTCCCTTGAGTAAATATTAGGAGTGGAATTGATAGGTCAAAAGGTTGCCTGTTTAAGAAACTGCCAGTTTTCTGAAGTAGTTGTAAGATTTTACTTTCCCAACAAGCAATTTGTGAGCATTTTGATTACTCAACATCTTCACCGACATTTAGTGTTGTTAGTCTTTTTACTTTTATGTTGTGCTTTAAAAAAAAAACTTCACAAAACCCTAAATTTAGGGTTTAAACTGATAGAAACACTTCTGTCAGTTTCTTTGACACTTGTATATTTTTCATCTATTTTATCATTTTCTAGAAAATTTGTCAGTTGCCTGAAAATGCTGCTCTGTTTTGGCTGGTGCCCACAAGCCAAATAGATTTACTAATCTCTCTTTCTTACACACACACACACACACACACACACACACACACACACACATCCCCTTCATAATCCAACAGGTATTTATCATTTTTTTTCTCTAAAGTATTATGCTAAATTTTGTGGAGGCATTTTTTAGAAATACAGTAAACACATTAACTGTACTCAGAATGAGAAAGGGAAATACAATCCAATAAGTAAAACACAAAGTAGAATGTGATACATGCTCCAAAAGAGGTAAGAAGGAAGACTCAGGTCTTGGAGCCTTGAAGGATATGCATGATTTTTACAGGTGGTGATGATAAAGAAGGGCCTCACTGATGAAAAGAATAGTGTGTTTTTGTGCCAGACTGTTAGTCTCATTCAGTCACACTTCAGTAATAAATTAGGCTCATTTAGATGGAACTGACTTGAAATTTCTCTCTTATCTTCCACAGTCTGTTTCCCTAGGCATTGTGGGCATCTTTGAGATTTCGAATGGTACCATCTCTTTGAATCGTCATAAGGACTATTCTGGGACTTTGCTTCATCAATTATTTTTCCTTTTTCTTGATTCTTCTATTTCATCTTCACTGAATTATTTCATTCCACCTATGTATGTATTCAAGTCTTCCTCCCTCCCTCCAACACTGTAAGAGAAAAAAGAATTATTTTCTCAATCCTATTATCTCTGTTAAGCTTTCATCCTGTTTTTCTCTCCTTTAACTTCAGTAGTATTCACTTAATGCTTCCACCTCTTAACATCGCCAGTTGTTCAACCTCTTGCAATCTGAATTTGATAAGGAAAATGTGGTTCATATACACAATGGAGTACTGTTCATCCATGAAAAAGATGAGATCCAGTCATTCGCAACAGCATGGAGGGAACTGGAGATCATTAAGTAAAATAAGCCAGGCACAGAAAGACAAACATTGCATGTTCTCACTTATTTGTGAGATCTAAAAAGCCCTCAACCACTTTTCTGGAAAAAAAAAAAAAAATTTTAAGGAGAATCCTAGCATCTCCTGTTCAATAAGTCTAATACTTTTTACTTTAAGGTCAGATTTTTTTTGGCCTATCTATAGGCACTGTTAGCCATATCTTTCTTCTTGATGGTCTCTCCTTCCTAGGTTTCACTTGATTCTCCTGCATCTGCCTTCCCTGACTCTTCTTCCATCCCTTACTGACAGTGTTTACCAAGGATTTCCCTTGGCCTGCTTCTTTCTTTGACGCTCATTTAAACCTTTCCCTTCAGTTGCAGACCTCGTCTGCTTCTCCCAGCTATTCCATTCTTCAGTTGCTTGTTAAACACGGCCCACCATCACCTCAAATATGATGTTAAAATGTCCCCATTTTTTATCAAACTTAAGTTTCTTCCTGTGGATCTGTTGCTCAGTACTCTCATCTTTCCGATCACCTAGAGGTAAAACCTCAACATTTCTTTGAATTTTTTTCCCCCTTTTGTTTGCCACATCTAATTAGTTGCCAAGTCTAATAATTTTAACCTCCATGACATCTTACTTCTTTTTCCCCATTTCTTTTTTTTTTTTAATTTTAGCTTTATTCTTTAATGAACTCCCAAGCACTCAGATTCCCATTTCTACTGTGACTATTCTGATTCAGGCCCTGATTTCAGTCAGTCTTTTGCAGTGACTCTCCCACAAACTTCCTAATGTAGAACTGTAGAAAGAGCATGGGCTCTGCAGTCAGATAGACCTAAGTGCTAATTGTGAAGATGGCCCTTCTGGCTGTCTGACTTATAGAAAATAATTTAATCTTAATTGACAGATGAGAAAGTTTAGGCACAGAAAAGTTAGTCATTCCAGTTCAGTCACAGAGAAGTTAGTCATTTCTACCTCATGAAGTATGCCATTCTGAAGGGTAAATGAGACAATGGGTGCTTAGTGAGAAGGTACTCAGAAAAATATTATTTCTCCCTCCCTTACTTTTGATCTCTTTACAACCCATTAATAGATTAATCTTCTTTAAGTATAACCTTCATCATATGAGAATCTTGTTCTTCAGTGGTTCCCCATTGTCTAATTTTCCATAATTCTTAGCCTAGAATTGTATACTATCAATTTGTGTCCACCTCCCTTTCTGACCTTATTTCTCCCCACTTGTCACAAACATCGCTTTGAGCCAAACCAAACCACTAGCAATGCCCTATAGCAGAATGGCTGAGAACATGAATTCCAGAATCATCTAAATCCCAGTTCACGTACTTACTTTGTGCCCATGAGCAAATTATTTAATGTCCCTAAACCTTTCCTATTCTGGGAGGGGTGGGGAGGGGGCGGGGTGGGGCAGAAAACCAGGATAATTATAGTGCCTACTGCATTGGGTTGTTGGAAGGATACAGTGAGACCAAGTATATAAAGCACTTGGTGCCTGGCGTGTTGAGAGCAGTCACTGTTGGTAGAAGTAGTAGTTGTTGATGCTGTTGTTACTCGTTTCTCCCATTTCCATCTCCATCACATTCACATTCTTTTCTCTGCGTGGAATGCATTTCTTCCCCTTTGTACCTGACTACATTTTATCTATCTTCAAAGCTCTTTCCTGGTTCTAGACCACCCTCCCCCTACTTTATCTTTCCACTTCATCATTCCTTGCCTCTTTTAGCTTAGAATGCTTATTACTTTCATATACTTATCTGTTTTATCTCTTTTATAAAAGACTAGAAGTGCCTTGAGGGCAGAATATGTAATTCAATTTTTGTATCTTCGAAAGCATAGCATCTTACACAGAACCATGCCAGAAAGTATTTACTGAATAAATATATTAATTTACTGTAACCAATAGCTCTTTGGTTCCTTTGGTTCTAAGGGGTTTATTCTTACTTCTTTAGGAACTTTTGCAGAGTCTCCATAAACCATTGGTACATTTTCAGAAACATTTAATTTTGTTATCAACATGCCATCCTTGGGTTCAAGAAGACTAAAGAAAAGACTTTATAGGAGAAGGCAATAATAACAAAAGCAAAACAAAAACTGACCAGATGACACTGCTTTGGATTCAGCAAAATTATTGTTTTTCTACACTGCCTCTTATTTGTTATTGTTACAAACATTCTACACCAAATATTATAGTACCTAGAATGGTGCCAAATTAAGCATTTTTGGATAATAGTGGATCTAAAATCTGTTTTACTGAAGTAAAAAAAATAACAAATAGTTAATACATTAAAATGTGATTAAATATCTAGTTCAGTTTGTTAAAATGAGAAATTATTAAGAAGTGTCACCTTCTTATGTTGTGGGCAGATGGAGTATTCTCTTGATAACTTCTCAAGGAACAAGCCACAGAACCTGGGAAGTGGGTGGGGGCGGAAGTGGGGGAATCTCTAGAATTTCTTCCCCACAGTGATTTGGCACAACGCCAGCTGTCCTTCAGCAAAGGTGTACTGTGTTCTTGTTAAAGGAGACTTATGCTTTTTAAAGGCTTTTATGCCTTTAAATGTATAGACGAATTAGATAGATTTTTAAATCGTGAATTTTTTTTTCTTTACTGATATAACACTTGGAAGCAATATTGAATAGTGACATTTAATTTTCTGTTGTCATATTACAATATCAAGGAAATTGATTGAGAGCAGGCAGCTTGGGCACCAGAGAAGTTTAAGAAAATGTTATATAAGCACTTTCTGCTGAACTTGGGGAATAAATACTTTTTTGTGATATGTAGATTCTTGTGTTTTTATAACTGTTTAGGGAAGATGTTCTGCTATAATGGCTGAATATAAGTTGCAGAGATTTAAACCCGCCCTTATATTAATGTTCCACCTCATTAACTTAATTGTTAGGGCGTTTACACTTCAGTGATTTAAATAAAATACTCTAAATGTGGTTCTGTTGTCTTTCCCTCTGTCTCCTGTTTGAGGTCTAGATGATTATGTATTTAGTTATGTGTTTTCATGTAGACCCTGTTGTTAATTCTATTAAGCGTAAGATGATGATGAAGGGAAGCTATTGTATAACTTTTGTGCTGCTGCAGCCCTGGAAGATAAGGGAATGTATTTATGAAACTAAAATGGTCACTTATTCAGCTGGTGTTTTGTCATTTTTACCTTCCAGTGTTATTCAGAGGACCAGGAACTTCATAGCTATAAGACTCCATTCTGTTTTGGAGTTCAGATTGCTGATTATATATGAGCTTTCACATGTATCCAGTGATATTTATAGCCCTAGAACCCAGATAAGGCAAAGTTTTGCTTAAAAGTAAGCTATGTTTGTACTTTAAAATGTTTCCTAAGCATTTTCAGAAAAAGTAGGATTATGCAATGAATTTCCAAGCAAAGTCACCTTTACAAATACTTTCACCTACCTGCAAATAGTAGACATATTTATGCAGTAAGGTTTTTTCTAAATGATTTACTGCCGGTTGTGAGCATCCCTTAGCACTGTCTATCCCAAATGCAAGTTACATGTCTTTGTTAAAAACATAGAGAAAGGCCAGATGCAATGTCTCATGCCTGTAATACCAGCACTTTGGGAGGCCAAGGTCAGAGGATCACTTGAGGCCGGGAGTTCAAGACCAGCTTGGGCAACATAGTGAGACTCTGTCTCTATAAACAATTCAAGAAAAAATTAGCCAGGCATGGTGGCACGTGCCTGTAATCGTAGATAGTCGGGAATCTGAGGCACGAGGGTCGCTTGAGCCCTTGAGTTTGAGGCTTGTAGCGAGCTGTGATTGTGACCCTGTCTCAAAAAAAAAGGAAAAAGAGAAAAATAAGTTAATTTTTCAGGGAAATGAAGCTTTTATGTTGTCAAGCATTTTTCATTTTATAACAGTATTTAATTGTGAATATATGGTGTTAAATAATTCTATGAAGTATCTGCTTGACCCATTTAAGTTGAGCAGTGAATTTCTGTTTTACCTAAGTTCATCTTTGTGAGGTATTGGTGTTCATTTCTAACTATTTCTTTTATTTTCCAGCTCACCAGCGACTGGAACCAGCAACTCTGTCAGGGATTGTAGGATTTATCCTTAGTCTTTTATGTGGAGCTCTGAATTTAATTCGAGGCTTTCATGCTATAGAAAGTCTCCTGCAGGTACTGTGCTATTTTTGCAATTTCAGGTGACTGTGCCTCTTCATTCTACTGGTTACATAATTGATTTGAATTGGATTGGGTATTAGTATAATTTACAGTGCATACTCAAAATCTATGTTTTTTTATATCTGCTTTAGCCTCCTTCTAAAAACACTGGTTGGCTTCTTTGATTCCATTGGCACATGTTTATCATCTGCTCTTTAGGAGGCACTATTTATAGGCACCCTGGGGACCCCAAGATGTGTGTGACATAGGCCTTGCAGTCTCATAACTGAAAGTTGAACTGGGGAGGCAAGAAAGTAATTGCCAAATACACAGAGTTGGGAAGGGGGAGAGGTCAGTATAATCAGGATTGGAGAAGGAAGGTTTTGTGGAGGAGAGTTGAACTGGTCCTGGAAAGATCTGATCAGACAGAGAGCAGTGGAAGAATGAAGAGGGCACACGTGGGCTGTGTTTATTCCACTTCTGTGTATTCCCTACTTAGTTCATCTGCTTCTTTTTCTTTTTTTGTTAGTGGCTTCTTAAAACTTGAGCTTCCTAGAAAACCACAAATTTATTCAGATATTGCTAACTATTACATTTTCAAGTGGAGTTCCTTTCAGAAGCTATAGCTATCAGAATATACTAATTTTTTCTCTTATGCTTTTTGTAAACTTTTTGAAATTTTTTTTTAAGTTTAGCACATTTGAGACTGCACAGCTTTCCTTTCCCTTATTTCTATTCACTTTCTCTGAAGAACTCTTGACACTCTCACATTATGAATCAGTCCTCTTTTTTTGGTCAGCATTAAGTGCAGAATACCATTTGTAAAAATCCACTGAGCACACTTTATATTCTGTTTTTAAATTGCTGTTAGTTTGGGGAACCCTCAGAGGGTATCTTTCTGCATCTGTTTAGCCATGTAAAGCCAACAGCAGATGACATCACAGGTTCCAGCAGCAGAGCTGTTCGTAAAGGAGATGGACAGGACTTCTTATGACTTCTTAGTTCCTCTTCCAAACACCCTTTGCCCTCAGGTTAAAGCTCGTCTCCCCTTTTATGCACAGGACAGCTGGCTGCTGTCCCTCGGCCTTTCTGTTTCCTGTCCCCATGCCAGATCAGATTTATTCCAGCAGAAGGAGTTCAGTTTTCAGCTGTTTAGATGACCTAACAAAAAGAAGAAACAAAGACAATTTGGAGACTGCTGATAGAAAAAGCTTACAAATAAGATACTCTTTTTTTTTGTACTCAACATAGTAGAAATAACAGTAGTATAGGGGTATGAAGAGTTGTTGGTGAAGCAGGCTTGGGCTTGGGTAGAGAAAATCTTGACCCCCACAGAGTTTCACTATCTTTGACTTATAAAACAGTATACAAGTTATGGAACCTGGGGCTTAGACTGCATTAACTTTAAGTTAAAATTCAGACAAGGCTATTGTATTCACAAAACCAGTTTAAGGGAACAGTACTTTATTTCAGGCACTCAGATATTATATCCCTCCTCTTGGGCTGATTTCTTTTTTTCTCCTCTGATTTAAAACTTAAAAACTAAGGAAAGTAGTATAAATTACAGCTTTCTTGCTTTTGAGATACTGCAACAGGCTAAAACCTACCTGGTTTCCTAATTGTTCCTTGTCTTCCCTCTGATCAGTAATGTCTCTGGCTCATTGCAGTTGATAGAGTTTTAGGTTTCAGAAGAACAATAATCTTATTAAACTAATTACCACTTAAGTGTAACTGACTGATAGCTCTGAGATTTCTCAGCCTATTATACATTTTAAAAAGACAACTTTACAGACCATGAATATTGATACAAAATCCTCAACAAAATACTATCAAATTGTATCCAACACTGCAGAAATAATTAACACCACAACCAGGTGGAATTTATCCCAGGTATGCGGGGGCCAGTCACCCTTAGAAGCCAATTAATCCATCACATCAACAGGCTAAAGAAGAAAAATCGCGTGATCATATCAGTAGGTACAGAAAAAGCATTTGACAAAATCCAAACCCCATCCATCATAAAAACTTGGAGCGAACTAGGAATAAAGGGAAACATCCTCAATTTGATAAAGAACATCTATTGAAAGAACGTACAGCTAACATCATCTTTAATGATGAGAAACTAGATGCTTCCCCCTAAGACCAGGAACAGGGCAAGGATGTCCCCACTTACCACTCTGTCCAACATCATACTGGAAGTTCTAATTGATGCAATAAGATGAGAATAGGAAATAAAAGATATACAGATTAGGAAGGAAAAAATAAAGCTGTCTTTGTTCACAGATGACATGACTAAGTAGGATATTGTTAATTCTCTTTCTATGTAGAATATGTCCAAAATCAACAACAATAGCAAAAACCTGGGATTAATAAGTAATTATAGCAAGATTGCAGGATATGAGGTTAATATACAAAACTCAATTGCTTTACTATATACCTACAAAGAATTAAAATTTGAAATTAAAAATATAATACCATTTATAGTGACACCAAACAAAAAGAGACACTTCAGAGTAAATCTAAAATGTATATACAAGATCTTTATGAGGAAAATGATAAAACTCTGATCAAATAAATCAAAGAAGATCTAAATAAATGGAGAGATATTCCATGTTTATAGACAGGAAGACTCAATATTGTTTAGGTATCATTTCTTCCCAACTTGGTCTATAGATTCAATACAGTCCCAATCAAAATTTCAAGTTATTTGATGGATATTAACAGTGATTCTAAAGTTCATATGGAAAAGCAAGGATGCGTTGTATAGGGAAAAACAGGCTGTTTGCTTCTGTACTCTCACGATTCTCAATACTTCCAGAGCTTCATTTTTGACACCAGATGTGTGGGAGGTTTTCTCATATCAACATATTCCCCAGTACCAGCTAGGTGTCCCTTAATTCAAATCACTTTTAACACTATCTGCCTGGAGTTAACCCAGATGTCACAGGTAAAGAGTTCAGTCCCACAAGAATGCCCCCACCTCAGATGCTAGTTGCAAGTTCAGGTTGTCACCAATTGGAAGTTCCCACAACCCCCTCCTTGGATTCAATAATCTACTAGAATGGTTCACAGAACTCACGGAAATATGTTTACTGGTTTATTATAAAGGAAATTACAAAGAATAAAGGTGAATAGCCATGAAGAGGTACATAGGGGAAGGTCTGAAAGAGTCCTGAGCACAGGAACTTCTGTCCTCATGGAGTTGGAGTTTGTCACCTTCCTGGCACATGGCACCCACCCAGAAGCTCTGTGAACCCCATCTTTTAGGGATTTTTATGGAGGGTTCTTCATGTAGGCATGATTGATTATTAATTCATTCTCTAGTTTCTCTCCCCTCCCCGGAGGGTGGGAGTAGGACTTAAAGTTATTAGCTTCTAATCATGGCTTGGTCTTTGTGGTAACCAGCCCCCATCTAGGATCTCACCAAGAATTGCCTGATTAGAATAAAAGATGCTCTTATTACCTGGGAAATTCCAAGTGATTTAGGAGTTCTGTGTCAGATACTGTTTTTTATCATATATATATATATGTATATATGTATTTGAGATGGAGTCTCATCCTGTCGCCCAGGCTGGAGTGCAATGGCATGGTTTCGGCTCACTGCAGCCTCTGCCTCCCAGGTTCAAGCGATTCTCCTGCCTCAGCCTCCTGAGTAGCTGGGATTACAGATGTGCATCACCATGCCCAGCTAATTTTGTATTTTTAGTAGAGATGGGGTTTCACCATGTTGGTCAGGCTGGTCTCGAACTCCTGACCTCTAGTGATCCGCCCACCTTGGCCTCCCAAAGTGCTGGGATTACAGGTGTGAGCCACCTCGCCCAGCCTCAGATGCTCTTATCACTCAAGAAATTACAAAGGTTTCAGTAGCTCTGTGTCAACACCAGGGTCCATGACCAAATATAGGGAACAAAACAAAAAAGACCAAATATGGAAACAAGAGTCTCCTAGCATGTTTATTTACAAGGGTTTTATTTTAGGAGCTCTGTGTCAGGAATCAGGGGCAGAGGAGAGAAGAAAAATATGTGGAACTCTCTGCTTAATTTTCTGTAGACCTAAAACTGCTCTTAAAAAGTCTATTTTAAAAATCCATCATTAAAACACAGACTTTCTCCATAATAAGAAGTTGGAGGGGCTGGGCACGGTGGCTCGCACCTGTAATCCCAGTACTTTGGGAGGCCGAGGCAGATGGATCACGAGGTCAAGAGCTCGAGACCATCCTGGCCAACATGGTGAAACCCCGTCTCTACTAAAAATACAAAAATTAGCTGGGTGTGGTGGCGCACGCCTATAGTCCCAGCTATTCGGGAGGCTGAGGCAGGAGAATTGCTTGAACCTGGAAGGTGGAGGTTGCAGTGAGCCAAGATCGTGCCACTGCACTCTCAGCCTGGCGACAAAGTGAGACTCCGTCTCAAAAAAAAAATAAAAAAATAAGAAGTTGGAGGAAAACTGGAAAGGGAGGAATGTTCTCACTCTGGGCTTTGATATTCTTTAGTTAGGTGTTGCTCCATTTGGCAGTTACAGTAGAACCTGTTGTGCCCAGCCCACTCTTAGGAAGCAGTGGATTGGGCCTTCTCTTCCTATGGAGGGACGAGTCTTCCTCTACACACAGGCCAGGTGAGGATAGTAGATCCCCAGCCATAATGGAGCCTGAAATCAGGAATTCATGTTTCAAGGTTACATGTACAAATGTATGCCCTCTCAGAACAATGGCCATTTTGAGAAAGCCAGTGAGAGACAGCCAGACCAGGTCCTCTGGCCTAGCACCCACCAGTGCCTGCCAGCTCAGCCCAAGTCTCCTCACCTAGGATAGCTTGATGGAATAACAATGTATTTTAATTTGCATAAAGAAACTGGAAAGATAAGAGACTAATGAACATGTTAGGAACTGGACAGATGGAAAATTGAGTGGGAATGAGACTTTTCCTGGTATATATTTATGTGTATCTTTTTATATGTTATTTTTAATTTTTGAATCATGAATATTTGACTCATTTTAAATATTTATTAGCACCTGTTATGTAAGCAGAAAGAAAGACAACTTTTGTTAACTTAATTAGTAGATTTTAAGCAACAAACATTTCAAGAAAGTAAAGGTAAATATTTTTGTCGGGGAGCCTGAATATTTTGCAGGGCATTGCAACTTCTTCCTGCCCCATGTTAGATTTCAGTTTCCCTAGAAACTTAAAGAGATTTTTTTGTTTTTTTGTTTATTTAAAACAGTTCGTCACAACTATGGTGGTGGAGTGTGAAAGAAGCATGGGGTATAAATTATGAATGGGGAAAAGGTTAGAGTGGTCTTTTTTATTAGTAGGTCATTTATAATTTGGGAACTCTGTGTGTAGGCTTGTATGTTTCTGATGGTTGATACAGAATCCTTTCTTTTGTCTTAGACTAAATTACTCTAACATTTCTTACTTACCTGATCCAGGGAACTGTAAATTGGTTCATATGGGGATTCTTAGCTATCTGGAAAATGAGGGCATTGGTACCTGCCTCTGTGTTCCCTTAGCACTTAAAGTCTTTGTTCTGCCATAACCCACCTGAAGTATTCCACATACACTCATTTAGTAGTTGAGGTTCCTGAGAGAGTGATTCTAAGAGGAGCAAGGAAACAACAGAATGCAAAGTTGGGGATAATGTAGTCCACAAGTAGTTTGTCATTCATAGGTAATTTTAAAAGATTTTCCAGCAAATTCTGATCCTCTCACCTAAATGAAAATCAGTACCTTTGCAAATCCACTTGACCAAAAGTAGAAACTCCCATTGTTCCAGTTATCGAGGACTTTATATCTGCATTGAGTACAACAATGTTCTGGTAAGTGACTAGTGCTTGGGAATATTTTTCCTTTCCTTTTCCCACTGTGAAGATAAATGAAGGAGCACTATATAGTGTTAGAATTCTCTGCTTTGTAAAGATTCTGTGTCCTAAAAGATGGAATGGATGATAAGTGAACAAAAGGAGAAAATGAAGTGTCAGAATGTAAATGGACACAATGATAAACTTTAGAGGTTTAAACCAGATAGGTTCAAGAGTGCAAACTAGAGTGATTTTCCGAGTACATCCTTAGCCCGACTTAACCTGAAAGAAAATACATACAAAATTGGGAACCTGAGGTCTCTTACTTTTAATTTTCCCTTATTGAAGTTTTATCATTGTTCACAACTTGTATTGGATAAAATATCCTTTTTATTTTCACTAAAGCCATTAGTCTTAAGACATACTCTTAGCCCTCTTTCTGGTTGATCATTACATTTTACATTAGGAATAATCTCAAACGTCACTCTGGATAATTTTTGGTTAGTAAAGGTAGAACTTTCTGAGGTAGTCTGCTCTGAAGACTTGAGTGCAAATCCCAGGACACAGGACTTAAAGTTTTATCTATTTTGAAGTTACCTACAGTGGTGTTATTCATATCACAATGTTAGAGGAGGGGGAAGGGCAGTACCCCAGATTGAGTGGGCTTACTGCTTCTCTGATACTTGATTTAAGAGCAAAGGACTTATTTGGGAATTATAATTTTAGATCTGACTGAAAATATGTAGTGTATTTCCTGAGTTTGAGTAATATATAGACATTAAAGCTTACTTTTTTAAAGCCATGAATTCTAAACACTCTTTCTGAATGCTGAAAATGACTGCTACATTTATCTCTAGTATCTTGAGGCTCATTTAAATTTGAGGACCCACATGAATCAACATTCTTGCATGTTATTAATGGTGTTTGAAGATTCAGCACAAGTTTGTTTCTTCCAGATTATTAACTGCCTCACAGGGTGATAGCAAGGGATTTATTCAAATACGTAGCACTGAAGTTTTTCTTGGTATCTAAGTTTAAACTGGGGAGGCTTAGGATGGGTATAGTTTTTTTAAGTTCATAAGTTTATTTTGGAGTCCACAGTAATATATAAATTAGATTATTTTCACTTCTTAACTTTGCTCTGAGTTTAGAGATGGTAATAAGTTTTTTGTGAATTGATACCTTATGAAGGCATAAGCTTTTTTCACATTGGCTTATATTACATGTATTTCTTTAAGGCTCAACCTTGAAACAATTACATTAATTAGGCTAATACCAACCTGGAAGTAATTTGCATATGGCACATTAGAAAAAAAATGGAATCTTTTGATATCTCAGTAGAAATGCTGACCTGGAAGTTAAGATACCTGGGTCCCATCTGCCAGTAACTTTGTGACCCTGCATGGGTTATTTTACCTTCTTGTATCTCATCTTGCAATTCTGCAAGATGAAGATTTTAGACTACATAAGCCCAGGGGCCATTTCTTAGGTCTTAGGACAGACAATCTAAGATTTCTCGGATTCTAAAATTGTTTGTAAAAGCTTCTACAAAGCAGAAGTCATCAACTTGCTTTTATTTCTTATCTTCTTTCCCATAGACTTGTTGATGCCTTTTAAAGAAATTATGTCCCTGCTGGCCAGGCACGGTGGCTCACGCTTGTAATCCCAGCACTTTGGGAGGCCAAGGCAGGTGGATCACGAGGTCAGGAGTTCAAGACCAGCCTGGCCAATGTGGTGAAACCCCATCTCTACTAAAAATACAAAAATTAACTGAGCGCGGTGGCAGGTGCCTATAATCCCAGTTACTCCGCAGGCTGAGGCAGGAGAATTGCTTGAACCTGGGAGGCGGAGGTTGTAGTGAGCCGAAGATTGTGCCATTGCACTCTAGCCTGGGCGACAGAGCAAGACTCCATCTCAAAAAAAAAAAAAAAAAGAAAGAAAGAAATTATGTCCCTGCTAATACTTAACAGAACTTTTTCATTTATTTAGTGACATATCTATGCTAAGGTGTGGTGCTTACTTTCTTTCAAAAGAAATAAAAGCATTTTTTCTGATTATATGCTAATTCATTGTTAAAGAATTAGGAGATCCTACAAGACAGTGCCATAAAATAGAAGATAATAAAGATTAAATAACATTAAAAAGTGGAGAAAGAAAATAAAAAAGTTATAAATAAATAAAATAAAAATAACAAAAAAGAGTTGGGGGAAATGTATAAAGAATAAAATAAAAATTATCACCAAATTTTCATACATGTACATGTATCCATTATGTCCTTTTTTCACTTAATATTAAAAAGTAAATATTCCCTAATTATTATAAACATTTTAATAGTATCCTCCTAATACATTGTGTGGCTATTATATGAGGCTTTTGTTTACCTTCATCCTCATCTTTTTTTTTCTTAAAGAGACAGGGTCTCGCTGTGTTGGCCAGGTTGGTCTTAAACTCCTGGCCTCAAGTAATTCTCCCACCTTGGCCTCCCAAAGTGCTAAGATCATAGCATGAGCCACTGCCCCTGACCCATCCTCATCTTTAAAAGAAAATGTCCTTTATTTGTTTTCAGAGCAATACATTGGTACTCTAGTATCCCCTAAAGGTGAATAGTGACATTCATAAAAATGTGTATTGGAACTCCTTACCTCTGCCCTCTTCTTCCTCTCCTCTGCCTTCCTTCCTGTCTCTGTTTCCCCACCTCTGTCCACTCCCACTTTTGTCCTTGTTCCTAACCTCTGCCCACCTTCCAACCTCTGGCTATTCCTTCACCTACATTTCATCTGCTGGTTCCCTACTGGCTCGTTTCCCTCAGCCCTGCTGTTCTTTAAAAAACAAACAATAACAAAACCAAAAAAGCCTCTTTACGTATGCTCTCTTCTAATTTTTTGAGAGAGTAGACTACATTTGTTGTCTTGCTCCTTTACCCTCTATTTCTTTTCTTTTCTTTTTTTTTATTATACTTCAAGTTCTAGGGTACATGTGCACAACGTGCAGGTTTGTTACATATGTATACATGTGCCATGTTGGTGTGCTGCACCCATTAACTCGTCATTTACATTAGGTATATCTCCTAATGCTATCCCTCCCCCCTCACCCCACCCCACAACAGACCCCAGTGTATGATATTCCCCTTCCTGTGTCCAAGTGTTCTCATTGTTCAGTTCCCACCTATGAGTCTTAGTCTACTATGATCTCTTTTCTGCTCCTGTAATTCTCTCAGATATCCACCATTAAGCTCACCAGTATCCTTTCAATTGCCAAATACAGCAGAAACTCTTTAGAGTCTTATCTTATGTACCCTCTCTGCCTCATCTGTCATTATGTTCTTCCTTTTAAACATTTCCTTGTTTAATTTCAAAAAATGAATTTTATTTCAGGAAACATAGACACAAGTCACTGTTAATAGTTTAATGTATTTACATTTTTCTTCATGACAAATCTCTCATCCGTTCATTTTTATGAAACTGTTTTCTCCCGTTTTGTTTTGTTTTGTTTTGTTTCTCTCTTTCTCTTCCTATTCCTCAGTTTATTTGATACACTTTCTTCCTCCACCTGTCCTTTACATAGTGGCATTCTCCAGTATTCTGTCCTTGGCTTTATATTCTTCCAACTCCATGCCCTCTTCTTGGTTACTTTCATAATGGCCTTTTTGAAAAAATACACATACATTTATACATACACACACACATACACACACACACAGTAAAATATGCACATAAAAATTTCAAAGCCTATAAGAGTTGATATTTTCACAGAAAAGTAATTGCCTCCCAACTTTCTTCCTCAGAGTCATCCTTCTAGGGAGATTATGTGCCTATGCTAGTATATAGGTATTTATATATTTACTTATGCAATTATTCTTTTAAAATTTTTATGAAAATGATAGCATACTCAATACTAATTTGCATCTTTTTAAGTCTAAAAATATGTAGGAGTTTATTTCACATCAGTACACGGAGATCTATTCTTTTTAGTGGCCGCATGACTTTTTATTAAATATTTGCGTTTTCCTTTTGCTGCACCACATAACATCTTATTTTGAAAGAATTCAAACTTATAGAAAAGTTTAAAGAACAGCAGAATTAACATCCACCCCATATACCTACCTACCATTTTACTTTCTTCTTTCTTTTTTTTTTTTTACTGAGTCATTTCAAAGTTAATACTGTAGGTATCATCTCAGTTTATTCCAAAATTGAATTCAATATGTATGTCTTAAGAGCTAAGATATTCTTTTACGTAATCATAATACCTTAATCACACCAAAGAATTTAACATTAGTATAGTATTACCTAATAGAAAATCTGTATTCAAATTTCCATAGTTGCCCCCAGAATGTTCTATATAGTGTTTTGTTCCTCTCTCTAATCTAGGAGCTAATCAAGAATTGAGATTTTTACTTGGTTGTCATAGGCCTTTCATTTAACTACTATTAAAATAGAAGACTGCCAAGTTAGATCTCTGGATCAAACTCTTTCCTGAAGCAGACTGAAATATCTGCTAAGTATAATTATTTGGATGTCCCACTAGCAGCTCTAGAATAGCATGTCCCACAGTGAGCTCAGTATTTTCTGCTCTTGAATTACTTTTCTTCCATATGCCCAACTTAGTGCATGGTGTCATTCAAACGTTGCCTAAACAAGAAGCCTCTGAGTCAATCTTAATCTCCTCCCTCTTTGACACTGTACGCACTACTTCCTTTGCCTTTGATTCTCTTCCTACCTTGCCTACCTGGTTCAGCCTTTAAGACCCAGTTTAAGCTTTACTCCATCTAGGAAGTCTTCCCTGGCCTTTCTTTTTTCTCTATGCAGAATTAGATGTGTCTCCATTGGGCTCCCTTAGTATCCTCTACACACACCTGTGCCATCAGTTATCACTTTGGGTGGTAATTATTGACTTACGTATCTGCCTTAATTAGAGTGACCTCCTTAAGTTGGTGTGGACTTAACTCTTCTTTTTCTTTCCTTTTTTTTTTTTTTTTTTTGAGGTGGATTCTCGCTCTGTCACCCAGGCTGGAGTGCAGTGGCGCAGTCTCGGCTCACTGCAAGCTCCACCTCCCAGGTTCACACCATTCTCCTGCCTCAGCCTCCCGAGTATCTGGGACTACAGGTGCCCGCCACCACGCCCGGCTAATTTTTTGTATTTTTAGTAGAGACATGGTTTCACTGTGTTAGCCAGGATGGTCTCGATATCCTGACCTCGTGATCTGCCCACCTCGGCCTCCCAAAGTGCTGGGATTACAGGCATGAGCCACCGCCCTGGCTGGACTTAACTCTTTTCTGTACTAGGGATAGTAACAAAGTACCTGGTTTGTAAATGCTTGATAAATATTTATTAAATGGAATAATATGCTAGTAGACAGTCTTCTCTGTATCAATTAAAGATTTTTTAAGTGACACAGACAGTAACCCCAGGGAGACAGGAGTTAGTGAATGTTTCTGAGTACTTACTATGTACCAGTTACTTTTCTTTGTATTTGCAAATGTTATTTCACTTAATCTCTACAACTTTTATTTTTCAAAAGAGGAAATTAAATAAGTGTCCCAGATTATAAGTAAATATTTGAACCCAAGTCTGACTGACTCTAGAAATATGCTCCTAAGTGTTTTAAAGGCATTTAAGGCCAGGCACGGTGGCTCACGCCTGTAATCCCAGCACTTTCGGAGGCTGAGGCAGGCAGATCACTTGAAGTCAGGAGTTCAAAATCAGCCTGGCCAACCTGGTGAAACTCCACTCTCTACTAAAAAGTACAAAAATTGGCCAGGCATGGTGATGGGTGCCTGTAATCCCAGCTACTTGGGAGGCTGAGGCAGGAGAATCGCTTGAACCTGGGAAGCAGAGGTTGCAGTGAGCCGAGATCGCGCCACTGCATTCCAGGCTGGGTGATAGAACGAGACTCAATCTCGAAAGAAAGAGGCCGGGTGCAGTGGCTCACGCCTGTAATCCCAGCACTTTGGGAGGCCGAGGCGGGCAGATCACAAGGTCAGGAGATCGAGACCATCCTGGCTAACGCAGTGAAACCCCATCTCTACTAAAAATACAGAAAAAAGTAGCCAGGCATGGTGGCACGCACCTGTAGTCCCAACTATTCTGAAGGCTGAGGCAGGAGAATCGCTTGAACCTGGGAGGTGGAGGTTGCAGTGAGCCAAGATTGTGCCACTGCACTCCAGCCTGGGTGACAGAGCAAGACTCCATCTCATTGAAAAAAAAAAAAAGGAAGGAAGGAAAAGAGAGAAAAGAAGGAGTGATTAAGAGAGTTAGTCTAAATTTAGAGAAAACTATAGTATCCAATTGTAGGACAATAAATTATGGTATATCCCCACAATTAAAGGTTATATAATCATTACAAATCGTGTGGTTGAGGAATATTTACTGTCTTGGGAAAGTGTTTGTGTAGTACTGTGAAGTACTAAAAAGTAGTATATAAAAGTATCAATCTATTTTTTAAAATGTGTCTACATATACAGAAAAGACTGGAAGGAAATACATGAAAGGGTTGGCAGTAATTTTCCCAGAGTTGTGGCATTTATAGGTTATATTAATTTCTTCTTTGTATAATCTGTATTTTCCAGATTCTCTACAATGAACATGAACTTTTATAATCAGAAAAAAAAAGGTCATTTAAAAAGTAAAGGACTAAAGAAAAAATAATCAAGCAGAACTTATTTAAGGTTTTAGAATTATTAAACTGGAAAGGTTTGGTGTTGGCCTTCCTTGCCTCTGGGGTGCAACTGGCCTGAGCATCCCAGGCAGATGAGTGGTTCCTATTTTAAGATCTTCTCACTAGGATAAGCCAGCTTTCCTCTGCCTTACAATCAGTTGCCCAATAACCAGTGCAAAAGGAATTTTTCCTTTATACTATTTTATGAAGAAATGATAATGAGATACTCTTCTGTGTCTTGTGGAAATTATCATTGTATAAAGAGGTTTTTTTTTTCTCTCTAATATAAGAAAAGGGCCAAATTAATGTTCCTGCCTGGAAGAAAAAAAAATGTAATGCTCCTGCCCGAACTTTATCTTTTACTGTATAAAAACATTGAAAGAAGTCGATAATGTAGATATTTAAGAAGAACCAAAAAGGCATAGGAAAGCATGGGTTGTTACATGTCTCCATTAGTTTTCTTTTCAGAGACATTCTATGCATGAGGTATCTCTGTTTTTCCTCTGGGTGGCTGTTTTTCTAGCATAGCATGCAAGACTGATTAGTCTTAATTTTTCACGTTGGGATTTAGCACACTCTAGTGGACAGTAGCTTTTCAGTTTTCACAGTTTTTAAAAAAATCATATCAAATTACTTTATTGGACAATTCAGTGATATACTTACTAGCAGTAAAGTTTGTCAGTATTTGAATCAAGTAATGACCCTAGTGAGCTGGAGTAACTTTGTCAGCCACTGGGGTGTTGTACATTTTTACATGATTTTTTTAGCAGTAGGAGGAGAGGCTTTTATCGTTATGTCAGAACTTTTCCCCAGTGGTTTTCCTCTTTTGAGTGGAATGAAATTGATGGGGGTGGCCAAAATGAAGAGGAACACTTGTACCTCTACCTCACACTCTTTAGGTCTTAGAATGTGCTTTATGTTTTCATTTTAGGACTCTTGAGAATTTCTATATACCAGTGTGTGACAATTTTGACTGTTTGTAAATATTGTTACATCCTATCTTGATGGATTGTTTCTGGAAATGGGCTCCCACCGGAAACAAAAATAATCTTTTATTTTGCTTTTGCAGAGTGATGGTGATGATTTTAATTACATCATTGCATTTTTCCTTGGAACAGCAGCCTGCCTTTACCAGGTAGGTTTTCTTCCATTTTAAAGAAACACTTACCATTATTGTTTACTTCGGGTATCAGTTCTAACAATTGTGCATTTTAAATAAATTATTAAAACTCTGAGTTCTTTGCTTCTCTTTTAATTTGAGCCTCTTTTAACTTTGTGACCTATGTCTCCATTTTGAGTAGACATACATCCCAGTGAACCTGATGTTAACCTTCTTCCTGTGCTGAGGCTTCAGTGGTGGTATGTCATCTGCCTATGGTAGTAAAGACTACTTCTAGGCTGGGTGTGGTGGCTCATGCCTGTAATCCCAGCACTTTAGGAGGCCGAGGTGGGCAGATCACTTGAGGTCAGGAGTTCAAGGCCAGCTGGCCAACACGGTGAAACCTTGTCTGTACTAAAAATACAAAAATTAGCCGGGCATGGTGATGTGTGCCTGTAGTCCCAGCTACTTGGGAGGCTGAGACAGGAGAATTGCTTGAACCCAGGAGGCAGAGGTTGCAGTGAGCCAAGATCGCGCCACTGCACTCCGGCCTGGGCAACAGAGCGAGACTACATCTCAAAAAAAAAAAAAAAAAAAAAAAAAAAAAAAAAAAAAACTACTAGATTTTCTGGTGGTTGATTATTCAGCTTCCAGGTTCTACTTATACTCTAGGCTGAGGATTTTGTATTGGAGGGAAGTTTTTGAATAGAGAACAGCACAGTAAAAACAGGATTTTAGGATTCAATTTAGCAGTAATGAATAGAATGGACTGTAAGAGCAGAGAGACTGGAAGCAAGGAAATTGGTTTGGAATTATTACTACAGGTAGAAGGTAATGAAAGCCAACATATGGTAATGGCAGTGAGGATAGAAAAAAATAGACATTGAGAAGGAAGACTCACTGGGACTTGAAGACTGTGAAACTTAAGGAGGGAAGAGATTTTGCACCTTGGTGACATGGAGACTGATAGTCACATTTCCAAGGCCAGAGGAGGCACACATTTGTAGGAAAGGAAGTTACCAGTTACCCAAATGCAAGAATGTCTTTGTTAAAACGTGTTACAGCAAGCAAGGCTTTTTGACCTAACTTTTTTGTAAGTGACACATTTTTCTAGCTTGAATTAGAAAAAATGTTAAGAGTCAGAACTGCAAATATAAGACTACCTAAAGTTCAGTGGACGTCTTTAGGGACGTATTTTGAATATATGTATTTGACTTTTATGTAAAGACATTAGACATTTTAGTTCCAGTGGCCTCATTTTTTAAAATCACTTGATTTTCTTTTTCTTTTTTTTTTTTTTTTGACGGAGTCTCGCTCTGTCGCCCAGGCTGGAGTGCAGTTGTGCGATCTCGGCTCACTGCAAGCTCCGCCTCCCAGGTTCACGGCATTCTCCTGCCTCAGCCTCCCGAGTAGCTGGGAATACAGGCTCCTGCCACCATGCCTAGCTAATTTTTTGTATTTTTAGTAGAGATGACGTTTCACCATGTTAGCCAGGATGGTCTTGATCTCCTGACCTTGTGATCCGCCCACCTCGGCCTCCCAAAGTGCTGGGATTACAGGCGTGAGCCACCGCGCCTGACCAAAAAAATTGCTTGATTTTCTTAACCATTTATATTATCTTCAGAAATTTTCTGTCAAATCTGACAGATTTAATGGTGATGAGTGACACTTCATGCAGGAAATGTGAAAACATATTTGTTAATGTCACATAGTGCTTTAATTTTATGAAATATTCTTGTATATATTTTCTATTTTAATTTCTATCCTGTCACAAAAGGGATAATATCTCATTTTTTAAAGTGAGAAAACGGAGACAGTTTCAGTACTGTCCTGAGATCACATAATCAGAAAGTGGTAGAGTCAGTACTTAACTCTGGGTGTCTGATTTTCAGTATTGTGTTCTGTCTACTATATCATGCTGTCTGTAGGCAAAATTCCTAATTTGTGTAATTTTTATAATGTAATAAAGTTATAATTTTATAACTATACACATGATCTCATTTGATTTTTATCTAAAACTGTGAGGTATTTAATATAATTTTATGAATAATCATTCTTATAAAATACAAGTTTTGGTTGCTTTGTCTTAAGTAATTGTAAATGCTTAGTAATAATGGCAGAATGTATTGAGCTCTTATTTTGTGTTAAGCCTTTTATAGTCATTGTACCATTAAATCCTCACAAAAAGGAGGATATACCATTATATCGTCCTCACTGAGGTATAGACAGTTCTTATAGCTTGTTAGTGACTTAAACCCAGATCTTTGTGACTTCAGAGCAGGTGACTACCAGGCTATAGATAGGCATACCTCTGTTACACTTCCCAGAACAGCCTCGAGTAGTTCTGAGAGTTGCTTCGTGGTAGAGTGGTGTCACTCAGGTGTTCTTTTACTTGAGAGAAGTAAACAAATTCATGCTTTAAAAAAGAAAAGCAGAAAACTAATTTCCTTCATATTGAAAGGCATGAAACTGCCTGCTTTCTAAATATGATGAGCAGGGTGATAATAATGCTGTTTTTTTCCCCCACAGTAAAACTTAAGTAATTATGTTTTACCATATAACATGCTCTGTCTCCAGTTGTCAGGATATTTTTAAATCCTCTTTAGATCAGATCTGAAAAGCCATTACCACATGGTTTGTCATCTTTTTCTTCAGGATGCAGGTGCTTATGGAAGCCCAGAGCTCAGCCTGATAGGATTAATCTTGATATGGAACATTTCAAATAGGAAAGCAAAGGATCAGTGAAGAAACTAGAGACTTCCTGTTCCCTCAATGTTTTACTTTGAAAACTTGAAACTTACAGAAAAGTTGAAAAACCAGTATACTTAGAGTCATCAATTGTTAACATCTTGCAACACCTTCTTTATCTCACTCTCTATGTATGTGCATATAGCGTGTATAAACACACCATCCCCGACTTGGAACTTTTTTTACTTTCTAATGATGCAAAAGTGATATGCACTCAGTAGAAACTATGTTTCAGGTACTCACATGACCATTCTGGTTTTCAGCACACTATTCAATAAATTACATGAGATAATGAATATATTTGAATAAAATAGGCTTTGTATTAGATGATTTTGCCCAGCTGTAGGCCAAAGTTCTGAGCATGTTTAAGGTAGGCTAGGCTAAGCTATGATGTTTGGTAAGTTAATTGTATTAAATACATTTTTAACTTAGGATATTTTCAACTTATAATGAGTATATCAGGATGTGACCCTATCGTAAGCCAAGGAGCTTCTGTAGTTGTTTTTAAAGTAAGTTTTAGACATATGTGTATGGGTAAAGTTTTTCTAATTAAACTTTTTATTTTGGGATAATTGTAGATTTACGTGGAGTTGCAAGAGAGATCTTACGTACCCTTTACTGGTTTCCCCCAATGTTACCATCTTGCAAAACTATATAAAACGGTATCACAACCAGAGTATTGATACTGATACAGTCAAGATACAGAACATTCCTGTCACCACAGGGATCCCTCATGTTGCCTTTTTATAGCCATATCCACTTCCTTAATCTAACCGCTCCTTAATCTCTGGCAATTACTAACGCATTCTCCATTTCTATAATTTTCTCATTTTAAGGACATTATGTAAATGGAATTATATAGTATATAACTGGCATAGTTCAGAATGCTATAAGAAAATACCATAGATTGGGTGGCTTAAACAACAGACATTTCTTTCTCACAGTTCTGGAATCTGGAAGTCCAGATGCTGGCACATCATGTTCTTGCTGAGGGCCCTTTTCCTGGCTTGCAGAAGGCTGCCTTCTCAGTATATCCTCACACAGAGAAAGTGCTGAGATCTCTTCCTCCTCCTACATAGTCATTGATTCCATTATGGGGGCTCCGCCCTCATGACTTTATCTAAACCTAATTACCTCCCAAAGGCCCCAGCTCCTAATACCATCACATTAGGGATTAAGGGCTTCAACATTTGAAGTAATCTTTTGTGATAGGCATTTTTTTGTTGTTTTTTTGGGACGGAGTCTTGCTCTGTCACCCAGGCTGGAGTGCAGTGGCGCGATCTTGGCTCACTGCAATCTCCACTTCCCAGTTCAAGCAATTCTCCTGCCTCAGCCTCCTGAGTAGCTGGGATTACAGGTGCGCCACCATGCCTGGCTAATTTTTGTATTTTTAGTAGAGATGGGGTTTCACCATGTTGGTCAGGCAACTTCTGACCTCGTGATCCGCCCACCTCAGCCTCCCAAAGTGCTGGGATTACAGGCATAAGCCAGATAGGCATTTTTTTAGTCAGCATAATTCTCTGGAGATTCAGCCAAGTTGTTGCATAATCAATTATTTGTTGCTTTTTATTGCTGAGTAGTATTCTATGATATGTATTCAATGTACTATTAAATGATTTGTTCCTTTTTTTTTTTTAAAGACAAGGTATTGCTCTGTCACCCAGGCTGGAGTGCAGTGATGCCATCACAGCCTCACCGCAGCTTTGAACTGGGCTCAAACCTCCTGAGTAGCTAGGACTATAGATGTGTGCTGCCACACCCAGCTAATTTTCTGATTTATTTTTGTAGAGACGGGGTCTTGCTATGTTTGTTGCCCAGGCTGGTCTTGGACTCCTGGCCTTAAGCAATCCTCCCACCTCAGCCCCCACAAAGCTCTAGGGTTACAGGTGTGAGCCACAACATCCAGCTTCATTTACTTATTGAAGGATATATGAGTTGTTTTAAAATGTTGGCTGTTATAAAGCTGCTATAAACAATTATGTGCAGGTTTTTGTGCAGACATAAGTCTTCAGTTCTTTGGGATAAATGCCTAGGAGTACAATTGCCAGATCATGTGGTAGTTTTATTAAGAAACTGAAAAACTTTTCCAGAGTAGCTGTACCATTTTACATTCCCTCCAGCAATGTGTGAATGATCTAGTTTCTCTGCATCCTCACCAGCATTTGATATTGTCACTATTTTTTATTTTAGCCACTCTTTTAAGTGTGTGGTGATAGCTCATTGTGGTTTTAACTTGCGTTGTTTAACATCATTAGCTAATGATGCTAAACATTGTTTCATGTATTTGTCATGTGTATATTCAGTGAAATGTCTACATCTTTTGATTTTTTTTTTTTTTTTTAATTTGTGACGAGTCTTGCTCTGTCACCCAGGCTGAAGTGCAGTGTCATGATCTCGGCTCACTGCAACCTCCACCTCCCGGGTTTAAGTGATTCTTCCGCCTTAGCCACCCGAGTAGCTAGGATTACAGGTACCCACCATCATGCCTAGCTAATTTTGTTTGTTTGTTTGTTTTTGTATTTTTTTGTAGAGATGGGGTTTCACCATGTTGACCAGGCTGGTCATGAACTCCTGATCTCAGGTGATCCACCCACCTCAGCCTCCCAAAGCTCTGGGATTATAAGCGTGAGCCACCGAGCCCGGCCTTGCTTATTTTCTAATTGGATTCTTTGTTTTTTCACTGTTTTTCTTAAAGAGTTTTTTATACAATTGACCCTTTATATTTGTGGGTTCTGCATCCATGGATTAAACCAACCATGGATTGAAAATATTTGGAAACATATTGCATCCATACTGAACATGTACAGACTTTTATTTCTTTTCATTCCGTAAAGAATATAGTATAACAGCATTAACATTGTGTTAGGTATTATAAGTAATCTAGAGATTAAAGTATACAAGAGGATGTGCATAAGTTAAATGCAAATATTGTGCCATTTTATATCAGAGACTTGAACATCCACAAATTTTGATATCTGAGGGAGGTCCTGAAACCAATCCCCTATGGATCCTGAGGGACAACTGTATATTCTAGATACTAATCCTTTGTCAGAAAGGAAGTGTGCAGGTATCCTTTCCCAGTCTATGTTTTTTTTTAAAAAAAAATGGTTTCAGATCAGTCTGTATCTTGTCTTTTCATCCTCTTAACAGGTTTTTTCCCAGTCAGTTTTTTTTTTTAATGGTTTCAGATCAGTCTGTATCTTATCTTTTCATCCTCTTAACAGGGTTCTTCACAGAACAAAAGTTTTTAATTTTGATAAAGTTCAGTTTATCAATTTTTCCTTTTATGGGTCATGCTTGTGGTGGTCAAGTCTAAGAGCTCTTTGCCTAGCCTAAGTTTCTCTACTATGTTTTTTCTAGACCTTTTATTATAGTTTTATATTTTACGTTTGTGATCCATTTTGAGTTAATTTTTGTATGAGATGTGAGACTTAGATAGCTTCAACCAAGGTTCCTTTGTCTATATTGCTCCAGCACCATCCATGGCAAAGGCGATTTTTTTTCCTCCATTAAATTGCTTTTGCACCTTTGTAAAAAATCAGCTGGACATACTTGTGTGAGATTATTTCTGGGTTCTGTATTTTGTTGCATTGATTTCTTTTTGTCTATCCTTCCACCACTACCACATAGTCTCGATTACTGTAGCCGTATAATAAGTCATAAATTTTCTTAGTAGTTTTATAGAACTATTCAAATTATGTTTCATGTTGAGTGAATTTATGGTAGTTTGTGTTTTTTGAGGAAATGGTCCATGTTATCTAAGTTACCAAATTTATGTGTTTAGAGTTGGTTGTAGTATTCTCTTACTGGCCTTTTGATGTCTGCAGGGTCTGTAGTGGTATCTCCTGTTTCATTCCTGATAATGGTAATTTGCATGTTCTCTCTTTTTCTTTGTCAGTCTTACTTGTTAATTTTATTGATCTTTTCAAGAACCAGATCTTTGTTTTATTGTTTTTTCCTACTGTTTTTATGGCTTCAATTTTATTGATTTCTGCTTTTATCTTTACTATTTTCTTCCATATGCCTGCTTTGCATTTATTTTGTTCTTTTTCTAGGTTCTTGAAGTAGGAGCTTACATGATTGGTTGAGAATTTTCTTTTTTATAATGTATGCACTAACTCCTAAAGATTTCCGTCTTAGCACTTCTTTAGCTGTATTCCATAAATTTTGATATGTTTTATTTTCATTTTCTCTTATTTCAATTTTTAAAATTTCCTTAAGACTTCCTCTTTGACCTATGGATTATTTAGAATTGCATCGTTTCACTTCTAAATGTTTGAAGATTTTCTTGTTATCTTTCCCTTACTGATTTCCAGTTTGATTCCATTGTGATTAGAGAACACACATTGTGTGATTACACTTCTTTTAAATTTGTTGAGGTTTCTTTTATGGCCCCAAAATATGGTCTGTCTTGTTATATGTTCCATAGCCACTTGAACAGAATGTGTATTCTGCTGTTATTGGGTGTGTTCTGTAAATGTTTAGATCATGTTGCTTGGTATTGTCAAGTTCTGTATTCTTGCTGATTTTCTGTCTAGTGTTATACCAGTTGGCTAGAGAAGAGTATTGGATTATAGATTTTTCCATTTTGTACTTCAGTTCTATTGCTTCATATATTTTGTAGCTATGTTGTTTGGTTCATACACATTTAGGATTGCTGTGTCTTCTTGTTGGGTGAGCCCATTTATCATTATATATGTTCCTCTCTGTCCCTGGTTATTTTCTTTGCTTTGAAATATTTTGATATTTATCTGGTATCAATATAGCCACTTTTGCTTTCTTTTGATTACTGTTTATGTGATAAATCCTTTTCCATCCTTTACTTTGAACTTTCCTATGTTATTTAAAGTGAGTTTCTGACAGACAGCATGGGGTTGATTCATGTTTTTTAATATCCTGCCAATCTCTGTCTTTTCATTGCTGTACGTAAGTCATTTATAGTTAATGTAATTATGGATATGTTAGGACTTTTTTTTTTCTTTTTTCTTTTTTTTCTTTATCTTCCTGTGGGTTACTTTAACATTTTAAAAGATTTCCATTTCAGTTTATCTGTAGTATTTTTTAGTGTATCTATTTGTATAGCTTTTTAAATGATTGCTGTAGGCATCACGTAATACATACTTAACTCTTCATGGTCTTCTCGTGTCAATATTTTACTAGTTCAAGACACCTTATCTCCCTAGATGTGTTTTTGCCCTCCCCTATTTATAATTGGCTCAGATATTTCCTCCACATATATTTAGAACCACATCAGCCAGTGTTATAATGATTTTTTTTTAACCATCAAACATAATTTAGAAAACTCAAGAGGAAAAGGAAAGCCTATTGTATTTACCCATATTTTTGCATACCATGTCCTTTTTTCTTTCCCAATGTTTCAAGATTCCTTCTTTTTAATTGTTTTCTTTCTATTTAGAGAGCTTCCTCTAACCATTCTTTTATGGTAGATCTGCTAGCAGCAAATTATCTTAATCTTTCATCTGATAAATGTTTTTATTTTCCTTTTATTCCTAAAGGATATTTTTGTTGAATACAGAATTCTGGATTTGGCAGTATTTTTTTCTTTCAGCACTTGAGAAATGTTCTAGTTTTTTTCTGGCCTCTGTGGTTTCTGATGAGAATCCCACTGTCTTGTTACCGATGAGAAATGAATTATCTTGTTACTGTCAAGTGAAAGTGGGTGTCCAGAGTCCCACGTGTTCTCCACTGATATCACAATAAGAGGGTAGAGGAGGGATTCATTGCCATCTAGTGGGAATGAAAGTCCTGGCTTCTACTTGCCTTTTCTGAAGCCATGCTGAAGGGTTAAAACATCTGCTTATAATGTTCTAGGCTCTCAACATTTGATGGTGTGGGTATGGGTGGGTCACAGGGGTTTTTTGTGTGATGTTTGGCTAGAGGATAATAGTTACTGTTTAAAAGTTTTCTGTCTTGCTAAGGTGCCTCTTTCCTGGTCTTTTACCAGAGAGAGCAAGATGTTATTGAGGGTCTTTTTTGTTGTTTGTTTTGATATGCATGCCTTGGCATTTCTAGTTGCCAGCTTCTTCAGCTCCAAGTCTGGGATATATGAAGCAAAAAAGAAAACTCAGAGAACCTACCACTGTGGCATTCTTGGATCTCAAGATTCTTTATTTGTCTGCTTTTCCTCCACAGTTCAGAGTCTTCTTATGCTTGTTTTACATATAATGTCCAGTGTTTTTATTTGTACTTAGTGGGAGAAATAGGGAAAAGTGTGTCTACTCCATCTTCCCAGAAACAGAAGTCCCTGAGCCGTTGTTTTTAAAGTAAGTTACAGACATCATGATATTTTTTACCTTAAAATACTTCATGATGTATCTTCTAAGAATACAGACATCTGTCTACATAGCCAGGACTTCATATCACATCTAAGAATTTAACATTGATACAATATTATCTAATATATGATTCCTATTCAGATTATTTCTGTTGTCTCCAAAATGTTTTCTGTGGCTATATTTCTCCTGATCCAGGATTATGCATTTCATTTGATTGTCGTGTACCTTTTGATCTATGATACAGTCTCCCAGCCTTTTTGTTGTTGTTCTATTTTAGTTTGGTTTTATCTTTCTTAACATTGACTTTTTTAAGAGTTCAGGCAAGTACCACAATCTGGATTAGTCTGTTACTCGTGATTATATTAAGGTTAAATATTCTGGCAACAGTGCTGTATAGTATAATATGCTGAATATCTCTCATTGCTTCAGTCAGGAAATGTGATAAGTTTGATCATTTGGTTAAGATGGTGTCTACCAGATCCCCATTGCAAAGATATCTTTTTCTTCTTTGTAATTAATAAGTAATATGTGGGGTAGAGACCTATTATTTTAAAAGCCTTGGAAAACCTTGAATTAAATATATGTGTGTGTGTGTGTGTGTGTGTGTGTGTGTGTGTGTATATATTACTGGAAATGCTAGCTCATTTTTACAGTAGCATTCCAAGCAATAAATATAGATAAAAAATGGAAATATAAAATCACCATTAAGCGAACACCACAGTAATCATTGTTGCAGGCAAGAATCATTAATGGATACTAAAATTAATGAGCAAAAGTATGATGAGATAAGATATTCACATAATCTCAACTCCCTGCCCCCAAGACAATAATTGCAAAGGGAATAGATACCACCTTATTAAGTGATCTAATTTAATATGTAATAACATGTATTGCGTATCACCTCTGATATTCTTGCCAAAATTGTATAACCTCATTTCAATCTTGACAAAACATCAGACACACCCAAGTTGAGGGACATTCCTACAACATAACTGATTAATACTCTTCAAGACTGTCAAGGACATGAATTTTTTTTTTTTTTTTTTTTTTTTTGAGATGGAGTCTTGCTCTGTTGCCCAGGCTGGAGTGCAGTGGTGTGATCTCGGCTCACTGCAACCTCCGCCTCCCAGGTTCATGCCATTCTCCTGCCTCAGCTTCCCGAGTAGCTGGGACTACAGGCGCCCGCCACCACACCCGACTAATTTTTTGTATTTTTAGTAGAGACAGGGTTTCACTGTGTTAGCCAGGATGGTCTCAATCTCCTGACCTCGTGATCCGCCTGCCTGGGCCTCCCAAAGTGCTGGGATTACAGGTGTGAGCCACCATGCCTGGCCAAAAATTTTTTTAAAAAAAGATGGAGGAGCTGTTACAGATTGGAATATACATGACAATTAATGCAATACAGAATCCCAGATTAGATTCTGGACCAGAAAAAGGACCCTAGTGGGACAATGGGCAAAATCTGAATAAAGTCTGTAGATTAGCTAAGAGTATTGAATCAATGTTCATTTCCTGGTTTGATGATTATACTATGATTACATAAGAGGATAACGGGGAACAGGGTGAAGAGTATACAGTAAACAAAGCGTATACAATAAACTGTTTTTGCATCTTTAACTCTAAAATTGTTTAGAAAGAAAAAGCTATTTTTTTCTATTTTTTCAGTCTTATATGATGAAAATCACTGATAAATACTTCCAATTCATTTTGCTTGGATAGCAGTCTTCTTTTTAAGTAAACAGTCCAAATTTGCATAAGAACTAAACATATTTAACAGAACATTTCCACATTCTTTCTGCATTATAACAGACACTGGTGTGTCCTTCCCATTCTGAAGCCTGGACACAGTTTCTCAGAGAGACCTGGGCCTCTCTCTTAGACTTTGTGGTTCCTATACTTACCAGGTTGTGAATTTTAGACATCTTCTAGAAAACAGTTTATTCACTCAACACATTGAGCACTTACTATGTCCCAGGCACTGTTCTGGGCACTGGAGATAAATGAGTAAATAACAGTAAAAAATCTCACCCCTCATGAAATAGATTCTGTTGAAAGCCTATGGATGACAAACAAAATAAGCACATTTCTCAAGTATGTTTATAGTATGTTGTGGAGAAAAATAAAGCAGTAAAGGGTGAATGCCAGGATGGGCAGGAGCGGTGAGAGGGGGAGTACTTTCTTGACCGTTTCATCTAAAATAGCACCCACTATCATTCTTACTCCCTATCCCTTTTTCCTGCTTTCTCTTTTTCAAGACATAACTGTTTGATATTATATATTTAAAATACATTTATAATTCTTCCCCATTAAAATTTAATATTTATATGAACAAGGGCTTTGTTTTACTTACAACTGAAGAACAATGCCTGACTTGTAGCAGGCCCTGAGTAAATATTTGTTGAATGAATTCTCCCTCAAATGTTCAGTCAGATGCTGTACCTAGCATAGTTCCTTGTACTCAGTGGGCGACTAGTAAAATGTTGTGGATTTTGTTAATACTCAGACTCAGGTTATATTAAGAGTCCATTTTGTAGAATAGCTTGTATGTGCTTTTTTGTATTTTCCTGGGTGAGAATGGAACACCCGCAGACCCTGGGAATGCTTCTTAGTTGCCTGTCACCATGGGGAATTTGCTCAGCCTGTTTGCAAGGAAGTCATTCCATTGTACTTCCATTTAAAATATGATACAAAATGCTTTTCTTCTGAAAAATGAAAAACTTAAGAGGAAAATCTATTTCCCTTTCAAACTGTGAAACTTTCATAGCTGAATGTCTTAGATATATGCTACATTATCTTATCCCTAGATAAAAAATAACCTTATCCATTCTTATATTTTACTCTCTGACCTGTTACAATTTTATATTAGAAACATCTGTTTCTTTTCCTGTAACCCTAATCATCTTTCATTTTTATATTTTGAACAGTGTTATTTACTTGTCTACTACACCGGCTGGCGGAATGTCAAATCTTTTTTGACTTTTGGCTTAATCTGTCTATGCAACATGTATCTCTATGAACTGCGCAACCTCTGGCAGCTTTTCTTTCATGTGACTGTGGGAGCATTTGTTACACTACAGATCTGGCTAAGGCAAGCCCAGGGCAAGGCTCCCGATTATGATGTCTGACACCATCCTTCAGATCTATTGCCTTGGCTTCAGGGGGATAAGGAGGGAACATATCATAACTGCACTGTGATGAAGAAGCTGTTCCCCACAGAGGAGAAGCTCTGCTTTCTTTCTCTCCAACTTTCCTTTTTTAAAATCAGCATGATGTGCCTGTGAGCATGGAAGAGTCCTCTCAGAAGAATGTTGGCCATGAGACTATCATTCAGAGGAGGAGGGGATTTCTCTCTTCAAGGCCGTAACAGTGGAAGAACAGTCATATGCCATTGGAAGTCTTGGCCAGCAGTCCTGAATCCTTCCTGAAGAGTTCAGAAAATAGATGTGGTATTGCTCTGAGGACCAGGCAGGAGGAACTCTACAACCTGAGTTTGCCTTTGTGAGGCATTAGTATAGACCAAATAAAAAGCTGCAGAAATTGGAAAGTTTATGTTTTAAATAAATGACTGTGATAAATATCAGATTATTTGCACACTTATGGTACTACGAGTTTATAAAGTCCAAGATGGTGTGAAATTGGTTCTTTTTACTTTTATATTTTTGCTTGAATCTTAACTCTGGAAATCACCTGATGTAGAAGAAGACTGTGATGAGCTCGTCTGTGGAACATCACAAGTATCGAAAATACAGTAATGGATGTTTCCTTTCTAATCCACATTTATTGTTTCTTTTGAAATCACGTCTAAAAAATATGACTCACACTATAGCCGTTGTTTCCCAAACTTCAGTCTCTTTAGTACTACTTGTATTATTTTCTTAATATTTATCTTTTAAATTTTAAAGTTTTTTTAAAAAAATGAATCCTGCTCCAAGTGGAAAACCAGTATCAGTTTGCCATAAATAAAAGGTAACCACAAAATAAGTAAGATGAACACAAAAAATGTTGTTCAGTTCTAGCTAGAAACTAATGCCTAGAAAGGCTCCGAATCTTAGGCTCTTTCTTTGTGGCAGTGAGGGAGATGTTACCAGCACCAGCATGAGGCACTGTCTCTGGAATAGTCAGAGGATAAAAGGAAACTGTAAAGGGAATGACATTCTCACTGTGATTCAGCATTATTCTATGTTGTGCATCACTTAAAGACATGTTGTGTGCCACCAGTGGCATGGGTCCGCACTATGGAAATGCTTGACTGTAGTAAGAATCAGAAGGTGGCTTTCCTAGCAACTCATTATTTTATGGCTTTGAGGAATTAAGCCCCTAGTATCTGAGAGAACTTACTTGTTTTTTGATAACGTTTTAAAGATTGTTTAAGCAGTTATGAATTAATAATATAGGAAGCACAGTTGGATTCCACTAGCAAAATCTATAACTCTCATGGTTTTGGAAGTCATCTTCATGGGTGATTTTCCTTTGTTTTTTAAAGAAAATATTTCAAACAAGGAATTCATAGGATACTGAAATTTGATATCATCCAGAAAAACAGATCCCATTACATTGTAATTGTTGTTACTAGGCATATTTATTAAGTAGAGAAATAGAGGGTAAAAAGTTAGTGAACTGTCTTGTTTGCGTGAACCAGTATTTGTGGATATGTCTAGAACTGTAAAATCTTGCTTAACTAGAACCTTAGTCTGCACCCTCCTTTTAGGAGAATGAGGTAAAAGGAAGACAATAAGCTTATGATATCAGGGATTCATGTAAAACAGGAAATAGTAGTTGGCTCCAGTCTTCTCCTCTAACAAAAGTATGCATATTCTGAGAGATACCCCAAGGCATCACAAGATCCTGAATCATCAAAACACCATTGAATTGTGTTGGGCATTTTGTAGCCAGGAAAGTGAAGTGGTTCAATTTAGAAAGGGTTTCAGGCCAGGCACGGTGACTCAGGCCTGTAATCCCAGCACTTTGGGAGGCCGAGACAGGCAGATCACTTGAGACCAGTAGTTTGAGAATCAGCCTGGCCAACGTGGTGAAACCTCATCTCTACTAAAAATACAAAATTTAGCTGGGTGTGGTTGCGCGTGCCTTTAGTCCCAGCTACTCGGGAGGCTGAGGCAGGAGAATCGCTTGAACCCAGGAGGTGGAAGTTGGCAGTGAGCCAAGATCACGCCACTGTACTCCAGCCTGGCCAACAGAGCGAGACTCTGTCTCAAAAAAGAAAGGTTTTCTAAACTAATGGTTAAAACAGAATTTTCTTGTAAATAGGGAAGTTGGAGCATTCTGGTTGAGATTTTGCTCTGTATTGACACAGCTCGCACCAGTTTGGTTCAGGAGCTACCTCCTTGTCATTGAATTGACGAGTTACAATGTTTGGTATTCGGATACATTCAGCAAGAACACTTGAAAACTCCTCACCAACTATTTTTAAAGGCTTACTTTGTTTTTGTTTTTATTTTTTCACTGGCTATTTTGGATAAGAGGATGTTTACATCTTAATGTAAAAAAATGAAAACAGGTATAAATGTTTTATGTATAGAAATGTTTTCTTTCATTATTTGGTGCCTGTATCTCCGTGTTTATATCATTTCCCCACCTGTATCATTGCTGCCAAAAAAAGAACTTTGAATTTAGAAAAAGAAATTGGTGTAAAGTCCTGGCCGGGCACGGTGGCTCATGCCTGTAATCCCAGCACTTTGGGAGCTCAAGGTGGGTGGATCACGAGGTCAGGAGTTTGAGACCAGCCTGGTCAACATAGTGAAACCCCGTCTCTACTAAAAATACCAAAAAAAATAAGCTGGGCGTGGTGGCAGGCGCCTATAGTACCAGCTGCTTGGGAGGCTGAGGCAGGAGAATCGCTTGAATCCAGGAGGCGGAGGTTGCAGTGAGCCGAGATCACACCACTGCACTCCAGCCTGGGTGACGGAGTGAGACTCTGTCTCAAAAAAAAAAAAAAGTCCTTAGGCTCTTTAGAAAGAATCACTTTAGGCCTCCATGGTGTATGATCTTCTGTTTCTATTGCACTTCTAAGAGCAAGCCTGAGTTTACCTCCTCATAGTTTTGTAGCATAGGAGCAGTAGTAGCTGCCCTCACTCTAAGGGGGAGGACACAGAGGTGATCAGATGGTAATGACTTAGCCAGTTCACATAGCTAAGCACACACAACCCTGATCTAGTGCAGGGCTCTTCGCACTAGCATGGAACTAGTGAAGGTGACCAGTGTTATATTCAGGGAATATGACTGTTCTTGGTAAAGCCAAGGAGTTGAGGGGTTCTGAAATTGGTGAGTCCAGGCCTGCTGCTGGAGTATTTTATCCTAATAGGTGTATTTTATTTTAATTTAGATAATTCCTAAATACTGCTTTTTGATTAAGGTGTACCATGAGAGCGAAGATACCCTCTTTTATATACTAAGATAATTGCAATATTTGCTTGCTTTTTTCAGTCTGTATTTGAAATATATTTACATTAATACCTGGCCTCTTTCCCAAAAGCACTTGAAGCAGCATACCAAGAAAAGACATATACAGCCATGTTAATGAAATATGAACAGAAAGGGAAGAAAAACAAATGAAAATTGAAGGGAGGGTTTACATACATTATTGTATGTAAAATTTGACTCTGGAACTTTCTGGAAATCAAGGCTAAGGGTAGGGAAAGAAGTTATGCACTGCCCTATCAGTAGGTGAAAAGCATACCAGTTCCTTAGGGGAGAGCCTTTCCTGATGCCTTCTAGTAAAGGTGTTCTCACTGGGGGTCCTGTGAAGTGCTAAAATGAACAGAATTCTCGATTTTCACACATTTACATGTTATGATTGTGCCTTGGATCCTTACCTTGTACCAGCTTTCAAAGGCTTCCATTTCAGGATTTGGGGGGATTTGTGTAGGTGTGGTTAATAAAGGATTTTGTTTTCATAGGTAAGAATCCTAAGCTGAAAACAAGTATTAAGCTTGAAAATCATTTGAGACAAATGCCTTAAGACATGGAGAACCTTTACCCAATTCTGTATTACAGAATTATAAGATTGAAAGTGAGTGTGCTATCCTTGGATTGGCACATTTATATTGCAGTAAATGTCTCCACAGTGGAATCTAGTGTGGAGAGATGGACAGCTCCATTTCTGTTAGGCCACGTGTGGAACCCCATTAGACTCCTACTTCATCAGGGCTCCACAGAGACCAGAAGTTTGTCATAAAGGACCTAACCTCCGTGGCTTCTGAGGTCAGCTGCTCCCCTAAAAGGCAATTGCTTGGCCTTCATTTCAAAAGGTTTACTAAGTGACCTAAGGTCATACTCTGAGCTGTTGGGTTTCCAAGGAACTCAACAAAGGTTGTGTGTGTGTGTACACCTTCCTTGTTACTATTTTAACAGACTTTTGGCTCACTGTAAGAGTTAGAACTTCTGTGGAGTGTGTGGTAAAAGAACACATACGTTCAAGAGCAGCCACCACTCAAAACCTCATTGAACACTTAGCCTTAACCACAAGTTATAGGTCACTCTTTAGGGCCACATTCTTTGTCTGTGTTCAATGCTTTATAGTATTTTTCTGCCTTATCTCTAAGGAACCAAAGTCTTTCTCCCTAAAAATGCTGTGGTAAAGTAAGGTCTGATTTTAGGGTTAAATTGGCTTTAGTAATAACCTCGCTAAAAGTTAACAAAAGAAACCCAGCTCCAAGGGTTGTGACTGAGTTTGTGTAAAAGGGCTGAGTGAGCCGAGAATGTCACTCTGAGCATTACCGGTAAGGTTGGAGGTGTGTGATCATTAATGTTCTGGGGCTGCTGTTGAATGCTGGCAGATTGCGGCCTCCTGTTTAAGCATCGAGTTTTTCAAAGAGAAAAACTGGCTGCCACTCTTGTCTCTTTCTTGAGTGGCTGAGTTTTCTAGGTTATTTAGTAGATGAAATCAAAAGAAACGTGGAAACACTGTGTGGTTGGAAGCCACGTGGCGCATATGCTCCTGCTTGTTAACAGTGAGTGGTGTTGATGCGTGGGCATTCAGGTTTCTTCTGCGTTGGCAATGCTGATGTGTAATCAGTCGTCTCAGCACAATTGGGGGTTTTAGGAAACTCAGAGATCAGCCTTAGTTCTCAGAGTTTTTGAAATCAATATCCTAGCCTTATGAATTGTTCCTTGTGTTTCCTTGGCAACAAACAGTATTTTCAGCCCAAACCCACCCACGGTTTACATTCACCCCTTTCTCCTGCATCTCACAGCACAGCCATACAAGCATCACCCAACAGAAAGCACATTCAGGCACCATCTGACAACGGGAAGCAGGACTCAGGCATTCCACTCCCCATTTGTTCCTGGTGTCCCCTCCCCAGCTCTGCCTTGCTTGCTTACCTTCTTTGTGCCAGCACTTTTCTTTGAGGTTGGGTTGCAAAGGACCTTGCCTAAAGATGAACAAAGTATTTCATTCTTGCACTTTGAATCTCTCCAGTGCCTAGGACTAATGAGGAGAATGCTTGTTAGCTCATTTTGTGGGCCAGTGCTGGGTTCTCCTTAGTTCATCCTTATGGCAGCATGAGGTGGAGCGGGCACGATCTCATTTGCATTTGAGGAAACCAAGACTCAGGCCAGGAACTTGTCTTCGTATGGTATGACACTTGGTGGTGGATGTGAAGTTCAAATTTGGAGTTGGGTTTAAGTCGCTTGAAAGTTGGTGCTCATTTTTCTGTGCCACAGTGCATCTCAGAAAGACACTTCTTAGGGAATGTGTGTGTGACTGACGACAGCTGGGTTCTTACTGTTTTAGCAGCAGTGTGAACAGATGAAGCAGACAGGAAGGGGGAAATGGCAATGTATACTGTGTGACAGGCACTATGCTAAGCATCTCATCTTTACCGAAAGCATTTATGAAGGTTTTCTCTTTTAAAAATGAGCCACCTGGGCCATGAAGAAGTTAAGTGACTTGACCACAGTCACAACCTAACCCATGTGGTAGCATCAGGATTTCAGTCCAGATCTGACTCAGAACTCATGCTCTTAACCACCATGTGATTTTAAGCTGGATAACATGGAAATACGTTTAAATATATAAGGAATATATGTAAAGGTAATATACATTACTTTTAAATAAGACATCAGGTCAGTGCTAACTCCTACAGTATAGATGTCCCAGGTTGAATAAAATAGTTTCCTAAAATCTCTACATTTATAACAATGACATAGGACAGACAGGTGGCTGCAAGATGTATGGTGAAGCTTATGTATACCTTAGCTATTAGGGCAAGAAGTATACATTTTAGTACTTGTACTAAAACTAACATATAAATTAATCTTGATGTGGAAAATAAAAGCATTATTGGTGATTTGGGTGTTACAAACATTTGCTTTTCCTAGCAAAATGCCAGAATAGGTTGATTCTTTGACTTGATGTCATTTAATGGGAATTCTGTTAGGTGATTAGGGAATTTGTGATCCCTCTGAAAACATTAACCAAAAAATAGAAGGGAACTTTTCACAGTGTAAAATAGTGTTTAAGAGTTTGGAGCCAGAATCATCCCTGGCTCTCTCTTCTACTAGCATGGTGACCTCAGCAAATTACTTAATCCTTCTGCCTCAGTTTCCTCAGATGTAAAGTGGGGATAATAATCGTACCTTTGGCAAAGCAGTGTTGTGACGATTGAGTGCGTAAATGTAAAGCACTTAGAGACTGGCACATCAAGTGCTAGGAGAGCGTTTGCCACCACGTTGTGGTCTTCCTTGTTGCAGTTAAAGGTGCTAAGAGTCTTTTAAATTGCAAATGCCCCTGAATGTCGTAAATCATTGCACAAAACTTTTCAGAAGCCACCACTTAAGTAAGAATCCCATTGAAATATCTAGCAGGCAGGCACTTGTGGGCAGACTTCTGGTCAGGGCACTGGAGGTGCATCCAAAGAGAGAAGAGGGGGTTGAAGGACTCACATTTGCCAAATGCCTGCTGTATGCCAGGTGCTTTGCCCACCTTAAAGTCCTCCTGAGGGAAGGAAGCAGGATGAAGCCCTGTGTCACACACCTGGGAGTGGTAGACTGTGCTCGCCAGTACCTGCAGAGTCTCCCAGGCACTGGGGTGCTGGTGAGTGAGGGAGGTGCCTCTAAGAACCTTGCCCTATCCAGCATGGAACCAGCATTTTGGTCCCAACACACCTGACTTGGAACATTCGAATCTGATCTACAATTTGCTCATGGATGGCAGCAGCCCTTGTGCCCACACTCTGAGGGCCCTCGTGAGTGTGCACACGCGTTGATGGGAAGATGAGGGGTGTGGGGAGGCAGCCACAGCCTTCAGCTGCAGTATCATGCAGATGCTGGGGACGTGAGAGCTGAAAGGCGCTCTTAAATTGCACAAATGCAACATGGCTTTTAAAAGAATCTGAGGCAAAAGGCACCCTCCAAAAAAACCCATGTGAGCCGGGAGGGGACTGCCACTATAGCTAACAAAGTGGGGAAGCAATTTTGCAAAGTAAGAAAACTAGTCTCAGGCTAACCAGAGATGCTGACAAACCTGAGATTCCAGGCAGATCTAAATTAGAAATCGGTCAAGGGAAAACCGTGATAGTCCCCCTTATGGATTCCAGTGAGAATTCTTTAAATTCATGGCCCTGATGGAGTAGCAGTAGGAGAGAGAGGCCCTGGGGATGCAAATGCCCTCAGTGGATCAGCTCTGCTCACTAGACACTTGGGCAGGTGAGGTTGGGCGCTGGGAATCCCGTGGGGACAGGATGCCTGCCTACTTGGCCCTCAACTCTAGGTGAATCCTATCCTTCTCTTCACCGTCTTCCTCCCCTTCCCTCTCTGGACCCTCTGCTTGCTCTGTGAACCTGGATTGATCTCCACTCACCCGTCACTCCTGAATGGGGCCCTCGAAGGGAGACACCCCTGACTGTGCTGATGTTGTGAACGCTGCTGGGCCAGACTGGTGTCTGCAGGAGGACAAAGCAAGGGCTGGTTCTGACTTTGGTTTGAAGGTGATTTTCCCACACATCCCCCTTGGCACGATACTTTTACCTCATTTGTCTCTGTGCCTTTGGCTCTAAATCTTAACGTCTTAATTAGATTGTGTTTATATTTGCACCATACATGTGGTCTGGCACTTGAAGATTGGATAGAGAGTGACACAAATATTTAGACTCAGGGAGTGCCAGTGGAGGGAGAGAGTCTGGAGACCAGCTACTCCAATGCCCTCATTTGCCTTTGCTCATGTCCGTCTCGTCAAGCAGGGACCCTGCAGGTGGGAAAGAAAGATGGCGAGAGGACAGCCAATATCACATTTTCCTTCCCAAGACAGGGATGAAAAGCCACCAAGACGGCTTTTGTGAAAATCTGGAAGGACAAGAAAAGCCCACTTAAGTCATCAGATCTCATTTCATCTATTGTTAACCTTGAGGAGTGGTGAGCCCGCTGTTCCTGCCAAGCTCTTCAATACCCAGCTAGATGGGCACCCTGAACAGAAGTGCTTCTGGACTAGTGCCACAGGGACTGCTCTGAGTACCAGGGTGGCCTTGGGCAAGGCTCTGGTCCTTTCTCGAATGGCTTCCCAGGCCTGAGGAGGCACAGGTGAGAAAATGTGTGTGGAAGCTCTCTACACACCGTGAAGTTCATCCAAATGGAGTGGGATGGTCTCTCTGGTCTGCTGTGCCCTCCCCCTCCCCACACCCATAAATAACAGCAGCCCTTCCAACTCTCCTCCTGATCCTGTGCTCAGTGATGGGGGCCTTGCAGTGGGCAGCCAGGGCCAGCATGGCCAGCATGGCCAAGCCCTGTCAGTCCCTTCCCTCTGAAGGTGAACTGGACAGCATTTGTTCTCTTTAGTGTGTGATTTGGATTTAGACAAATTCAAAAGCTGCCGTATTTCAGAGCGTGTTTGTCACTGCCATCATCGTTCTTTTGTTCAGGCAGCAGTGAGAATCTGCTAAGCACTTGTGAACACTATATGCTGAAATGCCTGAAAAGGCTTTCCTGCCCTGCAGGGACCCGGGCTCAGCACCTTTTTCAGACTCCAGGAAGCTCATATCCCGCTGATGAACAGCTCGTGGCCATTGCAGCACTATGGAAAACCCGCAGCTCCTGGCGTCATTTAACTACATGCCACTCAGGTAATTTTGCTTTTGGAAAAGTTCTGTGAATGTATTTCTAACTTTGAATGTCTTAAGAGTAAGGTGGCTAGCTGGTGAATATTTATTTTGAGCCTCTCCAATGCACCAGGATTCACTGTCTTCCCACTAATTAGCTGCTAACATCACACTACAGTCAAATCATCACCATGTTGGCTGAAGTCTGGTCTTGGTTTCAGTGATGTTTGCTGTCAGTGGGCGTTAAAGTGGTGTTCAAAACTCACCCCACCTATCAAAAGCATCTTTTCAAATCAACTTTTTGCTTATTGGTGTTCTAGATATGAATATGCTTTTGGAAAAAAGTAGACCCTCGTAAGGGAGAAACAAGTAGGTTCTCTGGGACTAGCTCAGTGGGGATGGGGTTGGAAAGGGCTTTTGATGGTTTTGAGTTGCATTTCCTTGGTATCTACACGCGTGGTTTCATGGAGCCTGCCTGAGGGCCTAGTCTCTACTGGCTACAGCAGGGTGGAAGTTCTTCAGGAGCTGAGGTTCCCACGTAGGCCAATTGGCCCCTTAAGTTTGAACGTTTTATCATTTGGTCTCCTTTTCTAATGAATGTACTCCAGCATGAAAATTTCTCAGACTTAAAGTCTTACCTCAGTAAAATGACATCTTTCTGCAGGCACATTGAAGTCCTTAATGATGTCTACCTTCTTTGGAGCAGGAGGCCACATGCCCAGGACTGACATCTATGTCCCCACGTGGCTATTGGTCAGTGAAGCTGTGAAATCTTTTTCACTGCTGCCTTTATTTATACCTGTGTTCAACTTAATGTGAGCAACCCCCTCTGAATTTCTTTCCTTAACCCAAATATAACCTGGCATTTGATGGCACAGCAGGCAGAAGTGCTGACAGGGGCCCCTGCCTCCCCTACCACCTCTCCCTTCCTCTCAGCGGGGAGAGGAGTCCTAGGTCCGCATGAGTTTCCTTGCATGGGGTTTGACGGCAGACAGGCCTGCTCTGAAACTCATCTCTGTTCATTACTAGCTGTGTGGCCTTAGGCAAATAACTCAACCTCTCTGTACCTCAGTTCCTTCATCAGTATGATTAAATGAGATAATGTTTGTATGGTGCATATCCCAGTGTGGCACACAGAGAATGCCATCATTATTAGCTATGCAGGTCAAATCAGTTCACTTCTGGCCTGCAGCTTGTCCCCACTCACCTGCCTGGGTCCTTTCCATTATCTGTGTTCCATGCCTGTGTTTTCACCTTTCTTTCCCGTGGCATATAAACATGTTTGGCTCATCCAACATATAAACATGTTAGAGCATCCTTCCCTGGACCTGGTCTTTTCTGGTCTGATCCTGGATTTTGTATCCCCTTCACTTCTGGTCCCTACTCAGCTCTTGTTCCTCAGCCTCCTGCTCTGGGTGCACCTGCTCCCCAGCCCCATGCACTGACTCTTGCTATGGTCACCAGTGTTCTCCCACAAGGACCGCAGTCTTCAGCCAACATTATCTCTATAGCAAGGTGCTGTCCCCCACTCAGGGGAGTTCTCTGCCCTCTGCGGCTCCCCTCCCCAGCACCCCCAAGGCTGGGTACACTGTTCTTCAACCCAGGGCCAGGCCCCCCTGGCTCAACCTGCAAATCAGACCAGGACACATTACCAGTGAAAGTGTTTAATAGTTAAATTATTTAAATAGACTTTTCAATTTCCATGGGAAATCATAATCGTATCTGTTTTTGCAAGAGTAGGAATAAAAAGAGTGCACACCCTTTAGAGGGAACGAAGAGCTAGCACTGCACCTGCACACTGTCACCAGTCACTGCTGGGATGGGAGAGGGGTCCCCATGGGGCCGGGAAGCCATGACCATGGGAGAACATGGGATGAACTCAGCACACACACTTTACTCAGGTTGGAAGCAGAACGAAAACCCAACACCACTGGCGGGCGATGTGGAGGGGCAGGGAACTTGAGAACAACAGCTGGAAGAAAGCAGGCCTCCTGTGGCCGACGTCAGGATGGCAATGCAGAACTCAAAGGATGGAGCAGCAGAAGCACGGGACAGACTCAGGCTTGGCAGTTTTGGGTCCACACACTTTGCTTCTCAGAGCTGTGTTCAGTTGGTGTGCGGGGAGGGGAGGGTGGTGCTAGAGCCCAGTGAGAGGTGGTACAGGTGGACATCAAAGTCACATTGTGGCAGCTGGCACAGAGCCACTGCCTCATCACCTCCAAGCTCATGTTGGAGGTGAAGATCATTCTAACCTGAGAAGCAATGGAAAGATTTGGGCATGGGCCCTAAGGATTCCACTGAATTCTGTGCTAGAGTATCATTTTCCAAATGTCTTCCTCATAGGTTATAAAAATAGTATTTTTTTCTTGGTATGTTTAACTGCCCCCTCCCACTAAAACAAAATTCCTGCTAGCTTTCCCTGTGGACTCTAAAGCTGGGCTCTACCCATTCCTCTGCCTGGTTTGCCGGTGGAGGTCAAGGCCACTCCCTTTCCGCAAACCTGAAGGCTGCACATTGCATCCCCCAGTCTGAGTGAACATCTCCAGGAAGAGCCACCTGCACCTTGGCCAACTGAGTAGGCCAGGGAGGCTTGGCTTCCTCGTCCCAGCCTGCAAAGCACCTGGCCTTCTGTAAGCACTCTGGAATCTGTGGGCGCTGCCTCTGTAAGCCGCAAACGTCTGAAATCTCAGGGTGTGGAGGGCACCACACTGCCTGTCGCAGGATGAGATTGCTTCCCTTGGTTCCAGCTCGGCCTGGGATGGGAAAGCAGCTTTTTGTTTTCTTATTCCATCTGCGTTTTGCTTAGGGGAAGGAGGGTGTGTGCATGTGTGTACATACGTGTGCGTGTGTCAGAAAAGATGGGGCAGTGTGTCCATGCATCCTCCTACTTAATCTGAGCATATGGTACCCCAAAAGCACACACCCACTGCTCTGGTGGTACCTTGGAAAACCCAAAACTGCCAAATCTGAAATGAGGGAAACACATCCTGTGTGAGACCAGTTCCACAGCATGAACACACACACATATACACCAGTACATACACCGACATACACACAGTACAAATGAGCACACCCGCCCTGCTGTGCACAGCTGTTTTCTAATATAGAGAATTTACAAAATATAGAATTTGGCATATCTATCTGTGAGATCTCCAAGGCTTTCAATAATACAAAATAAAAAATACAAAAAAGACAAGTGGGGATCCCCGCCCTCCCCCCGAGTGGCGTCCTCGTTTGCTTGTGTGTCTCTTACACGCATACAACTAGCATAGTCTAAAGAAGGGCACGGAGAACTTGTTTTGTTTTATTTAATAAATATTTTTCTCAGAATCACCACTCCTTGCTTGGCGTCCTCTTGCCTCCCCCTCGTAATTAGTTCTGTTTCCCTCCTAGGGCACTGTCTGTGTGCGTGGAGGTGTGGGCAGAGGACCACGATGAAGGCCACAGTCCCTCCAAAGCCAGCACTCCTGTGCCAAAGCCCCTGCAGGTGCAGGGTGGTGGCCTGTCTGAAGTTTAAAGGCTCACATAGAAAAGCAGACCCCTGGGGCCCCCTAGGCTCTCCCAGGCCACATTCGAGCCCGTCTACCCCCAGCTGAGTCGGAGGCCCCTCAGCCCTGCCCTTGTCTGGGCCGTGCCACACACACATTCCCACGGCTCCTTTCCACCTGTGCAGCAGCACCTGTTAGAAAACTCAAGCTTCAGACCCAGTCTAGCAGAGTCTTCTACAGAGGGAAACATCTTTGGTCAGCTGGGTGCTCGCAGGACGCTGGCACCCCGGGGCCTGGGACAGAGGCCGCTGCCCACCAGCAAAGGCAGAAGCTGCTCTGGAGTCCAAGTGGAAAATCTCAGCAGCGCAGCCCTGCGGGCTGGAGCATGGCTTCCCCGCCACCCCCGGCACACAGAGAAGCTGCTTCCATGCCTCTGGAGGCCAGGCTGCCTGGCACCATTGGCCAACAGCTGCTAACTGAGCGGGGGCCCTCCATTGAGGAAGTAGGTCATCATCTCGCCTTTGCCCTTGACCTTGACCACGCCCCGGCACTCCAGCTGGTACGTGTTGGCAGCCAGCACCTGGTACATGTCTGTGGTGACCTGTGGGGGAACAGGAGGAGAGAGGGCAAGCCACTGATGGCCTTGGCCATGAACTGCTGTGGGGTAGAGCCACCTCTGACTGCCCAGCCCTGTTGCCGCCCCTGACACAGAAGGAGAGGGGCAGCTGCCCCACTGAGGTGCTCTCAGGGACTGACAGACAGCAGCTCACCATGGAAGGGATCCTAAGAAAAGAGCAACGCCAGCTCTCACCCTCAGCACCTGCTCGTGCCAGGCACTGTGACGGGCAGCTTGCGTGTGCTGTTTCAGTGTGGCCTGTGGTCCATGGACTGACTGCCCTGAGTCCAGAATAAGTTCAGGAGTGGACAGTAAGTGCCGGGGAGCTTTCAAAGCCATCTGACCTGGCTGCAGCCCGTCTCCAAGTGTGTCCCCGGTGCATTGTACAAAAGCATCCCTCCGTGACAGATCAGAACGATTTTTAAAAGCTGCTTTTTTCACCACAGGTCGTTTGAGAGCCTTTGCTTATCTCACTGCATCTTCCTGTGAGGTGACTAATGTTATTACCCTCAGGCTCAGAGCATCTAAGTCACGAGCCTGAGGTTACACAGTGAATAAATGGCAGGGCCTGTGCTTAGGTCCAGGTCTTGTTGTCTGGCTCTGCTTTAGCTTTCGGAACAAAGAAGAGAGCTCACCGATGGCCTCACTAATTTCACTATCCCATTGCTGGGTGAAAGAGAAGAGTGGTGGGGACAGATGTGGGGAGGGGCAGCATAGCCAGTGGCTCCTGGGATGACCCAAGAGCTGTTTGTGAGCATCGTCAGAGCTCCCCACCCCAGCCACACTGCAAGCCCACCAGTGAGTGCAAGTGCCAGGCAGCAGGCGGTAGGAGTGCTGGGTGGGCTGCTGAGAGGGGACCCCACTGTGTTACTAGCTGCAGTTCCTGTGTGGTGCAGCCCCACACAAGGTGAGTTGCTGGGTCATTATGGTGGCTGCTCAGAGAGTCCCTTGCGCCTGTCCCTGAATGGGCTGGAAGCCTTGGAAACACACATGCCCCTTGCTCCTATCTCTAGGCCCATCCTGCTGTCCTTCTCTCCTTTGCACAGGGATGGAGGTGAGAAAAGGCCATTAAGGCCAGGCCCCTCGGCCAGCATCCACACCTCAGCCAGGTCAGGCTGAGTGGACCAGGACTGTGCTTGGGGTCAGGCCCTTTATTCAGAGGCCCTGTGGGGGAGAGAAGTCAGGACATTTAAGCAGTATCATCAGTGTTGGCAAAAGGCCTTAAAAGCAGCACAGTTAGCACCTGGAAAAACAGGCCAGGCAAGCTGACCTCCCACAGCCTCACAGAGAACTGGGGGTGAGGGCCGTGCAGGAGGACTACTGCCCAGGGCGGTGCCTCTGCCATCAGACTGCAGCAGAGAATCAAGGAAGGCTCAAAAAGCAGCAGCTGAAGAACAGCAGGCCGGGAAACCACAAGCCCAGCTCGCAAAGGAGGGAGCAAGGGGAAAAGGCCTCTGAGTCTGTGGCCAGGGCCCTTGGCTGCTGGGGCTGGGGGAGGTACCATCCCAGGGCCAGCAGCCCCCACTGGCTCTCCTGAGCCAGGCCAGGAGTGCTGCAGGCTCAATGGGTAAGACCTGCTCCCTGCAGACATCTTTGCATCCTCTCTGTGTGCCTGGGCTAGGAGGCACTGGGGCCTGCATGTGCACTCTCAGCTCGGCCTCTACAATCAGATCCACTCCCAGCAGCCCCCAGTCCCTTCCATGCCCAGTAGAGGGCTCTGCAGAAGCCTGAAGATCTGTCCAAGGTGCTGAGGGCCTGAAACACAATTGTGTTCTCCAAGCTTCCAAGACATCAGCGTCAACAGCCCCATCACCCTTGAATCTGGCTGCAGACATTCTGACTGGGAACTGTAGGTGGCCTGCCCTGAAGACCTCTCGGTGTCAGACACAGGACCTCCCATGGGGTGAGGGGTGGTGGATGCTCCTGCACTCACCTGGATGCGGTCGGGTACACCGGTGCTGTCCATGCGGCTGGCCACGTTCACGGTATTGCCCCAGATGTCGTACTGAGGCTTTCGTGCCCCTATCACCCCGGCCACCACGGGGCCGATGTTGAGCCCTGCAGGGGACAGGAATCAGCCACAGTCATCACATCTCTGGCTTGACCTTGCCACCATCTGTCTCCCCACATGCTGCAGGTCCTTCTGACTCCCAACCTGAGACACCCGTGGGCTTCCAGGCCCAAGGCTGTGCTAAACCCTGCAGCCTCCCGCTACCCTGCTCCTGTCAAATGCCTGTGAATGCAAGACACAAGGAGCCTGCACCTGTGTCCTCGACACCCCTCACCAGGAGTGCCCTCTTCAAGGTCTCTAGTGACCTCCTGTGCAATGCAGTTGCCTTTCCCTAATCCTCCTCCTCTTGGAGCCATTTAGGCGCAACCTATCAGACTGGCTGTGTCTCTCTTCCTCATTCTTCTGTTTCTTTCCTCGCCATTCTCACTCTTAGATCCTGCCCAACTCATCGCCCTGTGCCAGTCTCCTCTCTCCAAGTCCTCCTGCTCCCCCGCCTCTGAGCTGGGGCAGGCACACTGCAGCAACCAAGCTCTGGCCACCACTTCGGCTCTCCTCTGCCCACTTTCCCAATCTCACCCAAGGCAACGCTGAGCATCACTGCCTCTGAGCCTTCGCTGAGCTGCTTCTCCCTCCTGAAGCGTTCTCTCTCCTCCTCCCCAGGCTAAATCCTGCCCCCATGTATCTGGCTCAACTGATGTTCCCTAGACATTTCCTGTCCTGTCTCCAGGCACGGGGCATTCCCTCCTGTGTAACCTGCCGGTCTCGTACTGTCCTCATTAGGCCTCACTCTTGCCTGTTTCTTGTGTGTGAAGGGCAGGACTGAAAACACACAAGCTCCAAACTAGGCCCCTGGTGACCCTCACTTGGTCAGCAATGCCATCAGTCCTCAGAACTTCCTTCCACGACCCTCCTCATCAGTCCTTCCAAGCCGCAGGCAGCTTTATACCCCATGTGCCATCACCAGGCTGGACTGTCCACCTTGCTGACCAGACTGAGCCCTGATGGCTTCTATTTCCCAAAGCCATGCCACCCAGGGAAGACAAGCCTGAGTCTGTAGGAGGGGAGCTGCCACACAGGCTCCCAGCTGCCTGCCCGGCTCCTTATCTACCTCTTGGCAGATTCTACACTCAGTCCCCAGGCCTGATCCAATCAAGGAGTTGAGGCTTTTCAAAAACACACACTGGGAGAAAAATGCAAACCAAAGCAGGTGGACGAGATGGGGTGAAAGGAAAACAAGAATGGCAATGTTACACAAGACCAAGAGTGCGTGACGTTAATGCAGAAATGGAGGCTGCACATCACTTAAAGCAGACTCCCAGCTGGCTGTGCTCGGGGCCTCCAGCAGCCAGTGCAGGATGCAAACCTGGCCAAGCCCACAAAGCACTGTGCCTATGGGATAAAGCAAGCCAGCTGGCCCAGGGAAAGCCCGATTCCTGACACTCAGGCTGCAACAAAATGTCTCCCAAGGACAGGAATGATCACAATACTGGTTTTTAGTCATCCAATATTTCGGTATAATGTGTTAATTTTGAGAACTGAAATGCCGGTACTTTTGTGGATGATAATTGTAATTTTTAAAAATTTGAAATCTGAATCATTGATGGCTTGAAACATACCCAGGGAGTTGATAATGCATTAAATGGCTAATAGAACAAAGGCCTGCTCTTTCAGAAAGCATTCTTTACCTCCACAGACCTTGGGAGGAGCAACACTCCACCAAGTCAGCTTTCTATTGCAAAACTAACTTGTGCTCCATCAGACCGTACACCCTCGGTAAGACCTATTCTAAGGACAAACAAACTGCAGAAATACTTTGGGCTTTGTGGAACGAGTTCAGAGCTGGCATTCCACAGTTATTTTATGGACACAGTAGGGTGGAACACATGGGGAAGTGTGTACCTGGGTTTTCATTTTACCATTCATCTCTTCTGTAGAGTTGAAACTTGTCAAAATAAAAGGTTGGGGGTAATGAAACAAAACTGACTTTACAAAAAGAAAAATACATATGTTTTTGGTTCAAAGACTTTCTGAGCAAGAATATGGTCATGACTATTTTGAAACTGATCCAGGACCTCTGCCGGACACCACAGAGGTATCGGCACAGCCCCTCCAGAGCCATCCAACTAAGGCAAGGCATGTGACAAAGGAGTCCAGGGAAGATCCAGGGCTTTGACCTGTCACAACCTCCTCACCATTTCTTTCCCCAGTTTGGATGAGCAGCCACTGGAAGATTTTGCTCACCACCTCAACTCAACAATAACCCCACTGACCCATTTCATAACTTGTATAAAAAGAGTAAAAAGTAACTCTTTTTAAGAAGTCAGAATATAATCATTTCACGGTCACTATCACATGATTCTTTAAATGTTTAGTTTTTTAAACTATTTCACTTTGTTTTGCTAACGATTTTGCAGATTACATGTTTGATGTTGTTCTACATTTGCAAATTTAATGACTGGTAACATGTTTATACATTGTGTATTTAAAATGTATCAAGTATTTGATTTTACTGTTTTCCATTTTTACTGAATGAATGTGGAATACTTTTAAATAAAACAACGCGGTTAGGTCAGTATTACTCGAAACAAATGGGACTGCCATCTGCTGTGCTACAACCACCAGAAGGCCCCATGCCCTCGGCACAGAGCATCCCCCACAAAGCCCTTCGAGCAGGCACAGCCTGGGTCCCACCAGGCCGGCCCTGCATCTGAGTGAGGTGGGAACTCACCAAGGGGTGTCCTACCCATGTGGCCCTCATGTCAAAAGGCAGCAGAGGCATCGCCAGGCTCTGGGCGGATTCCGCTGTGAATGACCCATGCCTGCCCCCACCTACTAAGGGCAGGGAACACACCACATCAGCCTCTGCTGCCGCCTGGCCTTCTACCTTGGGACCACAATGGCGGATGCGGTATGGGGTATGGGGGAGCCCCTGCCAGCCCTCTGCCTGACTGCACCCTGGGCTCAGCACTCCCTGGGCCCCCACTCACCGATCTTCATCTGGAAGTTGTTGAAGGAGTGCTCATTGATGTACTTCATCTGGTCCATCAGCTTCATGGCAAAGTCGGCCAGTGCCTTGATGTGGGTCTTGCCCACCTTGTCGTAGGTAGAGTCGTTGAGGCCGGAGGCAGCCATGTAGGTGCTGCCGATGGTCTTGATCTTCTCCAGCTGCCGGAACCGATCCTCGCTGATGATCTGGATGAAGGAGGCCAAACCTGGGTCACCCCAAGCCTGGGACACCGAGGGCCACAGGGAGGGACAGAGGATGTCCAGGGAAGTGCAGCAGCATGGCCCTTCATGTGTCCGCTCTTCACACAGTGGGGCCTGTCTCCATCCTCATCAGTGTGATGCCCGCAACGCTCCTGACACAGCCAGGCCCCTCCACACTCACTCACCCACTGGACAGTGCCTGTGGGCTACCTGCCCACCCTCACGCCAGGAGCCCTGAAGACAAGGTCACTAGTCACCTCTGGGTCTCTTGTCTCCCCTTCAACAAGCTCACACCTCCATCCCACCCAGGGAAACCTCCATTTGTCCAGCAGGCAAATTCTTTCCCTACCCCCTGGCCCCGGCCCTCCTGGAAGCCTTCCCACACTCAACTCAGCCAACTCCCATCACTCCACTGCCCCGGGAGTCTTGCAGGCCGTTCCTGACACTGCCTGGCCAAGCTCCATCATCCTGCTTCTCCCTGTGCCCCATGCCCAGGCCCGGCGTGCCCGCTGGGGTGGCCCCTCTCACGCCCATGACTCAGGAGCTCCCAGGGTCAAGACTGCCCTACCGGGCTCTGCATCCCCAGTGCCTCCACACGCCAGGTGCTCAACCAGAGTATGAGAAGGAAATGAAGGAATGCTTCAATTTGGCCTCTGCTACTCAGGGCCTCACATCTTTCTCCTGCCTCCTCCCTTAGCCTGAGGACTCCTCCTTCCTTTGGTTCTCTCAAAGCCCTGGGCACAGACACTGGGTTGTCCCAGGCCCTGGGACCCCATGCACCCTAGATGGCACAAGAGGAATGGTGGTCAGCGAGCCAGTCAGAGAGCTGCCAAAGGCTAAGTTCAAACAGTGTGGGCTGAAACCCCAGCTCTGCCACTTATTGGCAGTGACCTCAGGCCAGACACTTGAGTTCTGTGGGCCTCAGTTTCCTCATCTGTCACATGATGATGAGAGAGGCCATGTGTGCAAGGTGCCCATTGCAGCACCTGGGGACACGGTCAGGTTCCCGCCGGCAGAGCTCCCATCATCACTGCTTATGTCACGATGGTAGAAGGGGGCGCCAGGTCTCTTCACATCCCTCCCATACCAGGGACTTGTAGGCCCCTCCCAGGAACACAGCCTGACCCAGGCCCCGCTGTGCACCTCATCAAAGTCAGCGATGATCTCATTGAGTAGCCGCAGGCACTCGACACCCTCGTTGTTGGCCTCCAGCTCAACGTAGAACTCGGAGAAGTTGGCGATGGAGGCGAACATGACCGCCACACACTCACAGGACTGATAGTAGAGCTCATCATTGCGCCGCTCGCGGGCCAGGAAGTGAGCGGCCACGTCCTTGGGCAGGATGTTGTGCAGCAGCCGCCGGTTGTAGGCCTGCAGCTCCTCCATCTCCTCTTTCTCCTCTGTGGCCTGAGAGAAAAAGACTGCAAGTCACCCAGATGCCAATGTGAGCCCAGATGTCGGCCCCTCCACCTCCTCCTCTCCGTGGCCTGGAGAAAAAGCACCAGTCACGCAAATGCCAACTTGTGCCCAGGATGTTGGCAAGTACCGCTGTCTCTCCTCCTCTCTCTGCTGTTTCTACTTCCAGGTTTTCTCCAAAGAGCAGGACTTTGACAATCAGAAAAGACATTTCTGAGCCTCGAACTCTCTCTGCCAGCCTCTCTGGGGGTGCTGAGCCTGCAGCAGGGAGCCCCGAGCAGGAACAAGCCTGGAGGTGAGGCTGCAAGGATCCTGTCTGCCAAAGGCCAGAACCAGGCTGGAAGGGAAAAGGATCCAAAACACAGCCCACACAGCCCTCCAGCTCCCCGGTGCTCCTCCACTGTTCATTGTCCTCTTAATATCAGGAAATGGAATCAAAAGCCAGAGTTACCTTAATTGACGGACCTGTGGGGGAAAACAGCCCAAAGCCCTGCCCAGTCTGTCTCCCAGGAGGGCAGACTTGCCCCAGAGCCAGATGCAGCCAGGAGGAGCAAGTGCCAGGAGGGACCCCCTGGGATGAGGATGGGACATCACCAGTGACTTTGGTTTTCCCCCAGTTTGGGTCCTGGGTCTATGGGATTTTTTGGTCACCCACCTTCCAGGTTAAAGGACAGGGCAGATCCCTCGGGTCAAGAGGCCAGTAGTGCCCTACAAGGGGCTGAAGGGAAGAGGTGTCACACACCGAGGTGTGGCAAGGAACCATCTGACAAGAGTGTTCATGAGAAAAATCTGGCTGGCCCACTTGGGCTTTTCCTAACTAAATGAAGACACTTTTCTGCTCAGCTGCAAGTAGAATCTCCAACAGGACCAGGACTGACTCTCAGGGCCCTGGCTGTCCCTGTGGTGGTGGATGTCCATGGGGAAAGAGCTGGTGCTCCTTTCCAAGGCTTCAGGACCTGGGTCCAGCACGGAGGAAGAGCTCCCAGGGCAGAAGATCCAGGACCCCTAGGCTCAATGGCCAGCCCTGCCCCTAAGGTAAGTGGGCTCCTGACTGTGCTGCCCATGGCCTGGTGGCCTCCTGGAGTCCCTGGGAATGTGGCTGTGAGGACTGGGATCATCCCGAGGGCTTCTGGACGCTAAAGGGCCCCGCCTTCCACCACCACCCACAGAGGCACGGGGAGCCAGCTGGTCTGTGCTGTCTTCTTGCCAAGCCTTCCTGCCCAGGTGACCTAAGCTCCTGGGAGGCAGTACCCTTTACCCATGTCCCTCGCCATGAATAAGGCTACCTGTGTCTGGCTCTGGAACAGCTATGCCCACGGGAGAAGGCTGGGGGTGGGGGGTAGGGGGCATCCCTGTGCTTCTTCTCACAGGCTGTCCCATGGAGGAGCCCTGCAGTCAGTTATTTGCCTCTGAAAATGCACCAGACTAGACAGTCCTGCTCCTACCTCTGCTGAGACACATGCCTGGGGGCCCACGGATGCCAGAAGCACTACAGCTCCTTTGATGCACCCTGCAGGTGGCAGACAGCATCAGCCCAAAGTGTCAGACAGAGTGGAGGTGGAAGCTAGGGGCAGGGCCGCTAGAGCAGGCTACAGCTGGGGGCAGAGCCAATCCCCAGGGCCAGGCCAGCTGCTACAGCCACCTCTGCAAACTCCACCCCAGCACAGGTGGGCGCCTGACAATGCAGCCAACTACTTCTGGGGCTGCGCCCTGGCAGGGCAGGAAGGTTCGGGGGGCTACAGCCTCTTGGTGGCCCCACTAAGGTCAATGCTGGAGGAAGGGACAAGAGCAGGCTCTCCTGAGAACTCAGACCCTGCAGTTAGGCTAGGAGGGGGCCAGGCAGGCGCTAGGCGGGTCAGAGTGTGTTCCTTGTGCAGGTGCTTGAAGAATGCTGAGGAGTCCGCCTACCAGCCAACTGTACAGGGGCTGCTAAGCCAGCCTGGGGGCGGGGCAGAGACTATCACTTGCCCATCCCAAGGGCCTGCTTTCTGGTGTTTCTTTATTGGTATTTATGTGATGATGGCTCCCTCTCCCAAAATCCCAGGGGAAGGATGGGAAAATGAGGGACCTGCTGGAAAACTTGAGGGAGAGAAGTTGCCACAGGCTGGCAGGTAGACACAGGCTCACTCACACATTCCTACACACACGCACATGCACACACACACTCTTGTGCATGTGTGTGCACACAGGTGAGGAGGGGGTGGGGGGGGTCACCACTGAGCAAATAAACACATACATGAAAGATAATGGGAGGTGAGTTTCTCATTGCCAGAGATGACATTGCAAGCACGGAACAGGGAAGGCTGGGAAGAAGCCCGAGGTATTGGATTAAAATGGGAGGTAGTGGTATGAACTCAGGATTATTAAAAACAGATCTGTACAGATGGATACTGAAGTAGTACAGATACATGTATACACACGTTTCCACGTACGTTTCCACACCTACAAGCAGCGAGCACACCAAACGCTCAGACCTTGGTTTCTAAACACCACTCTCTACTACTAAGAATGAGGGAGGGCTCTTTGAAGAAATCACAGATTCCCGGGCTGGAGCAGGGAAAGCACAAGATTAGCCTGCGATCGCGTGTGTTGGAAAGTCAGGAAAAGCTCAAAGAGTGATGGAGACCTGTCAAATAACAGACGCCAACTTGAAATGCACATGGGCCAAACCTAGGACAATTTGAGCATTAAAATACATAGTGAGGGTTGCAGACGATAACCCACTGGATTACATGGGAATCTGCGAGTCCAGGCTGAGGTAGAGAAGTGAATAAATAAGCAAATCAATGGAGGAGGAGGGACAGCTCTTCTGTGCAGTAGAATGCCAACCAGCAAGTCCAGAAGGAATGGCGGACACTGGGCATTGCTATCGGGCATTTCCACAGCAGGCACTGAGACAAGCAGGAGCCACCAATGGATGCAAAGGCTGCTGGGCAGAGATTTGCTGAGGATCAGAAAATTAGTGGAATATCAGACTCTCTTTCCATAAAGTGCTAGTCAAATACAAAGGGGGAAAAGGGGACATGACAGTGGAGAAATCTGGCAGATGCTGGTTGAGCAGGCCATCAGGGCTGACATCACCGGTGGTGGGATGGGTCAACACGGTGGAGTCTCTCAGTGCGAGGCACCAAGGGGTGCCCGGCTCCATTTCTGTGTGCTTCCTCCAGGAAGGCTCAGCCTGAGTCTGGACATGGGTCTGAAGGTCCCAGAGTAACAAGTTCTTTAAGATTGGCAAGGACCATGAGATGAGGAGAGACTGAGGATCTACTGCAGACTGGAACAGCTCGATACAGAGGACCTGTGCACAGGATCCTGGACCAGCATCGGGACAGTCGGCAACACTGAGAGGGGCCTGCCGCACCCCTGCTGATCGCCGATGGGGAGGGTGCGCAGGGATGACGCAGGGAGTGACCTTGTTTTTGCAAGGTAGACATGGGAGTATTTAGGGGTGATGGGGCATCATGTCAGAAAATACATATGGCGGTGGGTGATAGAGCAAATGCAGAAAAATGAGAGCCTCCTGGAAATGTTCCCAAAGAAGAGGGGATTGAGGAAGAAGGCAGAGGCCTGACAAGGGGCAGGCTCACACAGGATCTTCCCCAGGGTGCCCCAGCCCAGGGCTTCACAAGGGGCATTCTGCACAGAACCCTTCTGGGATTCTCCCTGGTTTCCCCAAACTCAGGGGACCCCTCAACTGCAGACCTCCGTGCTCAATTCCAGCCAGAACCCATGCAAAATACTCAGCAGAAGGGACAACCATTTGCCCCCATCCTCACTCAGCATCCAACGAAAAGCAGGGCCTCCTGCTCCAGCCCAAAGACTTCCATCCTGATGCCTCTAAGAAGTCTGGGATGGAGGAGGTCAAAGTGAGCTGTGGGTGAGCTGAAGTGGTCTAGAGATAGGGGCCGGGCCAAGAGAGGCAGAGGCCGGGCCAGGCTAAGCTCTGCACAGGGCTGGGCTGGAATAAAAGGTGTGAGGCAGCCCACAGGAAGACAGGGCTTTCTCCTGCTGAGTGCTCTTGGGCACTCCCTCCTGGCCCTTCCGAGATGCTCCAGCAGGTAACCTGGCCCACAGGCACCCCTTCCTCCAGGGAGACACAAGGCACAGGGCAGGCAGCCTGGAGAGCCAAGTGCTGGCTGGAATGCATGCATCATGGTCAACAGTCTTTGCTCCTTCAGTCCATCCCCTCTGGAGAAGTCTTCAACCCAGCTCTGGCTAGGTCAAGCCCTGCTCAGAAACCTTTGGTGCCAGTTCCCTACCCTGGCCAGGTTCCTCCCCTACTCCTCCACTCACCTCTTGCCACTCTTCCTTCCCCCGTCCCAGATGCCTTGCTGCCCCCACCACAAAGGACCTGCCCGCACCTCCCCTCTGTCCCTGCCTGGCAACACACACAGTAAGTGCCCAGCCAGTATTTGCTGACTTCAAAGCATGCCTCCTGGACCCGTCAGAGTCCCAGCACTGTCAGCATGGGTTTGTCTGCACAGAGTAAGTCCCAGGGTTTTGCCTCTTGGCTCCAGAGTGCAGGGAGCAGACCCACGGGGACACAGGGCACCAAGTGGCTTCGATGGGGCCTGAGCAAGACAGCTTGACAGTGTAAGACGAAGGCCCGGCTTGGCCTGGCCCAGCAGACGAGCCTGTTGTCTCCGCCACCTGCTCCCAAATGCCTCCCTCCCCAGGTCCAGCCCCAGGGCCACCCACCTGCAGTTTCCAGAGGAAGTCGAGGCGGGCAGTGGACTCCACCTGCTGGGCGTGCAGGTACAGGGCCAGCACAAAGACTGAGATGATGATGGGCGTCACCACCTTCAATGCCACCTTGGTTGCATGCTCAGGGCTGTGGGGAGGTGGTGGACAGGCCTGAGACGGCCGTGGCTCCTCACAGCGGGCTCTGAGGACCCCACCCCCACCCACTGCTGGCCCTGTTTTCTTCCTCCCACTATACCTTCCCCTCTTCCTTATCCCCCTGCTCAAACTTTGCCGCACGCGTGCCTCCTCCAGAAAGCCTTCCTGGCTGGCAGCCCCATCTCAGACCCTGCTTGCACCTGCAGCTCAGGCAGCCATTACTCCTCTCCTGACGCCTTACAACCCCCCATCACTCGGGAGCTCCCCTCTGGTCAGATCAGGGGATGAACTTAGCTTTCTAAAAGGCAGCATGTACATCCAGATCCTTCTCTGGACAAGACAGGGGCAGTGGGTGCAGTAAAAGGGCACCACGCAGGCCATGCTGACCCTGTCTCTGGACAACCTTGGGCAAGTGTCTTAATCTCTCTGAACTTTAGTTTGCTTATCTGTACAACAGGATAACAATAGCCACATTTCAAGATGGTAGTAAGGATTAAAGAGATATTATAAACAAAATGCTTAGCACAGCATCTGACCAACAGTAGGTGCTGCAAACTAGTAGCATTATTGTCTAATTCTGTTTTTGTTACTAATAGATACTCTTAACAAAAGCAGCCATTCCAAATCCTACGTCTTGTGCCTGCCAAGAGCTCAACCCCTGGAAGGCTGCACAGAGGCTCCAGTGACCCCCCGCCCCTTGCCCAGGCAGCAGCCCTCAATGCAGGGACGGGTCCCACAAGCACTGCAGCCCTCGCCTTTGTTCCTTGACTCCAGAGGGAAAGTAGGTACCAGCTTCCATTCTCCTGTGTCTGAGGTTCTCACACAGGCTCCTGGGGAAGAGCTTGAGGTTAAATGCTTTAACATGAGGCCTATGGGATGATCTGAAGCCGGTGATCCCAACCACAGAGACTACAGATCACCTTGGCAGGGATCATGAAAGTGACCAGGGCCTCTGCCCCCCGAGGACGCCTTGCTACCCCAGGAGGAACCAGCCTCCCTGTCCTGTTGGCCTTCTCCTTCACTACCCACCTTGCCACCAAGGCCCCTCCCACCTGGGCACCAGCTGCCCTCCCTGTCTGCTCTGTGCTGAGGGCAGGGAGCGACCCTATCCGAGGAGCATCAACTCACCACTGGGAGGTCCCGTTGTTGAAGAAGTCTCTGTGAAGAGAGTTGGGGAAGACTGGTCAGGGCCACCCTTCTGCATAAGGCGGCCTCCACTCCTGCTCAGCCCCCACGCCCTGCTCTGCTGTCCCCACCACTGCTGCTCCTTGGCTCCCCAGCCCCATTCACCCTCCATATCCAACGACATTTTCAGGGTGGGAGGTGGCAGAAAGCCCAGCCCCAACTAGCATTGGATACTCATGACCACAAACCACCCAGCTCTTACCTGAAACCCTGCCTTCCCAGACCCCAGCATATCTACCTGGGTGGAGGCCTGCCCGCCTCTCCCCCTCCCAGGCCTTTGCTGCCATCCAGAGGGCGTGGAGGAGAGATCCCACAGCTGCGCTGCTTGGTGTGGCAGCCGCTGGCCACGTGCAGCTACTGAGCCTCAACATGGGGCTGGTGCAAGCTAAAATGTGCTGTATGTGTAAAACATACACCAGGTTTTGAATAATTAGTGTAAAAAAAGGTAAAATATTTCATTAAGAATTTTATATCGATTATATCTTAAAATGATATTTTGGCTATATAGTACTTGTTAAATAAAAGTCAAATTATACTTTTTGCCTTTTTAATATGGCTATAAGAAAATTTTAAATTACATAAGTGGCTTTTTATTTTTTTATTTTTTTGAGACAAAGTCTTGCTCTATCTTCCAGGCTGCAGTGCAGTGGTGCAATCTCGGCTCACTGTAACCTCCACCTCCTGGGTTCAAGCTATTCTTGTACCTCAGCCTCCCAAGTAGCTGGGATTACAGGTGCATGCCACCACACCTGGCTAATTTTTGTATTTTTAATAGACGTGGGATTTTGTAGGCCAGGCTGGACTCAAGTGATCCAACCACCTCAGCCTCCCAAAGTGCTGGGATTACAGGTGTGAGCTACAGCACCCGGCCCACTTTTTATCTATTGGACAAGGTTGCCCTAGAGCCAAACCATGGTCTCCCAATCCAGAAATAACCTTCACTGTCTGTTGCCAACTTCAGCGCCTGAAGAGGAGATGCTGAGGATGGGAAGGAGCAGTAAGAGGAGGGCAACATTCCCTGCTCCAGCCCTGAACCAAGAGTAGAAAAGTTCCTGGACCTCCTGTTCCTTCTCAAAGGATGGCAGCTTGTCCCATGCTCCACTGTCCCATCTCTTTGTGGTCATCTGCCCATAGCCCCCACACAACCACCAAGAAGTTCTTCCTTGAATATGACTTAAACCCTTCATTACACCTCCACTTTCTCAGGCGACACCACCTTCCCAAGAGAGGAACATTCCTGAGAGTTTTCTATTTATCCACATTGTACCTCCACTGCCTAGCTCAGTGGCTGGCACATAGCAGGCCCTTCATATTTTTGAATGAATGAATGGGTGAACAAATGGATGGATGGATGAATCCCTTCCTCTCACTCAAAGAAGGTACAGTTTGCTGCATTTTCTCAGGGGACACAAAACTGTCACTTTTTTTTTTTTTTTTGCACTTCTTGGTGTGTGTATAGGGAGTGGTGATGCGTAGAAAAGCATATTACGAATCAGGCACTTTCAATACATCTTACTACTATGGGCGTTGATAATCCACAGTTCACATTTGCCAGGCTTCCAAATTAACCTGCTTCAGGGAGGTCTTGTGATTTACGGCAATATCCTGCCCGAGTGAAGAATCTTATCTGAGCTCCTCAAATTGCTGATGTACTGATTAATGCATAATCTATTGACATGAAAAAATGCTGATTCATTTCTGAATCATGAAGTTGTACCGATTGCTGGCATGTAGACATTTTAGTCTGTATGTTGCAATCTGTAGCCAATTATTGTAACCCTCCAATGACAAAGGACAACTCTGATCTGAGGAGTCCCCTTCCCTTCTACTTTCTTATGAAAGCATTCCCACTTGTAACAGCTTCTGGAACATGCCTAACTTGGTGCGTGTGTCTTCCTGGCCGATCCTCACATCCAGCTTCCAACAAAACTTGATCAAATTATTTCTGCCTCAATCACCTTAGTTTGGGTTGACAATATTCCCATTTTACAAAGAAAAAATTATGAGGTTCAGAGGAATAATCAATGTGTCTGAGGCTGAGATTCTAACCCAATTTCACCCAAAGCCTAAGGTCTTTCCCCTCATGGAGCCACCTCCCTTGGAAATCTTACATCTGTCACTACATGACCATGCTGACTGTGGGACCAGACAGCCATAGGCCCCACCTTCACACCTACCACCTCTAGGACGTGGGACCTAACCTCTGCCACCACAGCCAGGAGCCTTTGAGTAGTGCACAGATGCCCAGCCTTATGTGGTGGGCCTGCCTACTTGGCTGAGTTGCTGCAGGAGGAAGAGGAACAGCGGATATCCAGGCACCTGCCTCGAGGTGGGACACAGACCCTGTGAACAACAAAGCTTGTCCCTCTGCTCCCACACTCCTTACTGCCCGGCTCTGCTGGACCGTGACTCCTCTGAGCCTGGGGCAGCTGGACCGAGGTGAAAGCAGCCCACTGGAGGCTGCCCTGGCAAGCGGGGAGCAAACCAGAGAAAGAAACACAGTGGGGCCTGGTGACCTGAGGCCACTCCAACTACTGGGAATGGGAAGGAAGGAAAGAAACAAGGCCGTTTTCCAGATGTCAGGGCTGGGGAGGAACAAGATACTCTCCTCGCAAGTTCCCTGTGGTGCCAGAACCCTAAACCTCCTGCTCTTGCCACCTCCCTGCAATGTCTCATGCCCAGTGGGGAGCGTGAGGGAGGTGCCCCATACATGGCGTTGGCGGTGACCAGCAGGTCGGCGTTGTCGAAGAGCGTGACACCTGGCACCTCCACGATGAGCACGTAGATGAGCTCGATGGCCAGCATGAGCACCAGCTTCCCGATGCAGCTGATCTGCAGGAACACGGAGCAGGCCAGCAGGCTGAGCAGCACGCTGTAGGTGAAGTACTGCGGGCAGAGGGCAGCAGCATCAGCTCCCCAGGCCCTGCCCGACCCCGGGCCCTGGCCCCATGCATCCTCCAGTCTGAGCTGGCTCAAGTGAGGCCTGGGCTGGGCATGTTTCTGCTGATGTAAATTTCCCAACAGGTGTGATATAAAGTGAAGGGCCCTGGTTAGGAACCAGGAGATGGGCTCCAGCTGGAGTCTGGCCATTGCCTGCAGGACAGCCCCACGTTACAGCTGCGCTGCAGGCCCAGGCTGCCCTGGGTTTCAGGCCTGATCCACACTGGGCTTTGTGTGCCTCGGGCTGCGTGCTCAGCCCCTCTGAGCCTCAGTGTCCCCTCTGCAAGGCTTCCTATCTCATGGCTCGCTGTGATGAACACACGGAAGGAAGCCCTGGCTGCAGTGTCCAGCACCCTCAATAACCGTGGGGAGCCCCTAATCTGCAGCTTTGAACTCCAAAGCTCCAAAAGCAGAATGTGTTTTCATGACTCCTGTAGGGGGCCACGCCTGAACGGAGCTGCTCTGGTGGCAAAAGCTGACCTCACTTCTGGGACGCTAGTTATCATCTTTATCCTGTCCCCTGTGACATGCAGACATGCTACTACTGTGGAAATATGACCATTTCATGATCAGACTCCACTGGGGGTGGGAGGCAACCTTTTAAAATCTGAAAAATTCTGAAGACCAAAATATATGGGGCTCCAAAGGTTTCAGAGGAGGGATCGTGCCCTGTGCTGTTCCCTCTGGGGAAGCCCCTTCTGGTCTCTGAGCCTCCGTTTCCTTCTTAGACAACTGAGGGGCTAAACCAGGTAATCTCGGAGGTCCCCATCTGCTGCTGTCCCTTGATGCAGATGACGTCCCTAGGCACGTCAGCATCAATTATTATGATTATTATTATTACTATTTTAATTTAGCACCGTTGTTTCTGAGTCAGGCTTCCAGATGTTTACTCTTCGCACACGGCTTCTGCCCTGGGCTGGGGCAGCCCCTAGGGCAGACCCTCAGCCTCCTCAGGCCTTCTGGAGCCAAGGAAGGACTGCCAAGGGCCCCTGGGTGATTGGATTGTGGGGGGAAGCCTCACATCGCCACTGGGAACAGGAGCAGAAGAGGGAATGAGAAGGGCATGCCCAGATGAGTCAGCTCAGAGCCCCAGAGCCTCAGTCTTTGGGAGGAGGGATGGGAGCTCCAAAAGCCAGCTTGGATTCCCATTCAGACCTTGGCCCAGATAACCAGGAGGCCAACACTGGATGCTGGGGACCCCCCAGGGTCTGGTCTGTGAGGAGTTGCTGAATCAGGAGCAACCTTTGAGGGAGGTGGTCAGCTGGTGGGGGCTGAAGGCTGGCACCAAGCCTCTCCCACAAATGAGGAGCCAGGACCTGCCCACTGCCACCCTCTCCCCCCAGGCCTTAGCCTCACCAGGGGAGCCACCACCAAGGGGCAAGTACGAGACTGAAAATAGCCTCTGCTCCTCATAAACAGCCCTCAGAAAGCTGAAGAGCTCCTGTGGGCTCTCAGCCAGATATGAGAGGCAGCAGAGGCTAGGGAGGCTGGGGAGGGGAGGCTAGGAAGGGGAGGCTGGGTGCAGCATGGCTGCCTGGAGGAGACAGAGCTTGCCACCAGCCCAGGGGTGGGGCGGAGCGGGGGTGGGGCTGCACCTGCCTAGGTGAGCTGGGGCCAAGCCCTGCTCCTCCCTGGGCCTTCCCTGCCCTGTCTGTACATCTGAGAGCCAGATCCCAGGCTGGGTGGGGGGCCCACACTGACAGCCCACAGCACCCCTCAGCTGCAGTCACAGGCCCTTTGGGAGTTGGATGAAAACATAGACCTTCTCCCCAGAAAAAGGCAAACTGCCCCCATCTTACAGGCTTCATGTGTGCACCCATAGGGAGCTGGGGGTTTGGGAAGTTGGGGGCTGGAAGCTCAGCCCAGCTGCTGACAGCGAACTGCTTCCTGGCAAACGCAGTACCATGAACGAAGCAACTTGCACGCCACAGGTGCTTCATATATGCTGTTTTCTGAATAAGGATACGTGGTATTATTTTTAAACCCAAATGCCTGTAGGCACAAAATTTCTTTTTGGGGTGATGAAAGTATTCTAAAATTAGATGATGATGATGGCTGTACACATCGGTGAACACACTAAAAGCTACTGAACCGTGCACTTTGAACGGGTGAGGTTTATAGTAGTGCTGGTTTGGGACTGGGTTCCTTTGCTCCCCTCCCTCCTCTCTAACAGCTGGGGCTTAGGTGGGTTCTCCTGAGGTGGGGTAGGGTCTGCTACAGAAGCTGAGGGTCTATAAAGTTTTGCCCTCAGATCAGGAGCACGAACTCTGTCTGGAGCTGGACAACTTGAATGAGAGCTCCAGCTCTGTTGAGTCCTGGCTGTGTGATCTGGGGCAAATTACTTAGCCTCTCTGTGTATCAGGTTCTTCGTCTCTACAAAGGAGATAATATAATACCTATGTCATAGGCTGTTGGGAGGATTTAATGAGTAAGTGCAGGTAGAGCTCTCAGCCACAGTCCCTGGTAAGCACTATAGAAACAACAGCTACACCGCTTTAACAGTCATTGTCATATGGAGGAGGCTCCCCTTGTTCCCAGTGCAGACACTGGCATGTAGGAGTGAGAGATACTGGGGTAAGCAGGCCTCTAGAAGACAGTGAGCTGGTGAGACCCTGTCCTTCAGACTGTCCTGAGCAGCTGCAGTGACAGTGGGGGAGGGCAAGGGACTCTTCAGCACTCCCTTCCAGCCCCTGTGCACCCAGTACCTCGGGGAAGTTGCAGTTGGGCCAGGGGCTGCCACAGAAGCCCTGCTCATCGCCCAGGCTGTAGTTGACGGCCGACTCCGCCACGTGACACGCGTTGACCTGGCTCGCGCTGATGTTGTGCTCCTGTGCCAAGCAGCCCAGCAGGTCCCTGGAGTTGCACGTGAACTGGGGGGAGGAAGGAGGGTGATGAGGGGAGGGTAAGCTGCTGGGGGACAGGTAGAGCAGCCCAGCCCACCAGGCCGCAGGCTCCCGCCTGTCCTCCGCCTCAGGTGCAGCATGACACTGATGGGGACAAAATCTGAAAGAGTCTGAGGAACGGGCAAAGTCTGCCCAGCTGTCCTGGCTGGAGGGGGTGTGGCTAGCATGCCCTCCCAGGGAGGGGTTCTTAAACATGCCTTGGGGACATTCCCTAAACTCTTCCTGGCCCCACCAGGCTTGAGAATGAAGAGCTAAGAACTTCACTTAGTGGGAGAGTAGCCAAGCATAGTGGCTCATGCCTGTAATCCCAGTACTTTGAGAGGCCGAGGCCCGCGGATCACTTGAGCCCAGGAGTTTGAGACCAGCCTGGCGACCAGCCTGGCAACATGGGGAAACCCCATCTCTAAAAAAAACAGACAAAAATTAGCTGGGCGTGGTGGTGCACACCTGTAGTCCCAGCTACTTGGGAGGCTGAGGCAGGAGGACCTCTTGATCCCAGGAGGTGGAGGTTGCAGTGAGCTGTGATGGCACCACTGCACTCCAGCCTGGGTGAAAGAGTAAGACTCTGTCTCAAAACTGGAAAGAAAAGAGAAGAGAAGAGAAGAGAAGAGAAGAGAAGAGAAGAGAAGAGAAGAGAAGAGAAGAAAGAACTTGTGTGAGGCACATTGAGCCAAAGCTGATCCCAGACCCAGGTGCGAAACAAATAAGAACTTCCAGGGAAAGTCTCTCCTAGGCCTGCTTGTCGGGTACATGGCTCCACTGGGTTTGATCCAATGGGGCTGCGGAGGTGCTAGGAGGTCGTGCAGCCACCCACCATGTTGACAAAAGCCGCCAGGAACACCAGGGTGATGGTGAACACCCCAACCAGGGTGCTGTTCATCTTGGACCGCACGATCTTCCTGGAGAGGGTCTGCAGTGGGGAGGGGAAGAGCTAGGGTGGGGGCAGGGGTGGAGAGGGAGGGAGGGAGAGACGGAATAGCATTCAGCAAGGACTCCACAAATGGTCCCGGGAGTGCAGTGGACCCACCTGTGTCTCTCCCCAGCATGACCCCTGGGCCTTCCTGGTGGCCCTTCCAGCCTGCAAGGCTCCAGCCTTGAACCGCTGCACCATTGCTTCCAGGTCAACGGCAGGGCAGATTCTGCAGCTGACCAGGAGCGGGACTACGTGGGGAACCCAGGTGAGAGAGGCAGGAAGACAGGAAAGATGGTATCTTGACCCAACAGAGAAATCAATAAAAAGCACATTGACCCGCTGTGTGCCATCAGGGAGGGGCGGTGGGTGGCAGCTGAGGAGTCGTGGAGGGCTCAGAATGTTCCCAGGAGGGTTGAGAAGGCTTCTGGGAGGGAGTGGGCAGCGGTGAGTTTAAGGATTTGGAGAGGACTAGGCCTCTGGGCTCGGGAGGAGGGACTGACCAGCGAGGAGCAGGAAGGAGGTGGGTGTGGCCCTGAGCACTGAGTGAGCTCTATCCTTAGCACCAAGCTCCAAGGACCTGCCATTTCCCTCATTCTCTCCTACGCTGTATTCTTCCACCAGACAAACCATGTCTACTCAAAGACCCCCTGCAGCTTTGGTAATTAAATGATTGGGCTCCTAAGTCCCATTTCTGCCACCAAATCTGATGCAGCTGGCCTTGTAAATCATGTCCCCCTCATCTCCCATGCAACCTAGGCTGAAAAAGAATCTGATGGACAGAGAAGCCAAGCAGAGGATCCAGGATGCCCTACCCCTACCTGCCCCCAACACTTCCTGCTGAGGCCTATCTGCTACAGACAAGCTAGGTGTCTATAAAACCCCCCAAGGGCAGACAGGGTGGTTGAAAAAGCACTGAGCCAGGAGTTGGGAAGCCTGGGCTTGGCTTGGCTTTTCCTGTGTGTTCCTGAGCAAGCCGCATCCCATCTCTGAAGTCTCCTATTTGTACGGCTCTTGGGACCTTTGGGCACCCCCAGCTTTTGTGGTGAGTGAAGCAGGCAAAGGTCTCTACCCCAATCATGGGCTGTGAGCATCCCTGCAAATTCTTGCTTAAACTGCCAGACCACAAGGCTTCTCCATCCCGATACTGACAGCATCTGCAGTTGGCCACACTGACAGACAGCTAAGTAGGTCATGGGGCCATAGCATGACCACCATGTGACCACTTACTCCCAGTGGGGAGGGGAACTGGCTTGTGTGCTACAGTATTTGCTGCCAACTCAAAAAAGTGTCGGGCCCTTGGTCCAGTGTTCTTCAGCTGCAACCCAAACCCACTACATGTACAGCATCCATGAGGGCCCATCACATGGGACCTCAGTGGCAAAGGGACTTCAAACACAAATATGCTGACACTCATGCTGCTGTCTGTAACATGAGTAATAAAGTTTTTGTCTCTGACCCAGGAGTCTTGTGTCTTCTGCCAGCCTCTATGAAACAGCAACAAGCAAACTCATTAGCTTGTAAGTAGACAGAGTTCTTGACAAAAAGTCAGGCCCCTGCTCACCCCTGGGTCTTGGGCTTGGGGCTGGCTGTGTGCATAGGGAGGGTGTATATCTTTCTGACCCCAGAATCCTCCTCCACCCTTCCAGCAAAGCCATTTCCTATCAGCACAGGGAAAGAGGGGACCACAAAGATGGATAGATCACAGGAAGAGCTGCTGCCACGGCAGAGGCCTGGCAGTGCTCCGCCTCCCAGGTTCATGCCATTCTCCTGTCTCAGCCTCTAGAGTAGCTGGGACTACAGGCTGAAAGATGAAGGCCTGGGACTCCATCTCCCCAGCAGGAGAGCCTCCCAGGTATGCTCCTATACCATCAAGCCTGTGGCACATGTTCTGAACAAACACTGGGATAATAAAGGAGACCCTCTGGGATAATAAAAAGAGACCCTCTGACCAAACCCTCTTATGTGGTAGAAGGAAAGGTGTGATCTGGAGAGCATAAGCTTGTATTAAAATCCTGCTTAATAGACATAAAAATAAATCAAATACATTGAGGGTCCAGAAACAAACCTTTCCATTTATGGCCCAATGATTTTGACAAGCGTTCCAAGACAATGGTGAAAGGACAGTCTTTTCAACAAATTGTGCTGGGACACACAGATATCCACATGCAAAAAATGAAGTTGGGTCCCTACTGCACCCTGTACAAAAATGAACTCAAAATGGACCAGAAAACTTAAATGTAAAAGCCAAAACTACAGAACTCTTATGGGAAAACATACAAGTAGACCTTTGTGACTTTGGATCAGGCAATGGTTTCTTAGAGGTGACACCAAAAGCACCAATCAAAAAAGAAAAAAACAGATAAATTGGACTTTATCAAAATTAATTATTTTTGTCCATCAACTAACACCATCAGGAAAGTTTTAAAAAAGTATTGGTGAGGATGCAGAGAAACTGGAATCCTTGTGCGTTGCTGGTGGGAATGTAAAATGGGGCAGCCACTGGGGAAAACAATAGGGTAGCTCCTCAAAAAATCAAGCATAGAATTATCATATGATCCAGTAATTCCACTTCTGGGTATATCCCCCAAAGAATCTGAAACAGGGACTTGCACAGATAATTTGTACGCCCATGTTCACAGCTGTATTCTTCCTAATAGCCTGAAAGTGGAAACAATTTAATTGTCCATCAATTGATGAATGAATAAACAAAATGTGATATATCCATACACTGGAATATTTTTCAGGCATAAAGAGAGTAAAGTGCTGTTACATGCTACATGGATGAACCTTGAAACTAATATTTTAAGTGCATGAAACCAGTCTCAAAAGGCCATGTGAGATTCCCTTTATGTGAGATGTCCAGAACATGTGAATCACAGAGACAAAGTAGATGAGTGGTTGCTGGGGGCTGTGGTGATCAGGGCAGGGGGAGTGACTGCTAATGGGTCTGGGGGTTTCTTCTGGGGATGACAACAATGTTCTGGAATTAGCACCAATAGTTGAATAACTTTGTGAATATACTAAAAACTAGTGTATTAAAAGTTCATTCACCTTTATAAAGGTGAATTTTATGGTATGCATATTATGTCGCAATGAAGCTCTTATTTTTAAAAATCTTGCTCAGCCTCTTATTGGCTGTGTGATCCTGGGGCGTTACTCTACACTCTGAGCTTCCGTCTCGTTATTGGGAAATTGGGAATAGCTCTCACCCAGAGTGGCTATCAAGACTTAGTAAAGTGATGCATTTGAAAGTGCTCTGTAAGCTGTTAAACGCAACAGAAAAGTTAGTTAATATCTGCATTTTAAAGAGCTATATTGCCAATAAGAATGAAAGTCCTTACTTCCCATTTAAAGGAATTTTTGGTTTCACAGCTGGGGAAGTGTTTTGGCACTAGCATGAGGATCTTAGTCTGAAATGGTATGACAGATGGTTTCAAATCGTTGGCTGCTGAAAATTTTGTCATTCTATCTCCATCCCCTTCCCTCACCCCCACCCCAACTCCTATTTGCCCTATGTTGTTTAAACTGTTCAGTTCTGATCACCCCATCCACTGATTGAGAGGCTTCTTTCATCATTTTGCAATCACCAATGTAATGACTGATAGAGGCAAAGGTTACTAATACGTGCTAAAACTTTCTTAATAAAAGGTGGTTGGGGAATAGAGTATGCACATTAGCTTCCTGGTGAATATGGGACCAGGAGCCCCACAAGGACCATCCAGAGGCGAGGAGAAGAACTGCAGGCTTAAAAAAAAATCAGTGTTAGATGTGGCTCTACCATCTAATGAATGACTGAGTGTGCACTGGCTTGCTTGCTTGCTACAAGCCAACTTCCTCCATGCTCTTTTTTTTTTTTCATGCTCTTTTTTTTTTTTTTTTTTTTTTTGAGACAGAGTCTCGCTCTGTCGCCCAGGCTGGAGTGCAGTGGCATGGTCTCGGCTCACTGCAAGCTCCGCCTCCCAGGTTCACACCATTCTCCTGTCTCAGCCTCTAGAGTAGCTGGGACTACAGGCGCCCACCACCACGCCCGGCTAATTTTGTTTTTGTATTTTCAGTACAGACAGGGTTTCACTGTGTTAGCCAGGATGGTCTTGATCTGCTGACCTCGTGATCCGCCCGCCTCAGCCTCCCAAAGTGCTGGGATTACAGGCGTGAGCCACTGCACCCGGCCACACTCTACACTCTTTAAAAAGACTTTCTCTTGACTTTAAAACCTCAGTAGGAACTCAGGAATTACTGTTCTTTTGAAGTCTCCAGAAGATTTGACATCCTGTCTTGATATCAGTTTAAAGAGTGTCTCATCTCCTATAATTAGAGAGTTCATCTGTATGTCAGCCCTAAATCTAGATTTTACTAACCCCAGTTTGGATCTTAAAACTCTTGGCCACGCGCAGTGGCTCATGCCTGTAATCCCAGCACTTTGGGAGGCCGAGGCAGGTGGATCACGAGGTCAGGAGATCGAGATCAAACTGGCTAACAAGGTGAAACCATGTCTCTACTAAAAATACAAAAAATTAGCCGGGCTTGGTGGCAGGCACCTGTAGTCCCAGCTACTTGGGAGGCTGAGGTAGGAGAATGGCGTGAACCCGGGAGGCGGAGCTTGCAGTGAGCCGAGATCGTGCCACTGCACTCCAGCCTGGGCAACAGAGCGAGACTCTGTCTCAAAAACAAACAAACAAAAAGAAAAAACAAAAAAACTATCTGCCAGGGGCAAAGTCTCTTCCCAGGGCTACACCACAACTGCAGTCAGATCGTGGAGAGGATTTTCCAGCAGGATAACTGCCTGCACCAGCCAATCACTTAATGCTTGCTCGCAATCAGAGCCCAGAAAAAGAACTGTCTTCAAAAAATAAGTTCAGAACTAGTACATTCCCAATCTGATTAATTCAAATCAATTCAACATGAAAAACAGGAGTGGGAACATAGTTAATAAACCATGATTGGGGTAAGGAACAGTTTGATCCTGGCCTCTTTGAGTGTCTCCAGGTACATCGAAGACCTCCCCGGGCCCCTGTCTGTGATGCGGGGCCAGGGTATTGCAAAGATAAAAGGAGGGGATGAAATTGGATGGCAAAACAGTTTAAGAATACAGCCTCTTTGACAAGGAGCTAATAAAAGATGCAGTAGCTCCTACTTCAGAAAAAGAAAAAAAGGTAAGAAAACCACAGAGGTCAAACCTGGCAGGCAGAAGGGGTCCCCACGCCAGTGCTCTCATCACTTGGCCTTTCAGGAGTCAACTGGATATATTAGCACAGGCAGTGTCCTGGAGGGGAGGCTCATGGGCTCTGAAGTAAAAACCACCTGGGTTTAAATCCTAGCAGTAACCACTTCCTAACTCCAGGATCTAGAAAAAGCTGTCTAACCTCTCTGGGCCTCAGTTTCCTCATCTGCAAAGCAGACTCAATAAAAGCTACCTTTGAGGCTCAGGAAACACAGTTCCAAGTAGCATAGCTTGGATGTGCATCCTGGACTGTCCTGACTTGAAAAACACAGGGAGAACCTACAATATGCCTCCTGGAACGAAGACCTCTCCATCTCCTAAATGAATGACGTGTATGATGAGATGTGAATGGTGACAGGAATGTGTCCCCTGAGCATGCAGGGGGAAAGGTAAACATGGGAATCCTAAAATCTTCACAGGATGGAAGACACCTAGGAGGGGAGGGGTACTGGTTGCACAGTTAGACCCTATTTTAGAAACTGTGGACCAGCAGTTGAGTTGGAGTGGTAGAAAGGAGAACCAGCAAGGTGGGTTTAGCTACACGCAGGCTGCAGGGAGAGGAGGAGAGGCTCTGTCAGTGACTGCAGAGCAGACAGGGCCCACAGGAGGCTCTGGTCACAGATCCCAGGTGTTCATACAATCAGGTCCAGGGGATGAGTACCATGTAGACCAAAAGAAAAGCAAGCCATCAGGCTGGGGGATAAGAGAGAGAGATTTACACACACACACACACACACACACACACACACACACACACACACACAGCTACGCAGCTGAGTTCCCCCACAGGGCCTATCTGTACCTAAGTCCCAAACTGCTGGGAAGGAGTTTGGCCTTCTAATGAGCCACAGTAAGGGCTGAGGCACCTAGATCAGGCGGTGGGGAAAGGGGAGTCACCATTTGGGCGGTGGCGGCAAAAGTACCAGCACTGTCAGGTATAGACCAGGGCTGCTTCACCGGATGATGAGGCAGGAGCTCCAGGGAGTCCAGTGGAACATGTGGAGCTGGCCAAAGAGGGAAGGGGCTGCACTCAGGAGCTGTGAGTGAGCTCCCTATCCCTGGAGGTGATCAAGCAAAGCAGAGGCCGGCCCACCCCTTGCAGGGTTATCACTCGGAATTCCAGCCTCAGGTAGGTGGCTGGGCTCTCTCACTGCATGGGCCCCTTCCAACCTGAGATTCTCTGAGCTGCGGACAACGTGTGATGGTGAGCAGGGCTTTAACATGGTTTTCTCTACGAAAAGCAGTTCTGGGGCCTAGGTCAGCATAGAAGTCAAGGGAAGGAGGTTGGGTTCGTGCAGATGTGCAGACTTGCCCTCTAAGACAGCATCTCCAGAAGAAAGCACTCAAGGGTCCCTAAGGCAAGGCATCTGAGGGGCAGTGGGGGCTCTGCAAGGCAGCTGAGGCTCAGGAGTGAAACCAGGACTTGAGGACACGATGAAGACCAAGGCACCAAGTTAGCCCCGCTGAGAAATCCAGGGGAGTGTGTGAACTGCACTGAGCTGTGTCTGGAAAAGACTGAACAGGCCCGAGATAAAAAGGCCACCAGAGCACTTAGTAAGAAGGGAAAACCCGGAAAGAACCAGGGAAAACTGCTCCCTGACAGCCAGAGAAGACGACTCACTCTGTCAACACTCTCATATTTCTCTCTTCGAAAAGGTTAAAATATGGACAGTTCAAGGAAGTCAGTCCATGTTGTTCTGGGAAAATGGAAAAGTAAATGAAATAGAGAAAGAGACTGACACTAACTGGCTTGGGGGTAATTTAGGAACTGTCGCATCTCATTGCAAAGCCACTCTCCGTGACTTCTGAGAGACTGGGAAAATGAGAAAAAGTTTCTGCGTTCTGGTAAAACCGCAAATGTTTTTCAAAAAGAAAACAGAAGGACCCTAAACACTGCAGGCTAGTCAGCTTTGTGACAGCACCTGCAAAGGTGAGAAAATGAATTTCATACGGTCAACCCACTGCAGTGAGTGTGCCACGGTGCTCAGAGACAGGCAGACATTCACAGCGGGGAAGAAGGGGTACTGTTCCCCGCCATGCACATGGCAGGAGGTAGAGCCAGGGAGACGCTCCTTTCATGTCTTCACGTGCAAGCTGTTTAACCCACAACATAAAAGAGGGAAGAAGAAGAATTCAGTGGAAAGAAGTTCATATTACAAATGACTTCTCAAATTGGGCTCTGTGTTCCAGAAAGCGGACAAACCCTGAGAAGAGGCTAATCAGGCCAGGAGAGGAGGCGGCGGCAGGGATGGGAGCCAAGGGTGGGTGCTGGAGTCTATTCAATGGATGGACCACCAGCCCAGAGCGGCAGGTTCCAGGTTTCATAAGCCACTAAAATTCTTTACTGAAGCTTTCTATCTGTAAGATGGAAAAAGCAGGCTCCCTGGCTGGATGGTGTGGGACTGGGGGGACAGTGTTTGTGTGGCCTGGGGGTAGAGGGCGGGTATTCCATCCACCGGCCCCTCCCCCACCCAAGGAAACAGGCCTCTGCAGCACAGAGGCAGCAAAAATCACTGGACTAGATAAAAGAACTGAGAACTTGCTCAGTGAATTTGGCACTGATAACAAAATAGGCAAATTCAACAATACAAAAGAAGGCAGGGATGATTTTCATAACTCATCTTGAACTGTGGGAAAAAAACTCATTAGACCAAAAATGGCCAGTGAAGGTGGCTGCAGGCAGGAAAATGGGCCCATCCTTCCCCTCCTCCACAACTGACTGCAAATCAGGAAACTCAAATGGAATGAAATCAGTATAGCTCAGGTTCACCTAAGCCCCTAACAGAAAAGAAAGGAAATTTAGGTTCAGGCTTAAAAAATGGCAGACTATGCGCAGCTTTGATTCTGATTTGAATGGGCTAATTAAGTACCTGAAAGAAACAAATAAATAATGACTTTGCCTCAGTTCCTTACTTAAAAAAGAAATGTTCTCTTTGGGGTTCAGCAAAAGAACTTTTAACTATGGTTTACTTTTTTTGTAGGTGGTTGTGACTTTTCATTGTGGCAATATTTATACAACATAAAATCTGCCATTTTAACCATTTTTAAGCGTACCATTCAGTGGCATTAATCACACTCATGTTGTGCAACCAATATTGCTATCAATTTCCAAAACCCTTTCATCACCCCAAACAGAAACTCTGAACCCATTAAGCAATTACACCTGTTCTCCCTCCTGCCAGCCACTGGGAATCTCTGGTCTGCTTTCTGTGTCCATAAATTTGCCTGTTCTAGGCATTTCATATAAATGGAATCAGACCATACGTGTGACCTTTTGTGTCTGGCTTCTTTCACTCAGCGTCATGTTTTCAAGGTCCTTCTATGTCGTAGCATGAAACAGCACTGCATTCCTCTTTATGATGGAATAACATTCCACTGCAATTTACAGCACGTTTTGTTTATCTATTCATCTGTTGATGGATGCTTGGGTTGTTTCTGCTTTGTGGCTACTGAGAAAATACAGCATCCTTTCATAGCCACGGGATGAAGAAGTGGAACTGTCCACTCTGGATAAAGCAGGCTGGGGGGGGCCTTGACAACAGAAAGACCAAAAGGCAGGAGTGGCTGAACATGGGGCAGGAGGGAGGCTGTGGCCTTGAGGAAGGAGGGTCAGTGGACAGGCAGGGAACCAGCTAACGTTAAGCCCTACGATGCAGCCTATCAGATGCTACAATACTAGCAACGGATGGAGCACGCGGCTCAGCGTGGCGTGCTTCTCACACGTGCCCAATGGCTCTGGCTGACCCTGCCCTCTCTGGCTGTCCACCTCTGCACCTGCCAGGGGAGGTGAACCACACCAGGTGATTCCTAAGGTCCCTTCCAGTTCTGACAATCAGTCCACCAAGACCTTGACCATGACGTGACTATACGGTTAACAGACTAATAAGGGCCCTCTCTGGAGGGTGGAGAGAGAAAGGGGACTTTGGAGGGGATGAAGGTCCAATTCCTCCAGAAGGAAGACATGGTGCTCACTGCAGAAGAGGGTGCAGCTTCCAGGGGGCCCCACCGCCCACCCCAGAGGCTTGGCTCCTAGTGAGCGTCAGGGAGGAGTCGGAGAGGCTCAGCAGATGTGGGAGAGGCACAGATCTGTCCCAGGGATGAGTGCTTCCCGGAGGCCAGGCTGGTGCGTCAGGGATTTCTGAAACCACTAGTGAAGAAACTGAGGGAAAGGCCTGATGGGCAGGGCAAACAGGAACATAAGTGGTTTCTACCACAGACCAGAGTGACCCAGAGCCAGGTCGCATTGAGGGACACGGCTGGACAGGGGACACAGCACACCTAAGAGATATGGGAGAAAAACTCAGAACAAGAGCCACATTTCTGCTGCCAACACCAGCTGGCTGCATGACCTGCTTGAAAACACCAAAACACACTCCTCATCTATGTGCTGGGTGGCTCAAGACCTATAATCTCTGAGGTCCCCTCCAGGGAAAATCCCAGAGCACATGGGAGCACCAAAGCGGGTGTCGAGAGAGACCTCCTCCACACCCATTCTCTCAGCAAATATTCACTGGGCACTGCTCTGTGACAGACTTGGTGCTCGGTGCCCTTCCTTCCTTGTGCATAACATGAATAGGCACAGCACCCACAGCATCTTCTGGTTGCAGAGATTTGCCAAGGGCAAGTTAAAACAGCCAGTGAAGAACAGGCTCCCACTGACCATTTGCCAGACTCCAGGCGAGCTTGCTGCCAATGCCATTGGAGAGGTGTGGCTGGCATCAGGCACTCTCCCACCCCTGCCAAGCACAATACTCGGGCCCCTTCACATTTTGGGCCCCTGGGTAGGGCCCCTAGGGCTGAGAGAAGCGGGAAGAAGGTGGCTGCAACCCAGCTGTCAGCTACACTCACCTTTACGCAGGAGTAGATCACAGACACAAACACCACCAAGGTCAGCAGCAGGGAACAGGTCAGGTAGAAGCTGAGCATGAATATGGAGCTGGAAGGAGAGAGGAGGGGAGGGAGAAGCCAGGCTCAGGTGGCAGGGCTGCAGCTTCTGGGGGACCTGCCTGGCAAGCAGGCCACAGGTCCCCCGTGCCCATCCTCACAGCTTCAGAGGGCCTGGGCTCTGAAATCCAGAGAGGGAACCTGAAGTTGCTCCACCTCCCCTAATCCACTGCCCAGCCTTTTGCACTGACTCCCTGAGTAGGGCTTACACGGCCTTGCAGGTGGATTCTGGAACCGTAAGGGTATGGTTCCCTCCCCTTCCGGTGGAGACAGCAGCCCACAGGAAGCTGAATGGAGAACCAGGTGACACCTGATAGGTATTTTGCCTAATTCTCAGCTATTCACTGATGTGCTTCATTTAGCTTGGAAGAACCACCTGGTTACTCCCTCCAAGTCGTCACTCACAGCTCCATAAATAACTGTGAAGGCTGAAAACTGATTGGATCAGTAGCCTTCATTTCTAGAAATGCCTATGTCAGCAGCACAGCCAGCCACTCTTTGAGAAACAAGGGTGGCTGTCTCTTTAGAAGGGCAGAATCTCTAAGCGCCACCCCCTTTCCACCGCCAGGTCCCACAACAAGTCCCGCAGTTTTTGCTCCTCGATTCCTAGCCAGTTCAACAAGCAAAATGCAAGGATTTCCCTCTGCCCCTCCTTCAGGTGCAGATCACAGGTGACCTTCACAGCCACCACGGGTGGCCACCCTCAGACAAAAGAGCTGTAAGTGACTTTCCATCTGGAACTTCCCATTGGCCCTCCTGGGGCAAGGGCTGGCCCAGGGACAACACACCCCACCATACCACCAGGTGGCCTTTCAAGGGAGGAAGAGTGGCCTGACGAGGCCAGGTGTTGTTATGGGGTTAAAAGCCCGTGGGGGGCGTGAGAGGCAGGTGAACACCTCTAGGGAGGATTCAAACAGCGTCTTTGTTCCAGGCCTCCACAAAAGCCCGGCACTTAGCTGCCTTCAACAAACGGAACAAGGGAAACGAATTCTCTTCAGGGGAAAAGAAAGATCTTCAGAGTGGCTTTTAAGGCTTTCCTAGAGAGGAGGTGGCTAGAGAATGACCTCTGCCAATGTCTAAGCCACTTGGAGCTGTGGCCAGAGGAGGGAATGAAGCAGTTGCAGGCAGGGCAGGTAACTGAGATGACCCAGCCCCCAAGCCGCTGCAGAGAAGGAAAAGCAGCAAAGAGGCAGGACTATGCACTCAAGCTACAGGGACTGTCAGTTGCAATGGGATGAAAAACCAGATTGCTCTTTTTTTTTTGAGACAGAGTCTCGCTTTGTTGCCCAGGCTGGAGGGCAGTGGTGTGATCTCGGCTCACTGCAATCTCTGCCTCCCAGCTTCAAGTGATTCTCCCGCCTCAGCTTCCCGAGTAGCTGGCATTACAGGTGTGCACCACCATACCTAGCTGATTTTTGCGTCACCACGCCCGGCTGATTTTTTGCATTTCTGCTGTGTTGGCCAGGCTGGTCTTGAACTCCTGGCCTCAAGTGATCCACCTCCCTTGGCCTCCCAAAGCGCTGGGATTACAGACGTGAGCCACTGCACCTGGCCTCCAGGTTGCTTCTTGATACTTGTGCGTCCACATCAGTACAGAAAGATGGGGTTTTATGCCAACAAGGACCCCAGCTCTGCACAGCCTCAGTGCAGGGGTCAACCAGGGTGGAGCTGGCTGCCAGTGCCTGATTTTCACCTGTGGCATCCAACAGAGTCATGACAGATACAAATGTAAGGGGGATATTTTCATTCTTTTAATAATGCCATTAAAAATAAAATACATTTTGACACCATGTACCTCCTGCTATGGTACATGGAGAAGGACACATCATCACTTCAGTGGGAGCCTTATCAAAATGTAGACCCCCCCCAACCTAATCATGAAAAAACATCAGACACACCCAAATTGAAACTACAAATTAATTGGCCAGTACTCCTCAAAAGTGCCAAGGTCATGAAAGACAAGCAAAGGCTGAGGAACTATCACAGATGGGAGGGGACTGAGGACATGAATCAACTACATGCGACATGGGATCCTGAACTGGCTCCGGGAACACAAACTGGATAGTGAGGGGAAAATGACGAATTAGAATAAGGTCAGTAGATGAGTTAATAGTATCATTTTAGTGTTAATTTCCCGGTTTTGATCATTATATACAGTTACGGAAGTTGTCAACATTCGGGGAAACTGGATGCAGGATGCACAGAATCCCTCTCGGCTACTTTTGTAACTGCTCAAATACCATTATTTCAACATGAAAAACAGAAGGTACTGGCTTCGGGGACTCTTTAGATGAAGCATGGCTTAGAAGATTTAACCAAATGCAATCAGTGGATTTTGAGTAGACCCTGGCTACAAATAAACTAAAAGTAGAAGACATTTTGGGGGACAGTTTGGGAAGTTTCAATATGGACTGGGTAGTAGATGATAGTAGGGATTTGATGTTAATTTTTTTGGTATATAAAGTATTGGGGTTAAGGAGGAAAATGTCCTTAAGTATATATTGAGGTTTTTAGGGGTAAATGTCTTTGTCTAAATTTACTTTTAAAAAATCAGAATAAAAATAGATGAAAAAAACACTGCAAAATATTAACAGTTGTTCTATCTAGGGGATGGGTACTGATTAGATTACTTACTTTTCTGTGCATTTGAGGAATTACATAATAAAAAGTAAAAATATGTATTTATACATATACGTATATGTATGTGTGTGTGTGTGTGTATATGTATAGGTGTGTGTGCATGGGTGTACATACATAAGGCACTTATGTTTCTCTCCCAAGCGAGACTCTAATGTGAATGACAATTTAACAAACACCTCAACCTCATTTCCAAAAGCCCACTGCATACTTCAAAGTACTCCCCATAGAAGCCATAGGCTTTGTCGGAGACACAGCCAGTCCTCAGAAGAGTTCAGAAACACCTCTTTGTGAAATACCTCCAGAACTTGAAATCCATTCTTAGAAATATCCACAGTAGTAGAAAACCTGCATCTTTTGAAGATTTTTTTTTTTTTTTCAAGAACTAACAGAAAGCAGCCCAGGGAATACTTTGGGTGACTCAATTGTCAGTGATGGGGTGGGTTAATGGGACGAGACAATTAAGTGATAAAAAGGCGTCTCTTGACCAGGCGTGGTGGCTCACGCCTGTAATCCTAGCACTTTGGGAGGCCAAGGCGGGTGGATTGCCTGAGCTTGGGAGTTTGAGACCAGCCTGGGCAACATGGTGAAACCCCGTCTCTACTAAAATACAAAAAACTAGCCAGGCGTGGTGGTAGGCACCTGTATTCCCAGCTACTCAGGAGGCTGAGGCAGGAGAATTGCTTGAACTTGGGAGGCAGAAGTTGCAGTGAGCCAAGATCATGCCTCTGCACTCCAGCCTGGGCAACAGAGCGAGACGCTGTGTCCCCACCACGCCGACCCAAAAAAAAAAAAAAAAGAAGCATCTTTCATGCAGCTGTGCAGCGCCTAGTGAGAGTTGCCCACCCTGGAATGAGCACATCACCTTCCCGCCCAGAGAGGTCAGACCCCTGGCTTCCTACCCCACCAAGGGCACACTCAGAAACTTCTCTCCGTGCCTGAGCAAGTGCAGGCCAGACTCCCTGCTCTGTTCTCCTAAATGACCACCCCCTCCCACTCCTGGGATTCCCTGCAGCCAGAGGAAGGAGCCCAAGAGGGACGGGGATACTCACTGGGGCACGATGGTGATCTGGACAAAGCAGATGAAGAGGAAGACGAGCGAGGCACACGCCACATAGGCACCAAATCGGTCGTCTACCTGCTTGGAGTACTGAGAGGAGACGGGCAGGGTGAGAGGGGCCAAGGTACCTGGCCCGGTCTGCTCCAGCCCTGTCAATCCCACACACCCAGGGAAGCCACTCATGGCTGGTCACCTGTGCAGCCCACTCCCACAACAGGGAAGACTCGAGAACCAGAGTCAAACTTAGACCCCAGGAAACCAGTCCAGATCACCAGAAGGTAGTGCCTATGGAGAGGGCAGTTGAGACAGACCTGAAACCTTCTGCAGGTGGGTCACCTTCAGAGTAATCCATAATGATCATGGCTGTACATGACTGCATGCCATCTACACGCTAGGAAACATGCCAGGTGTCTACAGGCATCATCCAGCACCCCCACAACAGCCCAAGAAGTCGGAATAAAACTGCTGTCATTTCTTCTTCAGAGATGAGCAAGCTGGGCCTCAGAGAGCTCACATGACTTGTCCAAAGTCACATCTGAGGCTCCCAGCCCCAGCTCCGCCCATGATACCAAGCAGCCACACTGATGGAGGTTGGGCTGGCACAGTCACCCAGAGTAACACCCAAGTCAGGTCCATATACTGCTGGTCCCTTTCCACAGCTTCACCTTGCTAATTCAGTTTGCTTGCCTGGTTTAATGCTGATGAGCATACCACAAGTCCATTTTAACTGAACCCTGGGGAGATGCTGCCACAAAGTCCAAAGAGAACTGACTGGACCAGGGTCTGACTCCAGCTCTGTCACTACTTCACTGGGGGGCCGAAAGCAGGTCCCCCAACCACTCTGGGCTTTAGCTTTCTCATTCACAATGTGAAGAAATGCAACAGAGAGATCTTGACTGTCCCTGCCAACTTTAACACCTTGAGGTCCCAATGTGACAAAGCAGTTGGGCTGTCCATTGACAATGATAATAACAATAATGCAAATAGCAACTAATATGCACCGAACGCCTACTATGCGACAGATACTGTTTCATACATAGAAACTGCTGGGCATGGTGGCTCACACCTGTAATCCTAGCATTTTGGGAGACCGAGGCGGGTGGATCACCTGAGGTCAGGAGTTCAAGATCAGCCTGTCCAACATGGTGAAACCCCATCTCTACTAAAAATACAAAAATTAGCTGGGAGTGGTGGCGGGCGCCTATAATCCCAGCTACACAGGAGGCTGAGGCAGGAGAATCACTTGAACCTCGGGGGAGGAGGTTGCAGTGAGCCAAGATCAAGCCACTGGACTCCAGCCTGGCCAACAGAGTGAAACTCCGTCTCAAAAAAAAAAAAAATGAAAAAAGAAAAAAAAAAAGAAACTCATTTCATCCTCACTATGACCCTACGAAGTGGGAATGTTAACTGTCCCCATTTTCCAGATAATGAAACGAAGGCACAGAGAAGTCAAGGTGTATCCCTTCCAACCAGGGAAGCCTCCCTAGAACTCGCATCTCTCTAGGTAGTGCAGCATCAGAGCTGGGGAAACTGAGGCCACCCCTTCCGTGGTGCTGGGGGCATGAGGGAGCCCTCCTGTTTTCTTGCCCTCCTCCTCCTGGTCCTGGTTCAGCACAGGGGCCTCCTTCCCACCCAGGGTGCTGTACCTTCTTCTCTAAGTCAGGCTCCCTGAAGGTCAGGAGGAACTTGCGGACGTGCTCAGACCGAAGCCTATCAATGCTCCTGGCGTCAATGGCACGGCCCAGAAACTCATCCACTTCATCCTCAGGGTTCGCACTCTCCTGGGCGTTCCTGGGGAGCAGAAGGCACGGGCGTGAGACAGGCTGACCACAGGGGCACCAGCAGAGGGCTGGCTCTTCCGACCATCCCCCCAGACTCTCGGAGAGGCCTGGCAGCTGTCCACCATCAGCCCAATCAGGGCAGCGGGAGCTGAGACTGAGACCAGAAGCCTAAGCCGTGCTCTTAACAACTGCACAGATGAACAGACAACTGACCAAGTCTCAGTCCCCTTCGGGCTGAAGGGCCTTGCTGACAGGCTTTTCTGACTCTGTTAACATATTATATTAGCATAACAATGTGAGCTACCATTGACAGTTTAGTTGGACTTTCCCTACAGCTAACAGGCTCTGCTCTTTACCCTCTAGCTCTATCCTTCTGAAAAGAAGCCCTAGATCAGGCAGTGAGAGTTTCTGCCAGTTTCTGCCACAGGGACTGTGGCCCACCTGGTTTCTTTCACCCAGCTCAGGGCACTCTTGAGAAGCAGGTTTCATAGACTTGGAGTGCTGACCTTCAACACCCTGTTTCTCAGGGTGGAGCCCAGTCCTGGAGTGGAATTTCTGACAGTCCTGAGAACCAGAAGTGAAGGAGGGAGAAGAGGGCATTGCCTCGGGGCACTGGATGCCAGGCACTGCTGACCAGTGTGTAAGGTCTGCACTTTCCTGAGGGAGCCATGTGTGCACACGTGCACAAGCGTGTCACGGAGATAAAATGGGCAGTGCTGAGGCTCTGTCCTTCTGCTGGGTGGCCTGGGCTTCTGGGCTGCCCTGGCCTGTCTGGGGCTGCTGCTGACCACCTGACGGCTAGGGTGGGCTCCATTCACTCTCAGCTAAGACTGCAAGAGGAGTCATTTTCCATGGAGTGTGGAGAAACCAAGTGATAAGGTGGATTGGGAGATATCCCCCAGACCCAGGGAGCAGGAATAAGGAAGGGCATATTACTCACTTGTCCTTGGGGTCTTCAAAGCCCTAGAAGAGAAGGATAGAAAGAGAAAGAGAAGAGAATGAGAACAGAGAGAACTGAAAGCTCAGAGGCGTCTAGATGGCTGCAGCTCATCTCTACAGTCTCCCAAAGGACGTGGACATAGAGAGGATTGTCATTCAGCAGCTCCTTTCCTTCCTTCCTTCACTTGGAGAATACAGCTGGGTTCTCCCTAAGAGACAGGTGCTGTGCTAGACGCCGGGGATGCCCTGAGATTTCACTTCATCCACCGGCACAATCCATGTGTCTAAGCTCTTCCTGCCCCCATGCTCAACTCCTTTCCTAAATCTCTCCTCGCCATCCTCCTGCACCCTGGGCTCAGAGGGTCCCCTCTCAATCCTGCCTCTTACTCAGATGGAAATCGGGAATTGCTGGGCTGCACAATCTCTGTCACACGGACACACTCATGCACACTCACCTCCTTGTGTACATCACACCGAGCACACATAAAATCCCCAGGAGTTCGCACATTTTGCACTTAAAAAAACTACACTCTAGTTACCTGCAACAGCTGTTTCAGTAACTGAAAATCAATGCTTTCTTGTAAGGCCACGGTTGTTTGGGGACTCAGAGGGTAAGGAACCCACCTGCCACAGATCTGACTGCTGTTCTATCAGAGTTGAGGGTGGGAAGGGCCCTTACCGGCTGTCAAACTCAAAGCCCTCTTGAATCTATGAATTCCGCAAAGGGAGAGATGTGTGTCGGGGTCTCAGCAGTGGTGGCAGAATGGAGGCTTCCCCACTGTGGGGAGGGGTGGAATCTCAGAGGTGGTGCGGAAGGTGACAAGTAGCCCCAGGACTTGCTGTTTAGATTAGCCTCAGGATGCCAGGACTAGGACAGAGGATGCCCCTTCCCTGGCAGTGTGGAGCACTCTGCTGGGCAAACAGAGTTCGGCAAACACTGGGTGAACCCAAAATCCAAATGAACACACCACTCTTCATTCCCAATGAGGACACGGTTTGAAAATACAAAAAGAGGGATTTATGTTCCTCTCCATGAGCCAGGGCCACCAGGCACTAAAATAGACATGGGGCCCTGGTGGTACAGAGGCTCTACCCCCAGCTGAGGGCTCCAGGGAGCCTCAGCAGCCTCTGGAGTCACCTCCAAGTGACCAACTATAGGCTCTGAGCTCCTCCCGGGCTGCCAGCACCGGCCCAGGATGGCCTGGCAGTTGTCTGCCTAGGCAAACTGCACCCTTCTCCTTGTCCTCTGAGAATGGCCAGGCCCTCCCTCCAGGCTGTAAAGTGGTCCCACGTCACCATCCCAGCCCTGGGCTGGAGGCATAGATGTCACTCAAGTGAGCTCTCCCTCTGGGGGGCAGGCCCGTGCCTGATGCTCCCAGGATCCCTTGGAGCACAGGCGTGGCGGGCAGCAGAGAGCTGGACAGGCGAGCTCCCTGTGGAAGACCCCCTGCGAGGGGTTGGCCCACTCAATTCCATCCCAGGAGCCGGCAAAAATTTTACTACGGAACCGAGAAGAACTGAGCTATATTACATATATGCTGGTCTCTATGGTTCAAAAATAGGCCGAAATGTTGTGAATAAGCCTGTTCTGACCTTTCCCGATGCTCCTTTGGTCACCTGCTGAGGCTGGTGCATGGGACCCATTTTTTCTTCCTGTGCTGAGTAGGGGGCTGGGACCATCCTAACCACACTGCTTGCCATGTTGGTGTGGAGAGCTCAGCGCCAGGTCGGCATGGCGAGTTGGTAACAGTACAGAAAATATACTGGTACACAAACCATGGCAGGGGGGCCATTAAAACACAACAGAGCCGACTGGGCTCAAATCCCGCCACCTACTTACTCTAACAGTTCTAGGACAGCGGCTACTTGGCCTCTCCCAGTCTGCCTACACTCCCTCCTGCAGCACCTGGGCCCCACCCTACCGGCTATTCCTGGGTTTGGTGAGAGGAGCTCAAGCCCACACGTGTCTTCCCACTGGCAACCTTTTTATTAATAAATAACCTTAAAGACCTTATGACACTAGTGCCTAAGCATCAACCAGCACGGCTCATCACTTTTAAAAGCTGGGTAAAAGCTGGAAAAAGATTTAAAAGGCACTGCTGACTCCGACTTCAAACCTTCTAACAGCTCTCACTCACTACTTCGCGCTCCCAGCCCCCCATCCCTGCTTCAGTGGACTGTTTCTCATAAAACTCATCCAGCGTGGGCAGCTCAGGGTGAAAGCTCGCCTTCCATGGATCTCTCTCCAACATTCCAGGCACGTTAGCATGGAAAGCCCAATGGCCCTCGCGGCACTGAGGAACCTGTCTTCATCCCCAGCCTAGATATTCCCACGGGCCACGCTGGAGTGGGTCCCAGAGGCTGTCCATTGATGGCAGCCCCCTCAGGGGACACCAGGCCCAGCCAGGACAGGAGCCTCTGTTCCCACAGCCCTGTTCTTCCACACTCCTTCCCCTCCCTGCTGGGCAAAGCGATGAACGCTGTGGAGGAGACTTCCTGGCAGCCTCCTTCTCCAGAGACTGTCCCTTCCCCATGACAGTCCTGACTGCAAATTCTTCCAAAATTCCTTGTCCTAATGATGAGTAATATATCTGCCAACACAGTGCTTATAGTCCAAACTATCTCCTTTAAGACTCCAAAATAACTAAAGATATAGCTTATATCAAATATCACTAAAAAATAACTTTCCAAGGATTCTGAACAGAAAGAATCTCTCACCACCAGGCCCTGCCTCCCTGCTGGTTGTTCCCTGCTCTTCCCTGGCCACCTCTCTGCCTTCCCCTCCTCCCCATCTCCCTGCCCTACTCCCCAGCTTCCCCTCCACTTCCTGCTCAATGCCTCCTCTCTCTCGGCTCTCCTGCCCCTTTGCTGTCCCTGCTCTCAGTCCTTCCCCCTTTCCCCCTTTCTCCCTTATTTTTATTTTTATTTTTGAGATACGGTCTCGCTCTGTCCCCCAGGCTGGAGTGCAGTGGCGTGATCATGGCTCACTGCAACCTCAACCTCCTGGGCTCAAGTGATCCTCCTGCCTCAGCCTCCCGAGTAGCTAGGACTGAAGGAGCATGCCACTATGCCTAGCTAGTTTTCCTTTTTATTGTTTATAGAGACAGGGTCTCACTATGCTGTCCAGGCTAGTCCTGAACTCTTGACTGCCCTGATCATGTGGGTACAGAGTCTGCAGGAGACTATCAAAGGGCTGGGGTGGCAATGGGGAGGGTGGCCAACTGCTCTTTGCTCAGGGGAGGGAGGGTGGTGGCTGGAGCCCTTAGTGGCACTGACCAGGTCTGTGGACATTCAAGTTTGGAGCCCTGGGGAAGGCCAGGTTTCTCCACTCTGCTGTCTGGTAACCCAGGGCCAAGAGGTGTCTCTACTGTCAGAATGTTAAATGGGGGTCTTGGCTCAATTCACTTTCCCTCCTGTACATTTTCCTTAAGCTCGTATCATCTGCTACATGTTGGCTAACAAGGAGCAGAGCGACTGGGTCCCCAGCATGTCCCCTTCTCCAGGCTCCTGGCTCTTGTCTGCTGACCCTGCTGGATTTCCAGGGAGTCCGTCTCTGATCCCTTCTGCCACAACCTCAACCCAGTCTGCTCCACAGAGCCCAAACTTGGAGCTACTTGTGCAACATGCCCCTCCTTCACTAAGTGGCCACACAGAAACCACACACACACACACACACACACACACACACACACACACACACACACACACACACACACACACACAGTCCCTGTGCCATCCCTCGGCCCTTCCTTGGTATGGGTGACTCCCACCTGGGAACCTGGTGCCCCCGAGCTGAGCAGCATGCCTGAGGGGCAGAAGCCAACCTCTCAGACAGTAGGAGAGGAAACACCACTGCAGTAACGTGGCTTCTTCCTCCTCTTCCCACCAGGAATCCATCTTCCTGTCATTGCTGCCAGAGCCCAGGCAGCACATCCTGAATTCACCTGTCCCGGTGTGTGTAGGCAGGGTCCCTGGAGGTGGAGCTGACACCCGACCATGGCCTCCCCGACTTGCTCAGCCCACATGCTCCCACTGGAAGGCTGGCATTAGTGGGGGGTCTTTCTCAGCACAGAGGGCAAAGGGGACCACCACCTGGCACTTCCCAGAAAGCACTAGGATAGTTTCTGAGCAACTGAACCAAAAGATGTGGTTTCACTTGCCTGAGAAATGCAGGAGGTGCTGGAAGAGGGTATGACAAGCTGGTGCCCACCCAACTCCCTGGGGCCTCACCAGACAGTGCCAAGAGACAGCTGGAGGCTGTGGCTGGCCGAGTCTAGCCAGACATGCCTGCTTCCAGGCTGTGCCGCAAGCTCTGCCAAGAGGGAGGGAGGAAGGGGTGCTGCCAGTCTGTTCCAAAGCCTAATGAGGCATGCCACGGGGTGGTGGGGAGAGCTTGGGGCCAGAAGCAGGTGCCCTACTCCTAGTCCAAAGTTGGGGCAAACCGCACTTGTATTTGCTTGTGTGGCTCCCCAGATTCCCTTGGGCAACACGAGGCATCTGGTGCGGGCCTCATGCCCACAGAAGGCCCTAGCCTTGGAGAGTGTTGCCCACAGGCTGCCCCACCAGCCACTCACCATCCGCTTCATCTCCTTGGACACCTGGTTGCCACCCAGGTGGTTGTAGAAGGGGCGCTCAGCCCCCCAGTGTGGTGGGTTGTGCCCGATGGAGTTGGTTCTCTGGCGGTTCATCTTGGCGATCATGGCCTTCTCTTCTTTCTGGAAGACGAACACAGAGATGGGGGGAGATGAGGAGTCCAAGCGGAGGGCTCCTCACCCTTCCCCAAACATCGTACCTGGCCAGGTAAGGGGCTAAGGCAGCTGCCCTTTCCTCTCTGCACAGCCCTGGAGCCAGAGCTCGGCCCAGATCCTGGAACTCCCCAGGCAAGCATCCTGGATCTCTCCAAACTCCCTAATGCCAGCCCTGGCTGGCTCAGGTGGGAGTGGCAAAAGATGATGAGAGTTGGTCTTGTGAGAAAGCAAAGAGCTTGGGAACATCTGCCATTTGCAAGGAGTTCTCCCTGTAAGTTCGACTGTAAGATTCTATCCTGGGTGCCCTTCTCTCCTCTGGATGGCCTAGGCTCCGAAAGGCCTGAGCTGACGCACCCAGCTGCCCGCACTGTGCTTCCTCCCCCTACTCTGTGGGGCAGGGTGATCAGCGAGGGCTGAGCTTGGGTCTCCCAGGCAGCCAGGCCAACTCATACCTAAGCCTCCCAACTTGGTCCCTGGCAGGCTGTGGTGTCACATCAGGCTTTGCTCATGGGCAGGCCAGGGTAGGGCTCTAGCTACAGCCTCAAGGGTGGGTGGGGCCTGATCTGAAGTTGCCCAGGGGGTACCGGAGGGAGAGGAGACCTGGGATCACAACCTCTGCTCAACTTCTCCAAAATATGCTACAACAGAGAGGGCACTAGGACACGGCCCGGGGCCCAAGAGGCCACTTCCAAAGAGGTTTGGGTCAGTGAAGTTATGAGATTCAAGAGCTGACAGGCATTGTACAAATACACAGAGTCTCAGTCAGCTATCTATGGGCCAACACACTCCCCAGGATCTCATCTATCTGTCTGTCTGTCTATCCATCCAAATGGGTGCAAGAGAGCTAGAGACCTGAGGCAACCCTCCCCTCAACTCCCTCCCTTGTCAGATGAGGTGACGGTGGGGACACAGCCTGCTTCAGCTGACATTGCTGGTGGGGGTGCCTGTTACTCTTTCTGTCTCCATTTCATCCTTTTTGGACCGCTTGTCCAGCTAAAAGAACCAAGAGCCAGGGAACTCAGGGTCTAGGGCAGGAAGCTGCGGGAGGCCTTGTGACCCAGGCACTGAGAGATGTGGGTAAAGAGCCTGGAGGACCCAGTTCATTGATACTATGGCCAAGGAACTGGCCAACGCTTACAAACGTGTCAAGGAAACCATGAGGAGCTGTCCCCACAGGGCCCTGAATCCCCCATCCCTCTTCCTGGTGCCTGTGGAGGGTCTGACACAGCTCCCATGAAGGGCCCCCGAGCCAGGATCTGTCCCCTGGGGTACTGCATGGTAGGATAAGGTGTCCCTCTGATGTCCCTCTTGGCACGGGCACCTGCCCTCAACAGCCCTGCCTGCCTCCCTTTAAAAATCACCTTTGCTGTCATCCAAGACTCTCTGAACTCTTCTCACAGACTAATTTTGTCTTTCGTTTCACTTCTTAGGAAGAGAAATGGGGAAGCTTTTCTCTATCAAAGGGCACTGACTGGCAGATAAATTCCACAGAAAGACTCATAAGTAAAAGGCATTTTAGTTTAGGGAGAAATAGAAAATGTTCTCTTGATTTGCTTTAAAAATTAAGAGCATGGAACATGACACTATTAAAAATAGAACACTGAAGTCTGCTAATAATTTAGCTTTATATTTCAGCAAGTGTGGGCTGAGACAAAGGGGGAAAAAGAAACAGACTAGAAAGGGAAAGGGGAAAATAGGTTCAAGAAACAAAGACATAGGCACATGTGGAGATGGACACCGATCTATGGATCAGAGAGAGAGAGATTAGGGCAAGTGTCCACCCCAGTAAAAGGCAAATGAAAAGGAGAGAGATGGAGATAAAATATACGGTATCCACAGACTCCCTTGATGCTGATTTCCAGCTTGTGGACTTCTGATGTCTTGTTGCTAACTGATTTGAGGCCTGTTGCATTTTTGCAAAAGAAGCACTATTAAAAGATTCCCTCTTTACCATCCTTTTTGCAAGGCCTAACTGCCGGGGTCCTTTTTAAGATGCAGGAACCGCAACTGCATAAGAAATTCATGACTTCACTCAAGGAAAGAGAAGGAAGCAGCAGGTCACGAAAATGTTCCTCCCTGGAGGAAGGGAGCCCCTCAGCCCCCCGGCCCCCAGCCCACAGACCCGCTTCTGGGTGCAGCGCAGGATGAGGAAGGTCTCGATACTGTGCTCCTTGAGGTAGGCGTTGCGCTCGCCCCCACAGCCTGGCTCCACCTCGTAGTCCCCATTCAGGTAGTTGAGTGTAGCCTTGGTGATGTGGATGCGTCTACAGGGGGGCAGGGATCAGGGTGGAGAGGGCAGAAAACTCAAAGTCATAATGTCAGCCCCCGTGAAAAACCAAACTGCAATTAGTGGGTTCACCACAATTCAAACCCTAGGGCCCCAAGCTCTGCTCAAATCCTAACCTCAACCTTGCATGGTACCCTCCATTACTATCAAGTGGGCTCTCATGCCCACTGCAACCACACTGTCTCACACTGAACATCCTGGCACAGACCACTACATTAGCTTGCCCAAGACAACATGGCCTCCAGTCTTGCAAACTTTGCAAGCCTCTCACTCCTGCTCAGAAGCCAGCAATGGCTCCTGCACGCGACAGGACGGAGTCCAAATTCACGAGCCTGGCACTCATGCCTTCTGAACACAGGCGCTGTTTCTCCTAGCCGTCCCTAAAAGGCCATCGGCTCTTCTCCCATTCCTTGGAAATGCTGTGTCCCCCACACCTGTGCCTTGCCTCGCTGTGTTCCCTCCGCCTAGCAGCAGGCTCTTCCCACCCCACCTTCCTCACCCCTCCCAGTCCTGCCTCCTTTATGGTCTAGCCATCCCAGAAACTATCTGTGATTCCTCCCTCCTCCAGAACTCTGTCTATCACACCTCACCAGCCACCATGGTTTGGGTCAATATCTTCTGGGTCAAGGCTCAGGGAAGGGTGACATAATGCTCCCACAACTGGCCAACGGTGGCACAGGTGATTTGGCAAGTAGAGGAATTTCTACTTCCACTGTGCTCACCCCAGCGCCCCCACAGGTGCTTGCTGCCCATCCTGCCCACCCCACCCTGCCCCGCCTCGCCTCTGCAGGATGGTCACCCTGGGTGGGCTTGAGTGGGAACCCAGGTCGGGGCCCCAAGCCACCCACAGCTGTCACTCACCCTGCCTTGCCGCCAGCCTCCATGTGGTTGGCTAGCGTGACATCGTTAGACCAGACGTCGAACTGCCACTTCCTGAGACCAAGGACACCGCAGTGTACTCGCCCGCTGTGAATTCCCACACGCATGTTCACGTTCACCCCTGTCACCTCCCGGACCAACCTGGGGATGGAGCAGGAGTAAAGCTGGGAGAAGGCTGGAGGCCAGGCACACAGAATGGGGGTGAGGCTGCAGGTGCAGGGAAGGTGAAGGTGCGGGGGTCAAAGAGTCTTCTCTCTCCCATCCAGCCCTAGAGTCCAAGAACGTTCAGCCTGAAGGGCACTGGGGCGGGCGGCAGGTGCAGTCGGCTGTGAAAGGGGCTGTTCCCGGCCTGGCCACAAGGTGGCGCGGTGCCACACTAAAACCTAGAGCCCTGCTGCTTCCCCTCCAGGAGGGCACCTCTGGCCAGCACTGCCCTGTCAATTAAATTGTGATTGGAAAAATGCAAATGCACGTTAGGGCCGACTTGAATTAAACAGGGAAGTTACCACCACTCCAAACCCTATTTGTATAATGCTCTTGTGGGTAAGACAGAAATGGCTTTTGGATTATCTTTTTATTGGATTTATCCACACTGCTGCTTCCAAGATGTTAGCAGGGTGATGGCAAAAGCTGGTTACCCAGGTTTCAAGGGTATGGCCTGCTCAGGAGGGAAGGGGAGCCTGGGCAGGTGCAGGGGCTTAGGGTGCTCCATGCCCTAGAGGAAAGCTTGGTCCCGGCCACATGCACCACATATCCATATCTGGGAGCTCCCAGTAGACAGGGCAGGCCCTCCGTATGCACTTATAACTCCTCATGCTGGGCGAGCAGTGGAGGCAGACTGGGAAGGAAGCCATACATCTCCAGGTGCATGTCTGAGGCCCATGGGAACCTGCCCAGCATCTGCAGGAGAGGGTGCAGGTGCCAGGAAGTAGGGTAATGGATGAACTCAGATTGCACTTTCTAGGGCCCTAGACCCTCCCTAACACCTGGGGCATGGGCGCACTCAGCTAGCCAGGGGACCAGCAGTCTGACTTGCCCCAGTGGGTGGGACCACCACTGAGACTCCCTGACCCCATCCCACGCCATCAGCAAGAGGCTGACACCCACTGCAGGGGAGACTGAGGTCACCCATCATTTCTCTTGTCCTGAATCAACTTGGTAAATACCTCCACTGCAGCAGAATACCTTCACTGAAATACTTTCCATCCACAGTGCCTTTGGATACTTGCTTAGCTTGACAATGGCTCATTCTGTCTTTTTGGCTTAACTCCACGGCCACCTCCTTCAGGCAAACTCTCTTGATCCTCTCAGTGGAATCAACTGTCCCCTCCTGGGCCCTCCTTCAATAGTCTGCCTCCCTTACCTCGCCGTGTCCACATGACGTGCCTTGTATCTGAGCACCAGGAGTCCTGGTCTCTCTCCCTTAAGGCTCTGTGCTTCCGGGGAGACTGATTGTCTAGCTCAGGCTTGCTGGGGACACTTGGCAAGTGCTGCAAGTAGAACTGAGCCAAACCAACGGACCCGGCTGCCTTCCTGGCAGCCACTCCCGCCTCTGACCTTGCCCTCTGTGCCTTTTTTCTCTGCCCCTGCCCAAGCTATTTCTAAAGCCCAAAGTCTCTGACTTGCTCCCTTGGCTGTCACATAAGCTTGCACCACCCATGTTTTTCAATGACCAGGGCTCCTTCTGTGGCCAGTGATAGCCATGAATTGGCCAAAGTGCCTTTTTGCTATGGCTCACAGGCAGGGTGATTCTCTCTAAGCGGAACACCTGCATTTGAATCCGCCTGCCTGGTAGTAGCACCCTGGGGAGTTGTCTAACCCCTATGAGCCCAACCTTTCACATCTGGGAAGAAGTGGAACCAGCAGTTCGATGCCTGGCTGGGTGTCTGTAGGAAACATGAGGCCCCGGAAGTGCAAGGGCCTCACACGGCACAGGATCCTCACATGGCTGCCAGCCTCTCCTCCACTCCTGGAGTCTGCAGAGCCCTCCCCTCCCACACACTTCCTCTGGGAAAAGCTGCCCAGGCTGCTGTAGGGAACAGGAACCCTGGAGAAGGCAGAAAGTCTGGTGGCACACGCCAACCCTCAGCTTGGCTGGGCACCTTTTGGCAGACAGTTTCACCCCACTGTTTCCCTGCCTCCAACTAGGCAGCCGGCAGGTCAGTCAGTCGCTCGGGCTGTGGACAGTCCCAGGGAGGGAGACGGTACCCGGGGGGTGGACACTTACGAGATGGCCTCGATCATGTCCATGCCCATCTCCACACAGCAGTGGGCGTGGTCAGCCCTTGCTTCAGGCAGCCCCGAGACGCAGTAATAACAATCCCCAAGGATCTTAATACGTAAACAGTGATTCTCCTGGAAAGCAAATTAATTTTACAAATTAAAAATAGTAGGAAAGAGAAGTGGGAGGGAAAGAAACGAGAAGCAAAAAGATTCACCCCGTGCCTGGAATAACTTGCCTTTTAGGGCAGTGAGCGCAGGCCCACGCCGGAACTCGGCATGGTCCTGGGACAGGCTTATCAGGAGACATTGGGGAGGGAGGGATTGTGGGGATGGAGGGATGGGCTGGGCAGCCCTGAGCGGCATTCCAGCTCCCAGACTCAGGAGCTCACTTTTAAAGATCCACTCCAGAGCCCCAAGAGGAATTTGGCTGGTCGAACTGCAGCTCAGCCAGCAGGGTGGCCTTATCAGCTTAAGGAAGGCCCCAAGCCCCAGTACAAGGGTCTCTGGTCCCCTCCACACCCCAGGAGTCACTCTGATTCGTTGCTTGAGATTCTATCAAAAGTTGTCTGATTCTCCTCCTTTTACAAAAAGACTGAAGCAGGCAGAAATGAGCTTTAACCAAAAGCTCACTGACTCAGCCTGTCTGAGACTTTTATCAAAAAAGAATTTTGCTCAACTAGCAAGCACATGAGTGCCAAGAATCCAACAGAGCTGCTGCTGAGTGACAGGTGCCACAGGGCCACCTGCAGGCCACCACCAATCCGTCAGTGGGATTGCGATAGAATATCAGTAATCATCAATTATGAGCGGTCCAACTCTGGCTCCCAAAGATAGTTGAGAAACAGGGATTCAAGTGCCCTTGTGGCCTGGACTCATTTGAGACCCAAGTGACAAGCAGGTGCTATTCACCTCATTCAGTTCAGTGACAAAATCCACAGGTAAGTATATGCGCTCCACCATGGAAGCCCCCAGAGAAGCCCTGGCACTGGCACTGACGGCACCAGCCTCTCATCAATAACCCGGCCTGGCGTCCTGTGTGGGCCAAGGGGAATGTGTCCACCCGTCAGTGGCCACTGACATTTAATCACTCTACAAAGGCCTAGAGCTGGGAAAGGATAATGGAGGGGTGAATAGGGGCCTAAGGAATGAACGTGTCGTTCACCACTCCCGGCCATGGAGTGTTACTTCCAATTTATCCAAACGTTTAAGAGTCCTCTTTCTGGATGCCGCTAGGGAATGGCACACAGCCGCCTGCAGGCCAGCTGGGGATTCAGACTCATTCTCTTATCAGTCTGGCCAATCTCATCAGGAATGTAGCTTGATGGCCCCTAATATGCCCCAGACAAACAGCTTATTCCCCTGGGGTTTGGGCAGTGTGACCGGCAGGCCTCACCACCCGCTTCCAAGGATGGGGGGCATGGAGGGCTCCCTACACTCTCGCTTGTGGTCAGCGACAGTGCTGAAAGCAACTCCAGCTAAGTGTGTCTCCAGGGCCCACGCAGGGCGTGAGGACACAGCCGCAGCCTAAGGGTCCCCTCTGCCCATCACCAGCAGGCTCTGCTCAGCAGGATATACCCAGGCACATGCCCATCCCTGGGGTTCAGCAGGTCCTCGACCACAGCAGCCTCCCTCAACAGCCCAGGTCAGGCCACCCCAACCCCCGGCTCAGGGTGACTCACTGCGGCCAGCTTGTCAAAGCGGGCGAAGAGCTCGTTGAGGGTCATGACCAGTTCCTGTGCAGTGCACTGGGACGCCAGGCTGGTGAAGCCCTCGATGTCAGCAAACAGGATGCTGGGGGACAGGCAGAGGAGGAAGACCCTGCTATAGGCTGAATCTTTGTGTCTCCCAAATTCATACATTACATCTTTTTTTTCTTTTCTTTTTTTTTAAGAAGAGGTCTTGCTCTATTGCCCAGGCTGGAGTGCAGTGGTGTGATCAAGGCTCACTGCAGCCTCGACTTCTTGGGCTCAGGGGATCCTCTCCCCTCAGCCTCCCAAGTAGCTGGGACTACAAGAGTTTGCCACCCTACCTGGCTAACTTTTTTTTTTTTTTTGGGTAGAGACAGGGTCTCGCTATGTTGTCCAGGCAGGTCTCAAACTCCTGGGCTCAAGCAATCCACCCACCTTGGCCTCACAAAGTGCTGGGATTACAGCCACGAGCCACCACACCTGGTTCCATTAAATCCTAATGCCCAATGTGATGGTATTAGGTGGGGCCTTTGAAAGATAATGAGGTCACAAGGGTGGAGCCCTCACGAATGGATTAGTGCCCTTATAAGAAGAGACAAGAGAGCTTGCTTCTTTGCTTTCTGCTCACCACTTCGTGACGATATGAGAAGGTGGCCGTCAGCAACCCAAAAGAGGGCCCTTGCCAGACTCTGATCATGCTGGCACCCTGATCCCAGACTTCCAGCCTCCAGAACCGTGAGAAATACACTGCTGTTGTCTGTAAGCCCCCGTTCTTTGGTATTCTCTTAGAGCAGCCTGAACAGACCAAGACAGACTTCCATGAGGGAGGAGAGGCAGGGCTTATGGCCAGGGCCCGGCCTGGAGCTCCCTGGGCCTGAGAGGGCTGCCAGCCAGCAAGAGTGCTGGGGGCTCCACGCGGCTGCTGGGCAGGGGACAAAGGCCCTGGCACTGGAGGGCCGAGGACGCTGCCTCTTTCTGCTGCTATCCTCCTTCTGTGCTCTAACGGCACCCTCCCCCAGCCCAGGAGGAAGGCAGGGGAGGGGCGTGAGGCCTGGGTGTGTGCCTCAGGAGGGTGCGGGACAGGGGGCCAGGCCCCAACTCCCAGTCATCTCTCAGGCCTGCCCGTTTGACCTCTGAGCACACCTCGAGGGCACTGGGCCTGCTCCTGGGGAAGAGAAGCCTTTTATACCTCTGCTCTGGAAGGCATTTCAGGCCAGAATGATGGCCCTGCAAACTCTGACTTCCCAATCCCACACAGAAAGGACTCTAGCCCCAAGCCCTCCATCCTGAGGGAGTCCTCTATCCCCTACAAGAAACACAGTAAAAGAGACCCAGGGAGGAGAAAGGAAGACACAGCCCGTCAGCGTCCCTGGAAGCCCCCAATTCCTCCTTCCCAGTTCCTCAGTGCACCAGCTGGTGATAGATCTTTCACCCGTCCCTGTGGCTTGTGTTCCCTAAGTTGAAAACATTTTCTTTTTCCTTTGAAATGGGAAGGGAAGTCCCCAGGACCAGAATCTGTAAGGGCCCCTGAATTTATTTTTCTTAAAAGGGACACAAAAATCTAAAAACTCTCATGTACTGAGATGCTCCTGGCAGCCAGGAGCTAAGCGGGAGGCTTCCAACATGTCATCTCACTGAGTCCGCGCAAAAGCCCTGCAAGTGAGGGGTCAGTGTCCCCATTTCACAGACGGGAGCCAAGTCTCAGAGCAGCCAGAGACAGCGGCGTGGCAGGATTCTTCCTCCAAGGTCTGTGCTCCTTCCCAGGCACCTCGGGACTCCTAAGGCTCCAGAACCATGTTTCAGTTTTAAAATTGATGTTGAACTAAACATATTTTGTCCTTTTATTCTAAAAATGTGTATTGGTACATTAAGCATGTCTTTTTAAATCAAATATTGGGCTCACACCTGTAATCCCAGCACTTTGGGAGGCTTAAGTGGGCGGACCACTTGAGGTCAGGTGTTCGAGCCCAGCCTGGCCAACATGGCAAAACCCCATTTCTACTAAAGATACAAAAATTAGCTGGGCGTGGTGGCATGCACCTGTAATCTCAGCTACTCAAGAGGCTGAGGCAGGAGAATCACTTGAACTCTGGAGACGGAGGTTGCAGTGAGCCGAGACAGTGCCACTGCACTCCAGCCTGGGTGACAGAGCTAGACTGTCTCAAATAATAATGAATAAATAAATAAATAAATTAAATATTGACAAATGATAATTGTATATATTTATGGGGTGGGTACAAAGTGATGTGATGTCACGTATCCACAGTGTGGAATGGTTGATTGGGCTAATCAGCAAATCCAACACCTCACATACTGCTCATTTATCCCTGCTGTCAGCTAACTGGAACATGGTACTCTTTACTAAGCCTGTCTTTATATTCCCATGCTTTGACATCCAAGGCTCCCGAGAGTTGGTGCCTCCCAAGACAAGCCAATTCCCAGAGACAGTAAACAACTTGCCTTAGGGTGTACCTTTCACACACAAACCAACCAACCCAGAGTCCACTGCTGACGACAACCCCTGCCCTCGCCACCCCAGGGACAGGCACTGGAGTCCCAGGCAACTTGGGACAGCCCCTACATACCGAGCCAGCGCAAAGACATTCTTCAAACCAGCCAAGCACTTGCCTTGCTACCCTTCCTTCCTGCACAAACCACAATAAAGGGCCCTGCTCCCTCGGCCTCCTGACTGCCCTGGTGCCTCCCCCTTGGCCTCTGCGTGGTGTGTCTCCTCCTCGTGGGAACTGTGAGTGACAATCTTAGCAGCAGTCCTCTCCCGATCTGTTGGCCTCACCATCATAAAACGTACATTTTAAAACAGTCAGACACTATTTTAAGCTCACAGAAATATTAACTCGTTCGCACCTCATAACCACCCCGTCAGGAAATGAGGACACAGAAAAGTCACCTGGCCAAGGCCACACAGGCACTGGCTCCACACTTTAGGAGTTGAACCAATCAAGATGATGCTGTCTGTAGGCCCCACAGACATCTTAAATGCGTAAAGGTATGATCCAACACCCTGGCACTGTGAGGGAGGTGGGAGGACCCCTGGGAGCTGCTGCTGTGGTACCGGACAGGTACAGGACCCCCCTGAGAGGGGTCACTCTCAGCAGCTTCTCACCAGCTCACAAGAAGAGAACCTCTTTTTTTCCACAGGGCCTGTGGAAACAGGTTGGGCCACCAGGGAGTGCATCCCAAGGCTTCAGCCAGGCTGTCCCACCTCCCAGGAGAAGCACAGGAGGGCAGCCCCCAACCACTGCTGTTTCCCCAAATCCTGGCTCCTCTGGCCACTTCAATAGAACAACCAAGGCAACTGTAAGAGTGAGGTCAGAGTGGGAGAAATGGGGACAGGGACAAGAGATGGAACAAATGAGAGGGAGAGAAGAAAAGGTGAGGAGGTGGAGCAGAGAGGACAGGCCCTATCCTGCCAGGCCAGGGGACTCAGGACAGCAGAGAGCTGCTCCAGCGTGTGCAGCTGTGGGATGGGCCCAGAAAATGAAAGGGAATTTGGATTCTCCATAAGCTCTCATGCCCGGTATCTGGTGTGGCTGGTGGGCCCACCACCCTGGCCCAGAGGTAGACTATGCTGGCGTGTGCATGCCTGGGGCAGGGTGCCTGCAGAACCCCATCCTGGCCCACCCTCCGCCTCCCTGCCTCCCAGGCACCTGCCCCCTCCACCCAGGGAGAAGGAGGAGGTCTCTCCCACAGTTTGTGAAAGCACCCACTCCATAGTTGTTCTGGAAATTCTTCTTCATCTCTCAGGAAATCAAAACCAAGGGAAGCTGGGGTCCAGACTGGCTGCACATGAGTCAAGGAGCATGTTCAGTGAGTATCCCCTTGGCCAACACCAGTACTTCAAACACAAAGCTGGCAGGCAGCACGACCAGTGGCTGGTCCACCCCGAGCCTGAGGCTATGCAGCAAAGGCCTGGCTTTGGGGGCTGGAGATGCCCCCGGGGTAGGAAGGAAAAAGTCCCCTAATCTAGCAGAGGTAGGACTGCCACCGAGCAGAGTAACACACAGCACCAGGAAGAGCAGAGGAGGTGAGAAGAGGGAGGGTGGGGCGCCCCAGACACACAAGGCAGACACATGTGGTCCCAGGGGCTCCCCTGCACTCCAACCTCCTGTGCCTGCCTGGCTGACCCAGCCACTCAGGTGGGCCAGGCCTCTGCCCACCCGTGCACTGGATGGCCAGGCCTGTGGTCAACTCATTCTCCACAGATGACCCTGCTGGACCTTGGCAAGCGCATTCTTCCATGGCAACTCTTGTCACACTAGACCATATGGTCCTGGGACCAGGCATCTCGTAGAACCACCTGGGGAGCTCTTACCTGGAGAGGCCCCCTACCCCCAGCCCCAGAGATTCTGACTTAATCGTCTGGGGTGGGCTCTGCTGTTGATTGTCTTTTTCTGTTTTATTTTCAGCTTCCCTGGTGACTGCACTATGTAGCCAGGGTTGAGAACCACCACACTAGTTTAAAGGTTGCCTCAAGAAAGCTTCTACCACCTCATTTAAATTTACAACCCTTCCCATCTGTCTATCTCCCTTCTCCACCATATTTTTCTCCACTGACTATGCTGTGTATTACTGTTGTTTATTATTATGCTCCGGTCTGTCTCTTCTCACTCAAATGTAAACTCTTTGAGGGAGAGATTTTATCTACTTGATTCACGGCTACGACCCAGCCCTTAGGAAACAAGCAGCTGAATGACGGCCTGGATGCGGCGGGCCATGCCTACCTTGGCCTCTGCTCTGCACCCTGCCTGACACCCAGCACAACACCCAGACATGAAAGGTGCCCCCGGTAGTTTCCTCAGGCTGCTGTAACAAAGCACCACCAACCAAGTGGCTGAAAACAACAGATTTTTATTGTCTCGTGGTTCTGGAAGCTGGAGGTCTGAGATCAAGGAGTCGGTAGGGCCCTGCTCCCGCTGAAACTCAACAGAATCTCTCCTTGTGTATTCCTAGCTTCTGGAGGCAGCCGCCATTCCTGGGCTTGCAGCCGCATCACTCCAGTCTCTGCCTTGGTCCTCACCAGGACTTCTCCCTGTGTGTCTGTGCTTTCACAAGGCAGTCTCTTCTCACAAGTTCACCATTCCTATTGGATTAGGAGCCCATCCTACTCCAGTATGACCTCATCTTTACTTGATTTCATCTGCAAAGATCTTGCTTCCAAATAAAACTACATTCACAGGTACCAGGGGTTCAATGTATCTTCTTTTAGGGGGATAAAATTCAACCCACAACAGTGCCTAATACTTATTTGTTGAAAGGAAGGAAACTTTCCTGTTTCCAAAGCAAGAGACACAACTAGTAACTCCAAATTGTGAGCTCTTCTTTCTGTCCCACAAAGCCTCTTGGAGTCTCAAGCATGTCACCTGAGACAGGAGCCCATGAAGTCCACGGCCTGTCCCCCAGCAGACGCTCCCAGCCATATGCACGGAACCAGTGGCTGAACAGGTACCAGGGACATGGGGACATGAGTGGCCTCTGGTTGTGTGCCAGGAGACATGAGAAACAACATTGATATGTGAGGAGCTCCACGTGCCTTTGAAAACCTGCACCTCCCTGCAGCCTCCTGGGAATCTACTCTTCCTGGCCAGCTGCTGAGGAACCAGGGAGGGGCAGGTCACCACCCACCAGGAAAGAGCCACTCAAAGCAAGGCATCTATGCCAGGTGTGCGGAAACCCAGGCAAGGTTGCTGCTGAGGCCCTGACTGTGAAGCCCCCAAAGCCTCACCACACATTTATATAAATCCTGCCACCCCCACATTCCCCCACCTCCTGTCAGAGACAAAGTCACATTTCTCTGCAGCTTTGGGGGAGGATTCTGCTTAATGACTGTCACTTCTGCAGGCTCCTGGGTTTTACAAGGTTTACCCTACAGCAGACTGTCTGTTCTGCTGGCCAGGATTTCCTGATCTGCCCCGGAGTAACTCTGAAGGCCATTTCCCAACTCAGCGCTGGCCCAGACGTGCAGGAAGGTGCTAATTCATCTATTAGCTCCCATCTGAGAGCTCCTCTTGGGAACAGGATCAGGCCCTCATGGCGGGTGCACAGAACTGGGATAGGGCCACCCTGGCTGTGCACGCTTCCCTAATTGCCTGCCATCCATCACTCACAGTCTCCTGCATTCTATTCCAGGGGCAAGAGTGGGAGACAGAGTCCCAGTTACCACAACAGGCCCTTCAGCCCTCCACAGCAGCTTTGGCTCAGCTTTCCAAACCACGTGCACTTTTGGTGAAGTGCATTTCCTCGTGGTTGTTCCATCTTGCTGCCAACAGGCCCATGACTTTATGAAGCTGTCAGAGCCTGGCCCTGCTCCTGTGCACATCCTGCAGCACCCTGGACACCCAGGTGCTGAGTTTTTCTAGTGGTCTAGGGGGGCCTGTAGTGCTAATCACCAGCTCCTCTGATCTCCTGCAGCCCCTGGCATCGTCAGAGCTACAGGACCACATCAAGAACTGTGCTGAGTGGTGGATGGTGGGAAGGGAGTATGGCAAGGTCTCAGCCCAACTCCCAGGAAGTTGGGAGCTGAAGGTGCCGGGGAAGTACCCGGAAGTGTCCAGTGTGGGCTGGGGAGGCTGAAGTGGCCACACCTCTGGATGGGCCAGTGGTCTCTTTTTGACCAAGAGTGCTGTCCCCTGCAGCGTGCCCCCTCCATTTGCCCCCCATCATCCAACCTGAAGAATCCTTTGGGCTCACATGTCCCTAGTAAGGTACAAGATGAGCAAGGAGTCACTCATGTCCTTTAGGGGAGTTAGCACAATCAGGTGTGGTCTTATTAACACTGGGCTGAGGTCAGACACCAGAGGGCTGTTTTCCAAGGAGTGGCACAAAAAAGATGAGAGAGGGGCATGTGAACTGGCAGCAGCCACAGGCCCATCCAGGGGCACAGGCTGGGAAAGGGAAAGGGGGAAAGGCCTATGGGAGCCTGCTGGACACAGAATGCCTGCACAAAGTCCACCAACAGGGAGAGCCTGCCCTGGGACAACCGTGCTCTCTCCACTCTCACAAGGACAACAGGACTCCTTTCTTCAGCAAGTGGAAACCAAGACAAGGGGCTGTCAGGACTGGGTCCAGGGGTCCTAGGTCGAGGCATGTCCTAGATTCGACTAAGGGCCTCCTGCAGGCCCCCTCCCACCCACCCAAACCCCTCTCGTTTCTGCCTACCCAAATCCTACCCCTACTGTACATACAATGGAACACCCCATAGCACCTACTGACATTCTGTTTAGAAAGTCTAGAAAGATTTAGGGAAATGCTTCCTGAAGGAAAATCACACAAAAGGAAGAAGAAACTGCAAGACCTAGCAATAGTTAGTGACCTCAGGGGGGAGTCTATGAGTGCTTTTTCTTCTCCATACTGCTCTTATTTTCCAATTTTTCTACAAAGAACATATATTCTTCACATAATAAAGATGTTTATTTTTTGCCACGCACAGTGGCTCATGCCTATAATCCCAGCACTTTGGGAGGCCAAGGCAGGAGGAACACTTGAGCCCAGGAGTCGGAGGCCGGTCTAAGCAACATAGTGAGACCCTGTCTCTGCAAAAAAAATTTAAAAATCAGCCAGGTGTGGCAGCAGGCACCTGGGGTCCGAGTTACTGGGAGCTGAGGTGGGAGAACTGTTTGAGCCCAGGAGGTCTAGGCTGCTGTGAGCCATGATCACACCACTGCACTCCAGCCTGGGTGACAGACTGAGACTTTGTTTCAAAAAAAAAGTAGAATAAAAAAGAAAAGTGTTTATTTTTTAAAAGGTAAAAAACAAATCACATTCTTCTTTTGGGGCCTGATTCTAACCCTTCCATCTTCATGATGTCTTCCTTGACTTACCCAAGCCCAGAATAATACTTCTTATGTCTAAACTTTTATTAGAATCGTAATCATACATAACAGCTGATTCCAGCTGTTTCAAAGACATAGCCGGGCAAATTCAACTGGTCAGCGCCTCTTTGCTCTGTCTTCCCTCCCTTCTTATCTCCCACAGGGCCCCTCATTTTGAGTCCAGAGAGCTAAAATAGTAAGTTCTTGCTGGCTGCTGGCTCCAGTCCCCACCAATTAAGGCAAACTGAGGTCTTTTGTTGGAACACAATCCCAGGTAAGGATGTGGAGGAATTCGAACCCTTGTGCACTGCTGGGAAGAAGGTCAAATGGTGCAGCCCCTCTGGAAAACAGGATGGCAGTTCCTCCAAAAGCTAAAGATAGAATCGCCGTATGATCCAGCAATGCCATTCTAGATATACACCCACCAAAACTGAAAGCACAGGCCAGGCATGGTGGCTCACTTCTGTAATCCCAGCACTTTGGGAGGCTGAGGCAGGCGGATCACCTGAGGTCAGGAGTTTGAGACCAGCCTGGCCAAAATGGTGAAACCCCGTCTCTACTAAAAATACAAAAATTAGCCAGGCATGGTGGTGTGCACCTGTAATCCCAGCTACTAGGGAGGCTGAGGCAGGAGAATTGCTTGAACCCAGGAGGCAGAGGTTGCAGTGAGCCAAGATCATGCCACTGTACTCCAGCCTGGGTGACAGAGTGAGACTCCATCTCAAAAAAAAAAATTGAAAGCACAGATATGAAAAAAATATTTGTACACCCATGTTCCTAGAAGCACTATTCACAATAGCCAAAAAGTAGAAGCAACCCAGTGTCCATCAATGGACACTTTGTATGGATCCACAAAATGTGGTATATTCATATAATGGAGTATTATTCAGCCCTTAAAAAGGAAGAAAATCCTGATACATGCTATAACATGGAAGAACCTTGAAGACATCATGCTAAATGAAATAAGCCAGTCACAAAAAGCACAAATACTATATGTTTCCACATACATGAGCTACCTAGAGTAGTCAAAATCACAGAGACAGAAAATAGAATGATGGTTTCCAGGAGCTTGGGGGAGGGAGGATGGGGAGTTAGCGCTTAATGGGTATACCGTTTCAGCTTGGGAAAATAAAAAAAGTTCCAGAGATGGACGGTGGTGATGGTGGTTGCACAACAATTTGAATGTACTTAATGCCACTGAACTGTACATTTAAAAATGGCTAAGATGATGAGTTTTATGCTATGTATTTTTATCACAACTAAAATAATCCATTAATTTTTTTTTTTAAAGACCCAACCCTACTGACTCCACCAACAGGGCCCCCTGGGCTGTCAAGCTGCTGTTCCCATAGCACTTAACTCCCTCACTGTGAGGGCTGGATATTCCCTAAGGAGCAGAGACAGTGTCTTTTTCATACTGGCAGGCTGTATATAGTAGCAGCTCAGTAAATGTTTGTGGAATGACTAAAATAATAACATAAAGACCATTTATATCTATAACTGGTACGGGAGTAGAGTTCAGAATACTTAAAAAAAAATAGAGACAGGGTCTCGCTCTGTTGCCCAGGCTGGAGTAGCAGCAGCAAGATCTTGGCTCGCTGTAACCTCAGGCTCCTGGGCCCCAGCAATCCTGTTGCCTCAGCTTCCCAGTATTCTGGGCCTGGGATTACAAGTATGAACCATCGTGGCCGGCCCAGAATACTTTTCTTCATGTCAGGTTTGAGACGGGAATGCAGGATGTTCACGGCCCCTCCTCATGTGGTCTGTTGGCTGAGGGTGTGAGTGGAAGGTAAACATTTTCCACCCTCTGCCTACAGGGTGCACAATCCGCCCACAGGTATCTGAGTATCTCGGACATTGTCGCGTGGTCATTATAATTCAGAACCACACTGCAGCAGAGCCAGACACCAGAGCAACCTGGGGAATGCAGCCAAGTCCTTGAAGGAGACAGGAGAGGAGATAATAACCTTAAAAGTGGGAGGTGTTGGGGAAAGACTGAGGAGACAGGGGATCTCTCCCCAAGACCCTGCCCCACCCCTGATGTGTGGGGAGCGGGGCTGACTACCTCATTGCCACACCAGACTTGGCAGCCCCTCTGCCGGGACCCTGGCTGCAGATCCACAGGACTCGGGTGCCTGATCCAAGTTGGTGAACCAAGATCCCCCAACCCGTGCCCCATCCTGAACCCTGGGGCCCTGCGGGGAATGTTTCTTAGGCAAAGGACCAGCACCCACTAGAGGAGACAGCTTTCTCGCCCTTCACACAAAGAAGAGTCTGGAATGATCTCTCACCCACCCAACACCTACGACCTTTAAAACCTCAGGGCTCCAGCTCAGGCACAGACCAGTCAGTGCAGGGTCATCCACAGTAAGAAGGAGCTCCTGTGAAAGCAGAGAATCCTTCAGAGCCCTCTCAGGCCTGGCTGGGGCGTTCTCTGGCCCCTGAAACCTTTGGGGTGTTGAGTTACCTGACCTTGACTCTCTGGTCGTCCACCCTGCCTCAAGGGCAATCAGTCTGCAGCCTCCTGCGCTGCGCGGGGCTGGGGACCTTCCATGCCCTACCTCACCTCAGCTCCCAGCAGCCCTGCAAGGAGTCCTGGGCTAGCTAGCTGGGCACCCTCTTACGGATGCTGCTCCTCTGTGCCTTTTATCACAATGATAACAGAACAATAGAGCAGTACGTTGTCTAACATTAATACCCTGTGAAGTCTGTGTCCCCTGGTCACTAAACCCTAGCTCCCACAAGAATGTGATAAACTCAGCTGACTAATTATTCATTGCTTAGTGTCTTCTCTAACAGAAGATGAGCTTCATGATGCCAGTGATGATGTGTACTTTAATCCATGTCACACTGCCCGCCTGTAGCTGAGTGTCCTGCAATGTGGCTGGTGGTCCCCACTGATGAGGCAGAGTTCACACACTAGCTGAATGGATGAGTGAATGGCCATCCCATGTTACAGTTGAGGACCATCCCCACCCCATGTTACAGGTGAGGAAACTGAGGCTCCGATTAGGTGCCTTGCCCAAGTTCCCACAGCCACCAGGCGGCAGAGCTGGGTGTGGACCTGTCTGCTTAACACAGGTGCTCATCTTGGTCCCTTCCACTGACTCCTGGGCAAGGGTGAGCTGCTGATGCCGAGGTCTGTTTGCATCTACCTTTGCTGTGACCCACGTGGTATGGCGCCTTCTCTGGCTGAGAAGGCTGAGGCTGACTGAGCTCTCCCCTCCCCAGGCAGAGCTCCAGGAGCTGTCCCTCCCTCCAGAATGCCTCTGCTGGCATGTCCCAGAGGCCCTTGTCCCTCCCAGGTGTGGGGAGGGCACAGCTCCCCCAGCCCTGGCGCTGTCAGCTGCAGCAAGTGCTGGTATCTGGGGTGGGGGAGGACAGGCAGGAGGGCTTGCAAGCCACTGGTGGACATCCCAGCATGGGCCCTGGCTCCAGCTGACCCCCCGCCCCGTCAGAAAGGCTGAAACATTTCCATTTGTCACCACACGTCAGACAGGGGAGACAACTAAGTGTCTCCGGGGTCTCCAGGGGTCCCCTGGCCTCTGGCCTGCGTCTGCCCACGGCCAGTGGTGGCTCAGCATCAAAACATCCTACAGGCTCCTTGGCCAGTCCCTGGCTGCGCCCCGGGGTGGTGTGTGCTGCACAACTATTCTCCTCAGGGCCAGGGGAGAATGAGGCCATGGACAGTGGTGGCCCCTGCCTGACACCCCGCCCTATCCAAGACAAACTCTTTTCCCCAAACCCCCATCAGTCTCTTCCTCTTCCTTAGATCCAGGCCCAGCCTGTCATGCTGTGGAGTTGATTTATTTTTCTTGTGGCCTTGCTCTCAGTGGGGCTAGAGAACAGCATGTCATCACCCTCTCTAAATACTACAACTCTGCAGAGAATTGATGAATGTGACTCATCACCCTCCATTCGCCAACTAGAGAATCCCCAGGCCTTTCTTTGTTGATATGAGTGTGATCATAATCATAAAAATAACAGTAACAATAATAATGGCAGCTCACAATTACCGAACACTTGTTATGTGCCAGATACTATGCTAAGCACTTTCCCCACATTATTCCATTTACTCTTTGCAACCCTATTAAGTAGGTACTCTTCCTATCCTATTACGCAGATGAGGAAACTGAGGTTCAGAGTGGCTCAATGCTTGTAACTTGTCCTGGTCACATGGCCAGGAAACAGCAGAGTAGGGGCAATGTGCAGAACTGCTTAACCCCAGCGCCTAGGCCTAACCACTGTGCCCCGCCCCATGAGCCCAGCCCCAAGGGGTGTTTTTAAACTATGATGTCACCCCCCATCTCCTACTTAACCACCAACCCAAGCCAAAAGTTCAACCCCAAAACAGAGACCAGAGCAAGCACTGTGTTTCTACCAAGGGCTACAACCAGTGCTGCTGATGTAACAGGGAAAGAGGCCCCAGAGGGACATTTGCATATGATTGCTTGCAGTTGGCCTCTGATGTGTACCAGCCACCTCTGTCCCTGGCGATGTCAGAGTCAGAATCGTCTCTGTCCCCATGAAAATTATAGCATCTTGATTTTTCTCTCCTTTCATCTCTTTCCTGATTGCTGTCATTGATCCTGGCACATCCCAGAGAGAAATACCCCCACTGTGGCAGGGGTCTGACATGCAGGCCACTCTGTGATTAGGGCAGTGTTCTTTTATCAACCCAAAGTCACTGCCTCCATGGGAGAGAGACAGAGGGAGGAGTCACCCCAAGGGCAGTCACCGTAGAAGAGGCCTGAGTCAGCCCCTCTGACCAAACACCCTTGCTGGAGGGCTGGGGGCCCAAGAGCCAGCACCGTGGAACGAGGAATAGGAAGATGCCTGCTGAGTGGGAGAAGAGATGGTGAGAGAGGGCAAGAACTGGGCCGAGGCGCAGGGGTGGCCGGTGAGCCGGCTGTGTTGGCCGAGGCAGGCTGGGAAGCTGTGCTGGAGGTGCTAGACTGCTTCTGAGCAGCAAATTTTCTGGATTTCCTTTGTGTTCCACTGAATGAGCGAAACCTGCACAAAGCTCTGCGGAGCTGAGAGCAATCAAGGAAAGCACCTTTGTCCATGCGGTGCCAGGGACAATGCCTGGGCCAGTGAGGTGGTAAAGACAGGACCAGGAGAGAAAATTCCAGAAGGGGGAGCTCAGTGACTTGGCTCGTATATGTTGGGACCACTTGGTGGGCTACCCCTTCCCACTTTAAACCTGAGCCTATGGGATCTGTTCTAATAGGGAAGTCTGTTTCCTCACATGTCCTAAGGGGGAGACCCCTGGATTTTAAGAACTGCCATCAGACAGGAAAGGCCCCTGGTGGCTCCTCAGTCACAGAGACAGAGAGACAGACAGACAGACAGACAGACAGACAGACAGACACACACACACACACACACACACACAGGAAACCAAATCTCTCTCCTGCCTCTCCTCTGAGTCTCCTGTTAGCCTGAGGGCTCCCCAGACCTCCTTCCCAGATTCCTTGGACACACTCCTTTCTCCTGGGCACGTAAAAACATCTGTCTGGTAGTCAGGCTGGGTAAAAACTAGTACCAGAAAGCGTTCCAGGGTATTTCTCCCACTTAACCAACGAGAGGACAAGTTACTTCACCTCTGTGCCTCAGTTTTCTCTCCTGTAAAATGGAGATAATCACAGTACAGCCCTCTTCTTTGCTGTGGGTTTAAGTGAGTAGATGAACGCACGTAGGGCGGTGGCTGGTTCAGGCAAGCTCTGCGTAGGTGTGACCTCTCACTGCTAGTGATCGTTCCACCATGGGAGGGCCAAGGTGGGTGGGAGAAGCAGCAGGGAAATGGCACATCTGCACTGCCTGAAGGGCTCAAGCCCGGAAGTCCGGCCACCAACTCCACTTCCCTGAGCTGGGCTCAGCTGCAACCCCCTCAGGTCCTTCCCGGATGTGGAGATTCAGCCAGGGGCAGCCTTCTTCCTGGGAGACCAAGGTGACTGCTGCCTACACTGTCCCTACCTGACAGAGAAGCATGGGGGGTTGGGAGACCCCCAAAACTGGGGGCCAATGTGTTATGCAGATACATGTCTCTCCTAAAGGCTTAGAGTCTCAGTTTTGAGAGACAGATGGAAGACATGCAGTCAGGATCCACAGTCTCGGATCCCAGGGCAGACTTGGGAACTGGGCAGTTCTCATTCTGCCTGAAGAAAACAGTGCTTCCCTCACCCCTACTGCTGTCAGCCTCACCTTCTCTCTCTCTCTCTCTCTCTCTCTCTCTCTCTCTGTGTGTATGTGTGTGTGTGTGTGAGAGAGAGAGATAATTTGCACTATTTCACTTAATCACTTTCTTGAAAACGCAGGCCAAGCCTCCAAAGAGTCCTCTTTACACCAACCTCAGAGGACTCGTGAGTCCTAGGGAAACTTGCCTGGGGAGAAGGAACTCTCCGGAAGGCAAACACAGCAGCTCCTTTTCTGGGCATATGGGAGGATTATCAGGCTCTCCAGGAAGCCATGCTGGATGAAGGCCACTGTATCGCTTCGTGTCCCCGTGGAACTCATAAGCAGATTTTGCACTCTATTAATCTACATCTGTTTGCACGTCCCTGCTGTCAGCAGCTTCTGTCTAGGGAGGCGGCAAACACGCAGTGAAAGGAGCGTGGGCTCTGGAGCGGCCACTTGGGTGCAGCCTGGCTGTACCACTGCTGGCTCGGGGACCTTGAGCCCTTGAGTCTTTTAATCTAGAATGCATTCCCCACCCTTTTTTCTTTCTCCATGACTGGCTTTTTAAAGAGTACACAATGTAGACTGTCCCACGTTCTGGATTTGTCCAGTTGTTTCTTGGTGATGTGTTTTTTTCTTTAAACTTTTTATTACAGAAAATTTCAAATAGAGTATACATGAAGTAAATAGCATACATGAGCCATCTATCAACCGGGTGTGTTGATAAAGGTAGCTGGCTTGCAGTGCTGTCAGGAGGACTGGTGATAAGGTGGGCAGAGCCTGGCCCAGTGCCTGGGACGCACTGGCTTAGGAGGCATGGAAGCTGCCAGATGGTGGTGAAGATGAGATGATGGTGGTGACATTCGGGTCCCAGTCTATGCTTTCCATCTCTCTTGGTAGGCTAGGAGCTCCTCCCCAAAGCGGCTGGTGTTGCTTCCTCCTTTCTCCTCCTCCTGTTTTTATTCTCTCCCTGCAGCCTCACTGTCCCTCCCTCTCCCCACCCCCAAAAAAGCTCCATGGGACACCATGATAATTCACTCATTTAACACACCTGGAGGGGTGGGGCTGGCATGCTCTAGATGACACACTCCAAAGTCACCAAGCCACCCTGTCGGGCTGTGCCCACTTGAAAGGAAGTGGGATGTCTCCACAGGGGTCCAGCTCTCCCTCCCTTCCATCCTCCTCCCCCAGCTTCACCCCTACCTCACGTTGTCATGTTTCTGGATGTAAATCTTATGGAACATCATATCCTCCTGCTTGGCGTTGATGTCTGCTTTCATCTCCATGGCAACATGACGGGGAAGGACAGACAGCAGGAGCCGTTCCTGCAGAGGGAAGCACATGCTTTCATCACCACGCCTTCTACCTGCCTGGCAAGTGCTCGCTCCTCCACACCTGTGCCCCTGCCTGAGGGCCCTGGAAAACCTCTCAGGCTCTCCCGGGACTCCTGGGTTAACAGTGTGTGTGTGTGTGTGTGTGTGTGTGTCTGTGCATGTGTGTGTATGTGTGTGCAGGATACCTGTCCCCCATCTCCCCTCCCCGGGACACCAGCTAATCCTTCCGCCTCCCTCGCCACATTTCTCGGGCAAAAGCGCTCCTGGTGAACCTGTGAGTACTGAGCACCTCGGGTTAGAATCCTGGATGTCCCCTGAGACTCTGCGTGACCTTGGGCAAGTTACCAAACTTCTCTGAGCCTCAGGTTGCTCGTCTGTAAAATGAGGATGGAGTTGTTGAGAGCATTAAATGAGATCCACTCCATCAGTTATCAAATACTTATTGAGCACCTACCATGTGCCAGGCACTATTCTGGGGACCAAGTGAGTTAACACCAAGAGTGAGACAGGCAAGGTTCCTCCTTCAGAAAGCTTCCGGTGTCATGGGGGTCTGGGGTGCCACTATGGGGGCACTGAGCAGGGACACCTGATCTCCACTGGAGTAGTCAGAGACGGCTTCCTGGAGACTGGAAGGATGGGGTGGGGAGGAGGTGCTCCAGTTCCACCTGGGGGACAGTGGCCCAGGAGAGTGGGAAAGCAAACTGACTCAGAGAAACCATGTCACAACCAGTGGCAGGGGAGGTGGGAGAGAAGCAAGTGGAGGGGCAGGCCACATCACGGAGGCTCACGTCAGCCTGTTACGGAGTCTGGACTATGCTCTCTTTCTGAGCTCCTCTCCCGGGCCTGCCCTTCTCCAAGATGCCCAGCTGCCTCCCTGCCAGGCTCCCTATCAGGCTGGTGCACATCATTCGCTCATCCCCAGCCTTTCATTTTGGCTGCCTCCAGCCCTCCTCATTCTCCTGCCCTTCACTCTGCACCAGATGCTAGAGTCACCCTCCCACATGGTCCTGAGATTCTTCTGCTTCTATGTCATCTCTGCTTCGTCTCCCTCCACCTGGCCCCAAACATGGCACGTCCCACCTCTGTCCTCGCCCCATTCACGCCTGCACTCTGGGAGTAAGTCCATGGCCAAGGTTCCCACTATAGAGGTGGCTATATCAGCCATTTCCCACATCCCTACCTCCCGTCCATGGCTTGCCAGCCTCCAGCTGCCCACCTGGATGTCTTGCCACCACCACCCTGACATCACACCCAAACCACACTCGCTTTCCCACATTGTCATTCCCCAATCACTTTTCTTTCAATTTCCCTGCCTTTGCCTGGGACAGCCCCATTCTGCTGCACCAGTGCCAACATCCTGCCCACGTAAGTGGCTTTTGCTTTTCAGATCTTTCCCTCTGACACTCATTCCTTTCCCCTCAGCCGCAGGACCTGTCCAGCACTGACGAAGTCCTGCTCATCTGGAAACAGCTCTCACACTTGTCCTTTCTGTTCTGTGCCTTCCTCCACTGCCCACATGCAGTTCTCGCCTGGCTCTTGGATTCTGGTCGCGACACCCTGGACCGACAGCCTCCCTCTGCCCTCCCTGACGCCTGCACAGCCCCGATCTCTCTGAAACACTACCTGTGCTCAACACCTCCACAGGTTTTCTAGTTTCACCAGCCACATCACATATGGGTTCTTCCAGACCCGCTGAACTCACTCTTCCTTATTTTCCACTGCAAAGCAAAGCCCATGTCCCCCTACCCCCTTGCTATGCCTCATGCTTGCCTGGCCCGCTCCTGCCACCCCCAGACTGGCTGCTGCTCCTCTCCTTGCTGAAGCACCCTCTCCACCCAAACCTCAGCCTGTTGCCGCCCAGGCCACCTTCAGGGCCAGACTGGATGACCAGGGTACCCTCCAGATCACTTTGCTTGTCTCCAAGCTTGCTGCCTCTGGTCCATCCTTCCCACTGCAAGCAAGCAACTGCTTTTCCTAAAATACACCAGACCATGTCGCCTTCTAAGCCTCCTGACACTGCTGAGATCAGCCCACGCCCACAGCCTGGCCTGGAGGTTTCCGTGACCTGACTCCTCCCTGCCCTTCCACCTGCTGTCCCAGCAGCACTGAAATGAAATCCACACTCCACTCCAGATAGAGCAGAACACAGAGGCCCCCACACTTCCTGGGGTCTTTCTTGCTGTTGTGCACAAGCTCCTCAGCTGGCATCACCCTCCTCCTCCGCTGCTCCTCACCCTCCTTCAGGGTCTCCCTTTTCCCAGGAGGAGGTCCAATTCTGGCTGCTGGCATCCCCTCCCCCACTCGCTGAAACGCCACATCAGTGGCCTGTTAACTGTGTGTGAGGAGAGGCCACCTTGGGGACCGGAGCTGCGTCTTGTCCAGTGCCACAGCCCAGAGCCTTATGCTCGAGAAGCTGACACATTAGTGAAGGGCGGTGTTCTCTGTGGGTCGGTCTGGTCTCCCCAAGCAGCAGGAAACACGACCACCAAAGGCCAACTCTCAGTAAATAGTTACTGGTGATAGAAATAGGAATTAAAAGACAGTGTGGGATGACTGGGAGAGACCGTGCTACAAACCGTTTGGCTTCATGAGAGGCCCTCCTACATTTACAACCACCTCTGGGGCTGAGGGCCAGGAGGGGTGGGCAGGGGGCCGCTGAGGAACAATTCTGAGCCCACTCATCACAGGGCACCTAGAAGCTTCCCCCAGGGAGCCCCAGCAGCTCTTTCTGCACGCCTTGCTGGCTATGGCCGGTTGAGAAGCACCTGTCTGCAGAAAGCTTCCCCTCCTCAGCACATTGGCTCCGAATATGGAATGGCAAAAATATTTTCTCCCCTAAATCCCTGTGGATTTGGTGGAATGCCCAGACTGGCCCGGGCAGAGCAAGGAAACTGTGGCAAGCTGTAAAATGGTAATTCCCCTGGAGAAGTGAGAGGCACAGCCCCAAAAATGGAAGGAGGAGGTATCCTGATCTCAGGTGAGAGATGCTGAGGCCTGGAATGGGGATGATGAGGGGCTTTTCAGGAATGCTGAGGCCTGGGGGTGAGTGTGGTGCAGTGTGCCAGAGGCGAGGTACATGTGTTAATAAAGGGCAGTGGGAGGACCCCAGGGACCCTGCCAGCAAGGGCTTCCTTCAAGATGCTGGACCAGAAGCTCAGACAGGGCCAGAGTGAATGGGGAGAGCCAGGCTGGGGACTGGTCAGCTTAAGTGGAGACCTGACAAGACATGGCGACCACCGAGGCAGCGCTGGAAGGGAAGTGGAGACAGGTGGGGACTGGGGGGCCTGGAGAGGTACTACAGAGCTTTGCCCCCTCGTTTGGCTGTCTGGATGTCACCAGCCATATCACTGTGACTCACTTAGGATGCAACCAGATGGCATCAAGGACACCCCCCACAGTACTAAAACATTCTGCACTCAGGGTGGCCACAGCATGTGCTCCGTGCCAGCCTGGAGCCATGAGTGACCACTGCCATCTTGGCCATTTCTCCGTGTCCCCCACACTCAAAGGCAGACCTTCCATGTTCATATCAGCCATGGGGGCTGACGCAGCATGCGGCACTTAGATGAGCTCCACTGATGCTTGCTGAGGGTCTGGGGAGATGGTAATCTAAGATGGGAGGGAAGGCCTCCGGTTTGGAGCAACCTTATCTCACAGGAGCTAGTGGGAGCCCCATCACCCTGCAGACCCGCCCACTCTCTCCCCTAGGCCACACAGCCCCCCAGGCCTCCCATGTGTGAGCCATGACTCAGAGTCACCAGACCCCTACCTGATTCACACACAGAAGAGGAGACAGTGGGGATCCAGACCTGGAATCCAAACAGGACTCCGCCCCCAAAGAGGGAAGGGCTGGACCCCTGATGTGGCCCTCAGCCCTGCTCCCACCCCACCCAAGAGTGGTGCACACAGGGCAGGTCCCTCTTTGCACCAGGAATCTGTGGCCCTGGGAATGGCCTGCCTTCCCTGACCCAGGCAGTCGGTCTAGGAAGAGATGGGACTTTCTTCCTTCTCAGAACCACCAAACCCCAGAACTCAGAGAGGGGAATAGCCAGGTGTGGGGTGTTTCAGGGGATGACAGCTCCTGTCTCCTCTTCTTCTCCCTCATCCCTCCCCTGCGGAGCACCTTAATCCCAGTTAGGAATGCTGGCTTCTCTCCTTACTCCAACTCAAGGCGGGGTGCAGTGCGGGGAGGGAGTGGTGAGCAGTGTGGGGAAGGAGTGGGGGCCGTGTGGGGAGGGAGAGAGGGACCCTCTGGCTGCTGGGCTTGTTTGCAAACCACAGGGACGCCACATGGCTATGGGCACCAGGCCTTGGGCACGGGCTGGGTAGAACTCACTTCCCACAGGGCCTGGAATGCTGGACTCTCTCCAGGGGAAACATTCCCCATGGGTTGGTCCCCTCCCGGGGAGTGGGGCTGGCAGCCGTAATAAGCACTGCCCGCCCTAGGCCAGGCACTCAGCTGAGGTACATCTCAGGGCTCGACTCCGTCCCACTGTGCAAGGGCAGGGGCCTCACTCACCTGCTGCTGGTTCTCCCGCTGCGAGTGGAGCCGCGCCTGGATGCACTCTCGGGTCTCCTGGAAAGCCTGTCTCTGGGAGACCTCAGCCGGATAGTGGGTGCAGACACCCACGATGTTGGTGCAGGAGAAAATGAGAACATTGGAGACAAGCTGCAGAGGGAGAGAGGAGCACACCTAGCTCAGATCCTGACCTTCCTGGCCCCAAAGCATGAAGCCCTCAGCCCCTGTCTCAGCAAACTCACACCTGGCGCTAGCAAACAAATGCTGAGGGCACCCCACACGCGGCCAACCACTGTGAGCAGCCGAGCATAATCGATCGGGCTCTCTGATGTCCTCAAAGCCAGAAGTTTGGCTGGCTTGTCATGGGATATGTCCTCTAAAGACACTGAATCACCTAATAATCATACTAAACATGCCTATAGTACCAGAAATTAAAAGGCTACATGTACTGTGACAGAGCTGTGTGTGTGCTCGGGGCAGGAGGGCCACTGCAAGGAAGGTGCCACAAGGGTGCTGGGATTTCACTTTTGAAAGTGTGATAGAGTCCAGTACAGGACAAGGGGCCACCCTCCCCCAGAGATCAGCTCCGATGAATCAAGGATTCTCGAATCCCCTCAGGTCCCCAGCACTGTGCTAAATGCTCTAGGGAACAAAAGGGCAAGGCTGGCCAGTCGGGGTCCATGGCCACAGTGGGTCTCCACTCCTTCCTCCCTAGGCTTCTGGTCTTTCTGTTGCCAGCTCTCTGACAACCACTGCACCAGCCGGCCAGTGCCTGCCATTTCCCCCGCTCCCCAACAACTGAGATGTGTGTGTGGAAAAACACCACTGACCCTCCAGGTCAGCAAAGTCAAAGCTGGAATTCTTTTGAAGGGAATACTTACTGAAAAGCTAAGGGAAAATGAAACACAATACAACACGACACGGAAAGCAAGGTTATACGGTACATTCAGATCCCAGTGAGTGATGTGTAGGCAAAATTTCTCTTGGCAGGTAGAGCTCCTGGATATCTGAGTACATGGGTCCTGTTGTTGTCCTTGACTTGGGGCCACATGGAACAGAGCCACACAATGATGCTCCGGCTCCTAGGCTGTGGGGGCTTTGAGCTGCACCTCAGTTACTCCCACCAAAAACTTCCTTAGTCCCAGCTCCAGAAAAGGAGCCTGGGTCAGCCGCTGCACCTTCTGCTGTGGCTCCCTTAGCCCTCAGGAGGCCTGTGTTAGTCCCAAGTCCTGGGGTAAGGAGGGCACTTGGCCATTTGGATCCCAAAGAGTCTTGCTGTGGGACGTCGGCTGCCTGGCAGTGGCCCTGGCAGATGACTCCTACGCTCTTCTCTAGGGGCCTCTTGGCTCTCGACTCAGGTCTGCTTTCTACCAGAAGGCTTTGCCCACCACAGCTTTGCGATGGTCCTGCTCTTGCTCCTTGCTGAATGTGGTACCATCTTTCCCTGGAGACATCCCATGGTGTGTGTGCCCCGGTCCATGAAGACTTTCTCTTTCCTATTTCAGGCTCTCACTCCCTCCTGGCTGAAGAATGCCCTGAGCTCCCCATGTGTCTCCTGGATGTGCCTTCCAGGAAGGGGCAAGTTCAGATTTCTAGCTCCACTGACTCAGACGACTACTGTTGCTGACTCATAACTCCCATATCCTTCCACTCCAACCCCATCTACGCTAGCATCCCATTGCTGTCATTTTATGTAAACACATGGCATAGGAAAAGCCAACCTATTTATCATAAGGAAAGACCCCTGCTCTTCAGAAACTTACAATCTACTTGAAGAGTGTTATAGATGGAATGTTTGTGTCCCCCAAAAGGACTGCTGAACCAAAGAATGGCTGCTTGAGCCCACGGCTTCTGGAAGATTCATCAGAGGCAAGAGTGCAGGAATGGGAGACGGGTCCAGATGCTGCCACAGAAGCCCAAAGCATGAGGGAACAAAGACCTGCGTGTGGCTGGGAGCCATTCAGGGCAGAGCTGACTCAGAAGGAAGAGCCCCTAAGACCAGGGAGAAGAAAGTCCAGGAAGAAATAGACCATGGCCTGAAGTAGTAACCAATGCTGTGATTATGAAGTGAGACCCCAAAAACAGGCCTCTGGGAAGTCACTGGGAACCACTGGGAGAGGATAAGGAGGAAGAGATGAGGAAGTGAAGGCTGAGGGGTAGGCCACAGGGAATTCTGAAGTATGATCTAGTTAGAGGAGATCTGTGTGAAAAGAGAGGAAGGTTCTCAGTGATAAAAACAGGAGTGAGACAGGAGAAACTGGGAGGAAGAAGAAGATGAGGAGCTAGCCTCAGACAGGCTAGTGCATCATGAAAATACTATACAACATGACCAAATGGGCTTAATCCCAGGAATGAAGGCTAGTTCAACTTCAAAAAGCAACCAACGTAATTTTCCATATTAATAGACTAAAATTTAAAAACTATATGATCATTTCAACAGTTTCTAAAACATCATTTGGCAAAATGCAACATACATTAATAATTTTTAAACTTACCAACTTAGGAATGGAAGGGAAGTCCCTTAATCTGATCAATAGCATATACACAAACCTACAGCTAAATTATATCAAACTTAATGGTGAAAGACTGAATGCCTTCCTCTAAGACCAGCAGCAAAGCCAGGTTGTTCCCTCTCGTCACTCCTATTCAACATCACACTGGAGGTCCTAGCCTATGCAATCAGACAAGAGAAAGAAACAAAAGACACACAGATTAGAAAGGAAGAAATAAAACTGTCTCTATTTGCAGATGACATGATTGTCTATGTAGAAGAACCTCAAAAAATTTTAAAAACTACCAGAATTAATATGCAAGTTTAGAAAAGTCATAGGATACAAGATCAATATACAAAAAGCAACCTACTTTTATATATGAGTAAATACCAATTGGAAGTAAAATTTTTAAAGGTATAGTTGGCTCTCTGTATCTACAGGTTTTGCATCTGTAGGTTCAACCAACCTTGGATCAAAACCCTCCGATATGGCAACTGTACATATTTTCCATCCATGGCTGGTTGAATCTGTGGATGCAGAACCCACAAATACAGAGGGCCAACTGTACTATGACATTTTATATAAGGGACTTATATAAGCATCTGAGGATTCTGATATCCCCAGGGGGTCCTGGAACCAATGCCCTGTGAATACAGAGGGCTGAGTGCACCATTTAAATAGCACCAGAAACCATGAAATACTTCAGTAGAAATCTAAAAAAAAAAAAACTAACAAAAAATCTAAAATTGGTCTTTATCTAAGACCTATTCACTGAAAGCTATGAAACACTGATGAAAGAAATTTTAAAAGACTTTAATAAATGGAGAGATATACCATGTACAGAAAAACACCACGTTCTGATGTCAATTTTCCCCAAATTGATACACAGATGCAACACAATCACAATCAAAGCAATGAAAATAGCCAAAATAGTTTTGAAAAAGATTGCCAATCAAGTTAGCAGACTCATACTACTCAATTTCAAGACTTACTATAAAGCTACAGTAATTAAAACAATGTGGTACTAGCATAAGGGTAGAAATATAGATATATGGAATAGAATTTAAGAATCTAGAAATAAGCCTTTATATTTTTGACAAGGGTACCAAGACAATTCAGTAGAAGAAGAGCAGTCTTTTCAACAAGTAATCTGGGAAAACTGGATATCTACATGCAAAAGAATGAAGCTGGACTCCTTACCTCATACTATACACAAAAATTCACTCGAAGTGAATCAGAGACCCAAATATGAGAACTATAGATATAAAACCCTTAGAAGAAAACATAGGGATAAATCTTTATAACCTTGGATTAGGCAATAATTTCTTATATATCACACCAAACATATAAATAACAAAAGAAAAAAATAAATTGAACTTCATCAAAATTTTAAAACTTTTTGTGCTTCAAAGGGCACCATCAAGAATGTGAAAATACAACCCACGGAATGGGGAAAATATTTGCAAATCATATTTCACACCTTTAGTTTTGACAAATGTACAAAGGCAATTACATGAAAGGAGTCTTTTAAAAAATCGTGATAGATCTTCACTTGTATGGCAATGAGTAAAAAAAAGTGGTGCTAGAACAATTAAATATTCATATGATAAAAACAAACCTCACAAAATATACAAAATTAACTCACAATGGTTCAGAGGCCTAACTGCAGAACCTATCATACAAATTTTTAAAACAATGAGTACTATCACACACTATTAGAATGGCTGAAGTTAAATTAGATTAAAAATGGAAAGAAAAGAAGAAAGAATGAAATAACAAGTACTGGTGAGAATGCAGAACAACTGAACTCATACTTTCCTGGTCGAAATGAGAAATGGTCCAGCTACTTTGGAAAACAGTTCAGCAATTTCTCATCAAGTTAAATATGCACTTGCCCTATGACCCAGCAACCTCACTCTTAGGTATTTTTTTTTTCAAATGAAATGAAAAGTTATGTTCACACAAAAATCTTTGCATAAATACTCAGCTATAAAAAGAAACAAATCACTGATATGTACAACATGGATGCATCTCAAATATATTATGCTAAAATGAAGGAAGCCAGACTCAAAAGCCTACAGACCATGATTCCATTTAGATGTGGGCAAAACTGTGGGCACTGCACATAGATCAGTGGTTGCCAGGGAGCAGTGGGTAGGGCTGACAACAAAGGGGCAGCACAAGGAAACCTTTTGGGGTGATGGGACTGTCCTGTATCTTGATTGTGTTAGCAATTACACATCTGTATGCATTTGTTACACCTGCAGAACAATGCACTAAAAAAGTGAATTTTACTGTATGTAAATTATACCTTAATTTAAAAAAAAAAAGGGCAGGAGTCATATCCAGGAGACTAAGAGAGAAAATGTAAGCAGATGGCTGGACAGAGAAAGAGTGGCCTTCCCTCTTTCTGAGGCCAGAAAGAGAGGCCAGAGTCTATTTGGAGGCATGACCCCCAAAGCAATTATCAAGTGTCTGCTGCAGCATCTCTGTACTAATCCTCCGGGTCTCTCCTGCTGTAATCTGACTCCTCCTATAGCCAGAAGTCCAATGGCAACAGACAGTGCAAATCCAGGTAAAAAGATGCGTGGTAACCCAATAGCCGTCCAAATGGCTTTGCTAAGCTTAGGGTGCCTTGGTGTTCATCTCTCTTTCACTAAACACAAAACCAGGCAGGCAGAAAGAGGGTGCTGTGGTTTGAGGGTGGGGTCTTGAGCAAGGCTATTGGAAAGGGGGATTTCAGCAAGTTGGACCTGAAAGTGAAAAAGAGATTAATAGCTGCCTTACACACACACACTCACACCATCTGCCAAAAAAGCAGGAATCTGGGCACCAGGTCTTAAAGGGTGCTAAGGTCCCTGTGCAGATGCTCCGCTTATGAATAGTGGGGAGGTATCGGTAAAATCTGATGGAATTCTGCTTACACACAGAGGGAGTCTGAAGTTTAAAAATGATCCCACACCTTGGGGACAAGGAAGGTATGTCCAAATGCTGCCAGGCTCTCTTCTCCACTCAGTGATCAAATAATGAGCCCCTTCTTACACCCCCATAAAGACAGGCAAAGTAAAAGTAAGTATAAACCCTGTCCTTGTGTAAAGGACCTAATTAGTAAATAATAACAGATATCAGTCACTCTTGAGGCTTCACAACAGCAGGTAAACAGGGCCTAATTAAGGGTTTATTGGTTTTCCCTGTGCTGGCCTCACGGGACACATCTAACCACATGGAACACGTGTGTGTGTGTGTGTGTGTGTGTGTGTGTGTGTGTGTGTAGGGAGTTGGTGGTATGGCGGAGCACGTGACATATACCCACAGTACACCAAGTGGAGTGAAAAGGAGACCCAACAATACAGCAGACTGCAGCCCTGGAGTAGCCTCAGCATCTGCTTTAAAACAAGCAGCCGGATGCAGTGGCTCACACCTGGAATCCCAGCACTTTGGGAGGCCAAGGTGGGAATATCACTTGAGTCCAGGAATTCAAGACCAGCCCGGACAACACAGTGATATCCCATATCTACAAAAAATAAAAATAAAACAAATAAAAATTCACCAGGTAGTCCCAGCTACTTGGGAGGCTGAGGCAGGAGGATCACTTGAGCCCAGGAGATAGAGGCTGCAGTGAGCTATGACCATACCACTGCACTCTAGCCTGGGCAACAAAGCGAGACTCTGACTCCAAAACAACAACAACAAAAAGTTTAAAACAAGCCCTGCAGATGGATGGGGTCCGAGTGGACAAGGTCCAGGGGGTCCCAGGACCACACCAGGAGAGACCCCACTAGAGGGGGAATGTTTGGAATTCTATTCTCAGAGTCAAAACCGAGGGGAGATGCCTATGAATATTTAATACTTCTAAAACCCCAGCACTTCTGAAACCCAATCTCTGGCTGCCCGCAGGCTGCAGGTTTGATTTGAGCCAAGAGTGGGAAGTTACAGTGCTCGGTTCGTGCAGTGTCTCCTTGGGAAGACTCAAAGAAACCCCAGCCACTGGCCTCAGGCACTGTGATCGTTTCTGCCTCTCCTCTCTGAGTTTTCAGGGGGCTCCATGGGCCCACTGCAACAGGCTTGCTACTGGATAATCCTGGGAAAGGTGCAAGGCAAAGGGGAATGAGAAATGCATGGTTTTGGAGTAGAAGGAAATGAGTTGGAGACTAGGGTTGGGGAAGACCCCTGCTCAGTTTGCTCTTTTATGCGGTTCCTGTTCCCGGTAAGTCAGCTTGCCCCTTGCAATATGGTTCACAGGTGAATGGTGGTGGCTGTGGTGGGAATCAGAACTTCCCGGGGAGCCAGAGTTAGTGATGGGGGAGGGAGCAGGATGTTCAGTTAAATTTGAATTACAGACAAACAACACGTACATCTTTTAGTATAAGTAGGTTCCAGGCAATATTTGGGACCTACTTATACTAAAATATATATATATATATATATATATATATATATTCATTATTTATCTGAAATTCAAATATAATTGAGTGACCCATATTTTACTGGGCAACCCTACCAGGGGTCCTTTTCAAACCACACCTGCCCTCCCCCAGTCGTGACAACCCTCTCCCCAAGCTCCTGCCCACTCTTCCCTACTCCCTCTTCCAGATCTTCCTCCACCTATGAGGACAGAGTAGAGAGACTGCAGCGTTTTCCGTGTGCATCAGAGTCTGCAATCACCCCAATGAAGTGCAAGCCAAAGAGGTAAGATCTGATTTTCCAAATCCATCCAAAGACCACAAGAGGCTGGACCACCTCAGGGACCCTGGGGGCAGAGAACCAGCTCCCCAAGCTCTGGGCAGTAGAAAAGGAGGAGAGGCTCTCTCCCGCAAAGTGTCCCCTGGCCCCAGCCCTAAAGACAGGCACAACTCCTTCCTGTTCTAGTCCTTTGTCGGTTTACAAACACATAAAACTAACAACGAAATGAGTCCCAAATAAAAGAAGCTGACATCCTGGCAAGACTTCCTTCCTCCTACACTGGATTTCATTTGTCTTACACAGTGGTGGTGGGAAGCTCAGGGAACCTCAGTGGAACCCCATTAAGATATAATATAAAATAATTCAAGGAAGAATAATCTTAAATTATATACTCTTAGAAGGCATGTCGGCATGGCTCCTTGTACACTGCACCATGCTCAATTAGGTGCTTAATGTTTTTTTTTTTTAACTATTACATATTTTTAACTGTTTTTCTAATCATAATGAGTGACACCTCTAAAATTTTTCCTTTCACAAAGAATCAAGATTGCTGTTATGTGTTTCTGGTAATCAAAGCTGCATTATCTCTGCTTGGGGGCTTTTGTGACAAGGTCTTCTTTCAAGGAGGTGGCCAGCTCTATACCACTGGCTCTGGACAAACACCATCAAGCCCATCTCTCTGCTCACTAGGGTCCTGCCCAGACAACATCGCCTTTCTCCTCTCCTTTCCAGCTAGGATCTAGCTGCTCTGGGATTGTCACTCTCCCTTGCTCTGGAACTCCCCATCAAGAGCTTAGGATGCCTCCTGAGGGGCCTCCAGCCTCTGTAAACACCATTCTCTATGCCAGAGATCCTCAAATGAGACCCTTAACATCATGACATCTTCCTACCCAAAAACCTGCCAGGACTCTCCATTACCAGTAAGATAAAGTCCAAACTCCTGTGCTGGCATTAATGCCCTCTAAGTCTTATCATAGACCACATTCCCTGTCTCACACCTACCCCAGCTACTCACTGTGTCTGAAAAAAACCAACCTATAATACGATTCTAAAGTGTAATGTTTATTTAATACAACTTTAATGTTACTAAAATTAGAGCATGAAATATTGACAAATCAACAATTAGCATCTGCTTAATACATTTTAAGGAAAAACAAAATAGACTAGAATGTGAAGAAAGACAAATATCTAGGAATGATTGGGTACAGCAATATATAGTCTGCAAAACACTTTCTCACATGTAGTTCATCTCACCCTCATCAAATCCCTGTAAGATAAGCAAGTTAGGCAGCATCATCCCCCTCTGCCAATGAGGAAACTGAGGCCCGAGGCAGGGGTCCTGCCTTGGATTACACAGAAAGGAAGCTGCAGAACTGGGATCACAGCCATCTCTTTCTGAGCTCACAGCTCATCCTACTCTACTGTACTAAGCTGTTATTTATCCCAACCTAATTTAGATCTAGTTTTGTTTTATTCTATTTAATAAAGAGACACTCAACTTTCTCTCACCCTTGTCCCAGGCGCCCTAGGCCTTCTTCATAGATCCTGGTCACATAAAGTACTGCTGATTAGGGACCTACTCCCAGCCACTGCCAGATTCAATGAATGTCCTCCGGGGGCACACTCTCCAGGGAACTCATGGCTATGGGTGAGAAAGGCCCACCTGTCTCACAAAGCCAAGTCTTACTCTAGTGTAGCTTCCCTTCGTTATTTTTTATGGAGATACAATTCACATACCATAAAATGCACTCCTTTAAAATGCAAAATTCAGTAGCGTTTAGTGTATTCACAAGGCTGTGCAATCTTCACTACCAACCCCAGGACATTTTCAACATCCCCAAAAGAAACCCCATGCCCATTAGTCACTGCCTATTCCCCACCCCACCCTCCCCCAGCTCCTGGCAACCACGAACCTACTTTCCACACCTGTGGATTTGCCTATTCTGGACACTTCATATAAATGGAAGTGAACAATAGGTGGCCTCTGTGTCTGGCTTTTCTCGCTTAGCATATTTTCAAGGTTCGTCCACATGGTAGCACACACAGGCTGAGAATCCTTTATCCGAAATGCTAGGGACCAGAAGTGTTTCATATTTTGGATTTTTTCAGATTCTGGAATACTTGCATATACATAATGAGGTATCTTGGAGATGGTACACAAGTCTAAACATGAAATTCATTTATGTTTCATAAACATCTTCTACATGTAGCCTGAAGGTAATTTTATACAACATTTTAAAATAATTTTGTGCATGAAACAAAGTTTGTGTTAAGTACTTATGTGTGGAATTTTCCACTGTGGCATCATGTCAGAGCTCAAAATGTTTCAGATTTTAGAGCATTTTGGATTTCAAATTTTCAGATTCAGGATGCTCTCTACCTGTATCAGTATTTTGTTCCTTTTACAGCTAAATAATATTCCACAGCACAGATCTACCATATATTGTTTATCCACCATCAGGTATAGACATTTGAATTGTGTCCACCTTTTGGCTATTATGAATAATGTTGCTGTGATGAACATTCATGTACAAGTTTTTACATGGATATATTCTGTTTTCTTGGGGATATATCTAGGAGCAGAATTGCTGGGTCACACGGCAACTCTATGTTATTGAGGAACTGCCCAACTGCTTTCAATCACCTGCACCACCTTACATCCCCGCCAACATTGCATGGGGGTTCCAATGTCTCCACATGCCCTGCCAACACTTATTTTGTTAACTTTTTCATGATAGTCATCCTAGCAGGAGTGAGGATGGTATCTTATTGTGGTTTTAATGCCCTTAAATTTGTAAAGCAAATAGCAACAATTACAAGGGAGAGAATGTCTTCTATAACTTGCACAGCTGTGCCTTTAGAGAGAAGTGGCCACATTGTACATTTTATGTTTTGTTATTTTTAATTACTTATTCCTAGGAAGACCCCACGCTTTGCGCAACCGGAGAGAAATAACAGCTTTCATGTAATAGTGCTTACATGAACAAGACAAACACTGATTGAGTGCCTAGCACTGGGAAACCATGCTGCTGGCCACCTTGCCCTCTAGGACTCCAGATCTGGTGGGGAAGTCAGACAAGGCACGGAAGTGGTTGGGAGGACATAAACTCTGCAGGCTCCACAACCTCTATCCTCTATCCTCAAGTTAATTTCATAAACATTCAGTTCGCAAAGAATATGCCAGAGGAAATACCCTTAATATACAAAGTATTTTGCCAATTAACAATAAATGGGTAGAATTTAACAACAAAAAAAGGCTGGGCACAGTGTCTCATGCCTATAATCCCAGCACTTTGGGAGGCTGAGGTGGGTGGATCATGAGATCAGGAGTTCGAGACCAGCCTGGCCAACATGGTGAAACCCTGTCTCTACTAAAAACACAAAAAATTAGCTGGGCGTGGTGGTGCGCACCTGTAATCCCAGCTACTCGGGAGGCTGAGGCAGGAGAATCACTTGAACCCAGGAGGCAAATGTTGCAGTGAGCCGAGATCACATCATTGCACTCCAGCCCAGGCAACAGAGCAAGATTCCTTCTTGAAAAAAAAAAAAAAAAAAAGGAATTGAAGAACAAAAAAAAAAATGGGTAATGTGGATGAATAAGCTATTCAAAGTAAAAATACAAATGACTTATAAATGTGTGATATCAAAAGATGTTAACCCTTACTAGTAAGCAAAGAAATAACAATAAAAGCAGTATTTTACCTATTTAAATAGCAAAGCTTTCTTTTCATAGTAATAATGTTGGCAAGAATGCAATGGAATAGGCACCCTCCTACATTATCAGTGGGAATGCAAATCGGCATAACCTTTCTGGAAACCAATTTGGCAATATGTATGAAGAGCTTTCCAAATATTCATACCCTCTGACCCAATAAGTTAGTCCCCTCCCAGGAATCTATGCCACAGAAACCTCAGTAGCTTGAACAGGGCTTTATGTCCGAGGATGATTATAAAATTTAACAATTAGGAGCAGCTAAATGTTGAAAAACTAGAGAACAGTTAAATAAATTATGGTGCTGTCACCAGGCGCAGTGGCTCACACCTGTAATCCCATCACTTTGGGAGGCCAAGGAAGGAGGATCACTTGAGGCCAGGAATTTGAGACCAACTTGGGCAACATAGTGAGACCCCATCTCTACAAAGAAATAAAAAATTAGCCGGGCATGGTGGCATGCACCTGTAGTCCCAGCTACTTGGGAGGCTGAGGTGGGAAGATCACTTGAACCTAGGAAGTCAAGGCTGCGGTGAGCCACGATTACACCACTGAACTCCAGCCTGGGTGACAGAGCAAGACTCTGCATTAAGATGAAATAAAATAAAACTTTGGTGCTCAATACCCTGGAATATCTCAAAGCCTTTAAAATGTCTTATTTAAATAACATTCAACATTGTGGGAAATTTTCCAAAATACAATGTCAAGTGGGGGAGAAAAAGAATATGAAATTGCATATAACTCATGATCCCAATTTTTCACATGTATACATTTCAAAATGTTAACAGTGATGGAGTATCTCTAGGTGGTGGGATGATAAGTGCTTTTTTACTTTTTTTCTTTATACCAATGAATACTCTCCAATGTTTCTATTGTACATATTACTCTAAAAAGAAATACTGATAAACTTACATAAAGAAAGAAAAAAGTACATGCTTGTGCTATGAGCACGGCTGGCTGAAGAATCTTCTCTTCTGACAGAAGAGATAAAATGAGAATGAAAATGCCTGTAAAACCAGAGAGAATAAGTCAAATGGGAAAAGAGATTCAAAATAGAAAAAGGAATCATGTCTGGGCAGTGGGGACTAGGACCCTTCCTGGAGAAGTGTCTGCAGATGGGCAGGACCTGGCCAGCGGGAATCCCAGTGGAGGGGCATACAGATGATGCAAACAGCATCAATATGGATGGGGCAGAGGAAGAAGAGTCCAGGGCTACACTGGGAACACCAGGTACTCACTGCTGACCAGAAGCAAGGAGAGGACTGGCCAGAGATGAGACAAGGGGGTTCATGGCCAGATCATGAAAGAATTTTTTCTATGGCAGAGTAAGGAGCCAGCACATAATCTAGGAGGCATTAAAACCTCTTGATGGCCGCATTTACAAAAATAAAAAGTATATTCATTGCCCAAATTATAAAATGTACATTCATTACGGAACACTTCGAAATCATAGAAAAGGAAAAAAAAATCAATTATCACCCAAAGACAACCAGTATTAACGTTTCCATTTATTTCTTTTACTTCCTTTTTAAAAAAATCTACTTACGGCTTTTTGTTTTTGCTTTCATAAAACTGTGCTCTTACTGTTTGCATAATTTGGTATCCTGTGTTTTTCACTTTTTTTTTTTTTTTTGAGACGGAGTCTTGCTCTGTTGCCCAGGCTGGAATGCAGTGGCGAGATCTCGGCTCACTGCAAACTCTGCCTCCTGGGTTCAAGTAATTCTCCTGTGTCAGCCTCCCGAGTAGCTGGGATTACAGGCGCCCACCACCATGCCTAGCTAATTTTTGTATTTTTAGTAGAGACGAGGTTTGTATATTTAGTAGAGATAGGGTTTCACCATGCTGGCCAGGAGGTCTTGAACTCCTGACCTCAGGTGATCCACTCACCTTGGCCTCCCAAAATGCTGGGATTACAGGCGTAAGCCACCGCGCCCAGCCTTCATTTAATATTGTAACGTAAGCATGTTCCCCTGTTATTACAACTTCTAATGCTGCCAGCTTTCAAAAGGGAAATGTGATCACAGCAGAACTTTGGGTAGATTAAATTGACAGCTGGAAAGGAGGCAGTGAAGAGGAAGATGCTAGAAGTAGAGAGACTAAAAGAGGGCTGTGGAAATAGCACAGACGAGAAGCACCAAGGGCCTGGGAGAGGCTGGAGCTCTATGAAGGGAAAGCAGAGTGGCCCCCAAGCAAGGCATCTGCAAGGAGTATTTGAGCCTGGGTGATGTATCTATGGGAAGAAGAGAGCTTCGGTTCCTAATCCACTTAGGGGAAGTCCGGGAGGAGCTGGCTTTGGAGTGAGTGGGTTATGAGTAATAAAGTGTCACAAAAGCTAAATGCAAGAGTAGGAAAGTCAACAGAATCAGGTGTTGTGGAAGAGGCTGAAAAGAGATGGATAAGCAGACTGGGTAGAGGAGGAGTTGAGCTGTAAGGGGGTTAAGTCATGAGGTCATGAGGGGACGGTGAATGAAGGTGACTCTGGATGTTTGGCAGTGAAGGGACAGCGAGTGGGTCACAGCTTGAATGAATACAGCATGGAGGTTAGGAAACTTGATTTATCCAGAGGCAGAGGGAGGGGAGGGGCCAAAGAGGTAAATGAGGACAGCACCGTACTTCCCTGCAGAACTGAGCTGTCCACCAGGGGAGCCACTAGCCACACATGGCTAGGAACATTTGCAGTGTGGCTGGTCTGAAGTGAGGGGTGTTGTAAATACAAAACGCACTGGAGTCTGAAATTATTTTTTATTCATTACATGATAAAATGATATTCTGGATATATTGGGTAAATAAAATATATTATTTAAATTACTTTCACCCATGGGTTAGTTTGTTTTCTTTGTTTTTACTTTTTGGCCCACTGGAATAGCTGGAAGGATATATGTGACTCTCAATATATTTCTGTTGGACAGCACTGCTGTTGTACAAAGGGGAGGCAGGACAGGAGGGACCTGGAGCATAGTGGATGAGGGACAGATCCCAGGTTACTTGCAGAATATCAAACTGCTGAGCCATTGGTGGCCCACCTTAGGCCCACAGAGTGATCTGCCTCCTTACTTCCCCCTGAGGGGGTCATTCCCAAAGGCTCAGATTCATCTGCCAAGCTCAGGGCCGATTTCAGATGGTACACCCAGCACAGCCACTCTCTGTGGCTTTCAGAAACATGAGATGTGGTGACAGAAAAGGGAAGGGGGGCTGGAGGTGAGGCCCAAGGGATATGGAGGTATATGACAGGGGCTCAGGTATGACGACTGAGGTATCTAGGACAGTCTAGAGAAGGGTATCAGACTGAAAATTCACTTATCTTACACACCACGAAACTTGGGGCTTGGGGAGAATATACGAATTTAAAACCATGGGGAGGAGGGCATCCTCAAGAGCAATGAATGAACATCTAGAGGCAGCACAGTGTGGAGAAAGGCCTGGGAACTTAGGTGTGAGTTCTCAGCCTGGATCTGCAAACAACAAACATGTGGCTCTGGGCAAGTCACCTTTCCTGTGGGAACTTCAGCTTCCTCATCCATAAAAGTGAGAGGCAGTGGGTGATGGCCAAGGTCTTTGCCACCTGGGACAGTCCATGGAGTGGCCACAGCCTGGGCCTCTGGCTGCTCAAGCAGGGACAATTTGCATTCCTCTCTAAATGGAGATGCTACTTAGAAAGACTTTCAGAGAAATCCCTGATTTCAAATCTTCTGCCTTCCATTCTCCTGCAATGCAACGGAATGCTCAGCATTGCAGCATATAAGCTACAGCTTTAAGAAGGCCTGTCATACCTGGAAGTCGTACAAAAGTCCCCCATCCAACCGTGCTAGATCCATGGGGAATCCCAGAGGAAGCCGGAGTCCTTCAGAATCTATGCCAGGCACCGGCCCCCACCTCATCCCCGGACCAGGCGTGGGAATCACACATACAAAGCAGCAGAGAAAGGCAGACACATTCCCATACAAACCAAGGACATGAGTTGGGGCAGGAGGACAAAGAGAGGCTGGCATGGCGGGAGTACCTTGCAAAGGTTTTCCAGGGAAGCTGATGATGCTTCACCCACCCACAAACTGCTTCTCCTGCAGTTCTCTGACCTCTGGGATAAGGAGACGTTTGCTTTGAGGCCTGGCAAGAGGTTTTGTGGGCTAGAAATTTATTTATCCTCCAAGTGCAATCAAGTTGCTCTCTTCCAAAAATCTCATCTTGGAGAATAATTATCCCCACTCCCCCAAGCTCTCCCACCCTCAGCTTCCTCCTCCTCTCCCGGAATATCAGGCAAACCTTCATTGTTTCCTGTGAGTAGTGGTGACAGCTGAGGGTGGTGCCAGCCGTGTAGGTGGAGGGAGGGGGCTGACGAAAGGCTGGAGTCAGATTCAGGGGCGGGAAGAAGGAGCCCACCTGAACTCGGAGTTCTGGTTCCCACCCTACACAGGTGAAGTGCAGCTTCCCTCGTGCCTTCCCCCATCCCCTAGCCTGATCCACTCATGCCCACATCTCCTCCCTCTTTCCATTCCTCACCTCTGGGGCTCATTTTAGGTCAGCAGAATCCAGAAGAAAAAAAAAAACACCAAAGAGAAAATGAAACTGCCACCAAGTGCTTACCTTACCTCCAACTGAGTGCGGAACCTAGATGGGGCCATGTCTTCCGTGGGACAGGCCTGGGCCCTACCCAGCACTACACAGGCTGCCCTGTGGGGATGGAGGGGACCATGGGCACCTCAGCAGGGATCCAGGGGCCCCAGAGATTGCCTGGGGGAGAGAGGCAGGAAGATTCAGTGAGAGGAGTGCTATGCTGGGAGTCAGGAGCCCCAGGGGCCAGTCTTGTGACTCGGAGCCAGTCATGCAACCTACAGGAATCTGAATGCGCTCATCTCTATAATGGAGCTAATGACGCCTGCGAATAAGACACCAATGCTAACACGGTACAGGTGTAAACCAACACAGGCTGGGACTAACAATGCCATTAGAGATCTGGAGGGCTGAGAAGTAGATGGGAGGGCTGAGAAGTAGATGGGAGGCCAGGCATGGTGGCTCACGCCTGTAATCCCAGCACTTTGGGAGGCCAAGACGGGTGGGTCACTTGAGGTCAGGAGTTTGAGACCAGCCTGGCCAACATGGCGAAACGCTGTCTCTACTCAAAATACAAAAAATTAGCTGGGCATGGCGGTGCGCACCTGTAATCCCAGCTACTTGGGAGGCTAAGCCAGGAGAATTGCTTGAACCCAGGAGGCTGAACTTGCAGTGAGCCAAGATGGCACCACTGCACTCCAGGCTGGGCGACAGATCGAGACTGTCTCAAAAAAAATTAGCTGGACATGATGGCACATGCCTGTAGTTCCAGCTACTCGAGAGTCTGAGGTGGGAGGATTGCTTGAACCCATAAGGCAGAGGTTGCAGTGAGTTTAGATGGTGCCACTGCACTCCAGCGTGGGTGACAGAGCAAGACTGTGTCTCCAAAAAAAAAAAAAAAGGTACATAGGAGCCAGGCCTCCTCTGCTCACTGTTGTGTCCCTATTATCCAGGACAGAGGCTAACACATAGCAGGCCACAATAAATTCTTGTTAAATGAATACATGGATGAAAAGAAAATTGAAGGCTGCAGGGTACCTTTAAGGCCTTGAATATTCCAACTCACAAGAGAAGACAGTCCCAGACCCCCAGTTGCCTCTGATGGTGAGCATCAAACACAAGGTGGGAGATGGGCTACAGGGTCTCTGCTATGGTTTTGAATGTACCCCGAAATTTAATGTGTTGGGAACTTAATCCTCAAATTCACAGGTCAATTGGAGGTGGGGCCTCTGGAAAGTAATAAGGATTAAAGTCATCAGGGTGGGGCCCCCATGATGAAACTGGTGGCTTTATAAGAAGAGGAGAAGAGACCTGAGCTAACGTGCACACATATGCTCTGTTTCGCCATGTGATGCCACCCACCACATCATGATGAACAAGAAGGCCCTCGCTAGGTGCTGTCACCATGCTCTTGGACTTCCCAGTCTGCAGAACCATGAGCTAAATAAACCTCTATTCTTTATAAGTTACCCAGCCTGTGGTGTTCAGTTACAGCAACAGAAAATGAACTAAGACAATCCTTACCTGCAGGAATGCCCAGGCCCACATCAGAATTAAATGAAAGATGAGTGTGGTACTAACTGCCATGGCCACTAAGCATTTGGAGATGGTTTCTATCAGGGAGATGAGACATGAAACAAGTCTGTGTGTCCCTGTGAGTGTCTGGGAACTGGGAGAGCTGGCCTGAAGTATTGGAGAGTCCCTTATTTGCTGGCTGACCTTGAGCATATCACTAGGAAATCCCCAGAAGAGATTGAGTCTATAGGAGAAATGAGCTAATGTGCAAACGAGTCTCTTGGAAAGGCCTGGTGAACAGCAAGAGGCCTGGATTGCTGCAGTGCAGCCCTTCTCCTCACAGGCTGGGCCAGCTCAACAAACTCCTCTGCTCTCTGGGTCCTATGAGGTTTCTTTCTATGTAAAATGGGAGAATGTGACCAAACAGCTCTCAGCTGCTTCCCAAGAGCACTGACATCCTGAGGACTCTGGGGAGTCTTATCTGTGATGTGATTCAGTCTCCCAGAAAGAAACCAGGAGATTCTGCCCTGGTCTCCACTCTCTCCTGGCTGTGCTGCTAACAAGGGGGTAGGAAGGGTGACCAGAATTGGCACCACGGCCACGGGAAGCACTGACTGCCTTAATTCTTGGGGCATGAGGAGTAACAGTGTTAAGTCTTCTCTCCCAGGGCCAATGGAGGCATGACCTAATGCCAAAGGGTGAGCCATGAAACTCAACCATTATGATAGAAGACTATAAAAACAGCCAGTGGGAGGAGTGGCAAATGTTCATTTGCAGACTCACCTGCCCTGCATACTCTCTAGGCCCCTGGAAATATATTCTCAGTTTGAAGTCCAAGTGATGGACTATAGATTATCACACCACCGCCCCCTTTAGAATAATTAAGATTAACCGTTTTATTTAAAAATAATAATTTTTAAAAGGCTGTGGCAGAGACTGTAAGTTGTCCAACTAAATTCCTTGCCCTGTTCTTCCCAGGCAATACACAGTCACTGGGCACATGGCTGCCCAGCCACAGACAGCATTTCTCAGCCCCTCTTGCAGCAAGGTGTGGTCATGACTATGCCAGTGGGGTATGAATGGAAGTGCTACATGCAGCTCCCATGTCACCTCCCATCCCATTATCAAACACGTTCTTCTGGGCTACAACATAGATAGGCTCCAAACCCAGCTTTGACCATATGAATGAGGATAATGTCCTTAGAAGTGGTGGAGCAACCCCATGGAACTGAATCATCCTACCAACCTGGACCCCATCACTTTGAGACTATGACACAAGAGAAATAAATTCCCATCTTCTTAAGGCCACTGTATTTTGGTATCTCTTTGTTACGGCAGCTTAGCCTTGACCCCAATACACCTGCAAACAGCAGAGGTTTCTAGGTCTGAGTATCAAGATGGCAAGCCCCTATCCCATCCCTCCCTCCCCTTTGCCCTCTCCGTTCCTCCCCCACTTCCTCCTCCTCCCTTCCCACCACGTGCTCTGGGGCAGAAGGGAGAAATCACAACACACAGGGCACACAAAGCCAAGGGAAGGCAGGATGAGGCTGGAGGTGTGAAAACACTAAGGCCACTCCAAGAATGGTTGAAGGCATCTGAGCAGTGCTCCTGACAAGACCTGGGACTAAGCCCAGAAACCAGAGCAGAGACAAAGCAGACAGAGGGGCTGATTCTCAAGACGGAAGGAAGCACAGTGGCCAGACTCTGCACGGTAACAAACAGCGGCCCAGAGGAAAGAAGGAGTGAGCTCTGCAGTATCTCAAGAAGACGAAGCATGCTGTGGGGAAAACGTGGGATCTGGTTAGGACCTGGTATCAAAGCTCCAAGTTCACATCCTTTTTCCCCTGTGTGGTGGTGACTGAGTAACTTAACCTTAGTAAACCTCAGAATCTTCTCCTACAAAATAGGGATGATACTATCTACTTCTCAAGGACTGTGTAAAGATTAAGATGATGGACTAAATAAGGTGATAATATAAAATGTCAGGAAAGCAATTATTCTTCCACTGCCTATCTAGGTTTAGTAAAAGCAAGAAACTGAGAGCTCCAACCAGTCGATCGCAGTCCCCTGAGGAGAGTGGAGAAGATAAGAACATCGGCAATTTGTCAACTGTCTTGAAGCACCAGGCACAGGCCTGGGTGCTTTACCAGAGTACTGTCTCCCAGGGGAAGTGGCACGCGGCCGGACCCAAGCCGGGTTCTGGTCCTGAGCCTCGGGGCATTGCACATGGCAGCCGGTATCTCTCAGCCAGGCCTGGAGGATGGGGCAAGAGCTGGGGATGAGGCTGCCACTTCTGCACCCATTGTGGGCAATGCCTCAGGGCACTCCCCATCAGCAGCGAAGGCCAGGCCAGGTGTGGGTAGCATGGGATCTGAAGCTCAGTTTCCTGCCTGATTGTCCCCCACCCCCACCCCTGCATATCTACACAGTGAAGGGCAGAAAAGCAAAAGGTGCCCCAGGGCCTCCCCTCAGGGATAGCTGGGCCCTGGGCTGCTCCTAAGCCAGATTTGGGGCAGGGGAGAGGGGAGTGAGGGGATTTGAAGAAGGTGGGCAGGCGAAGTCCCTGGGGTCTGCAGTGAGCACAGAGGAGGGCTTGGGGGCTTGGGGCCCTGCCCCACCTTCTGCTGGGCCATTATGCAGAACCTTTGCCTCTTAGCCCCTTGTTCATTCAGCTGGTGTTCCTCTGCACTTGCTGACACTGCACTTACTGCTGGACTTGTCCAGGAGCCCTGGTTGTCTCCTGAAAGGTGAGCCTCCATGCTGGCCCAACACTTCTCTCACCTCAATTTGCCCCATGTTCTCTGCTCGAGGGCCCTAAACATTGATGCTCGTAATCCTAGCTGCCAAAGGACAGGCATCCATCAACCCCCAGCCCCAGGGACCCCCTCACCTCTCTCCCAGGACTCAGAAGCAGCCCACACTGCTCTGACCCCCAACACATAAGCAGAGAATGACATTCCCCAGGATGCAGGAAGATCCAGGGAAACATCACAATGCCCAACTGGGCAGGCTATCAGCCCACGCATGGCACCCACATCCTGAGGGCACCCAGGCAAGGAGATAGGAGAGTGTCCCTTTTCCTCCCTATTTGGAGGAAGCAGCACCCCTTCCCAGAGGGAAAAAGCCCCGAGTCCTCAGAAAGGCAGACTGGAGTGGAATTTAAGCCCACGACACCAGATGCTATTCCTGGCCACATGCCTAAGATGACAGAGCAAGAGTACCTCAAGAGAAACACACATGCCTGCCTCCCACCCCTAAAACCACTGGGTGCCTGTGCCCCACACCAGCAACAAGGGCAGGTAAGCCCATCTGGGCAAGAGGCTGGCAACAGGATCATTCCTGAAAGTCAGCTGTCAGTCAAAGTCTGCACCAAGGAAGCTGCTATGAGAAGAAACCCTGGGTGTGTCCTTTGTACTCTGCTATCCTAAGCAAATGACCACTCCGTTAAAAAATCAGCATTGGCAAGTCTGAACGTGTGTCAACTGGTTTTTAAAATTTTTTAAAAGAAGGCCACAGCTACAGCAGAAAGTAGAGCCAACAAAGCCACCTTTGAACCCAGACAAGCTGAACCCTGACAAGCAGAGGAAAAGGCAGGGATACTGCGAGAGGTGGCAATGCAACACTCAACCACCTGTTCTCTCCTGCCCGGTTAAGGTTCTCATTCACTCTAGGAATTATCCACAGCAAACCATTCCTCCAAAGCCAGCTAGGCTGGGGCCAAGTCTCATGGAGCTGCCAGTACCTCCACAGCACCTAGCATGCAGCAGGTATTCAATAAATGTTCGAGTAGGAACAGGGGCACACAAATCAAGTAATGACTGGTGTGTCCCAATCACAGCCATTTCCAGGCAGCTGGTATGTACATGAGGAATACAGACTGATCTGACTTCAGCATGAGCCAAAAATAATGAAGAGAGGAAGTCTGCTATAAATCATCTAGCGCATTTAGAAGTCCTCTGTCGCTGGGCATTATCCATGCCATTGGCTTTCCTGCTTAATGCAGCAAACTGGATTGATACCAGAGGGATGGAGAACTCTTCTTGGAGTCTCCAAGTCTCAGCTGGGCTGCCCCAAGAGCCAAAACAGAACTGGAAGGATGAAGGCCACGGAAGGGACAGATTCTCACGCCCCCATCCATAGGGTCTCACAGAAACGACTCCTTGCCCTGAAGGACGCTGGGGAGTTAGGACAGAGGTCCTTGACAAAGGAGTGAGTCAGGTCCCTGTTGTGAGCACCCCAAGTGCTAGCACAAGTCACTTAAGCTAAATTGCTCTTGTCAAAACAAGCCCTCTGCCAGCACTCACGAGGCTGGGCCCGGCTTTCATCACCGACACTTGCTGAGCTGTGGAATTTAGCCAACAGGCCAGAAGCATCACGCCCCCCCCCCCCCGACCCCCCCGCAGGTAGCAGAGGATCAGGACTGGCGAAGCATAGGCTCTGGGCTGGAGCTTTACTCCCATTTCTACCACAGGGTGATTTGGCAACCTTGGGAAACATCTCTTTACCTTTTGGTTCCTATAAAATCAGGATAGGGCTTCCGCATATTCGATGGAGAAGTTTCTAGTGATCATATGGTCAACTCCCAAATCTCCATATTAAGGGAGGCAACAGTACATGGGCAGCACCATGGGACATAAGCACTCATGGTTAAGGTAGAAAACACAGGAGAAACCACACAAGTGGATGCTGAAGAATGACATGGCTAAGTTCAGATTGCAAATGCCTCTGTCGGCCAAAGAGGTCAAGACAGGCATCAGGGAGGGGGTAAGGTTTGGGCTGGGAGCTGAGTAGGGTTGGGGTGTGGAGGGGAAACTTTTGAATGAAAACAACAGTCCTCAAAAAATCACAGCACAGGTGGGGCAGTGAAGAGGCCACCATAGCAGGATCAGAGAGCGACAGATGATGAAGCTGCATCAGTCAAATGGCCCAGATGGTGAACCACTGTCTGCCAGGATGGGAAGCTTGGCTTGGTCCCACAAGCAATAAGGAGCCACTACAAGCTGGTAATGGGGGTTGTTTCATGATATTTAATAACAGCTACTGTCTACCAGATGCTTACAGTGTGCAGGTATAGCCTCATCTAATCCTCGGGACAACACTATGGGCTGGGTGTAATTAGAATTCTCATTTTACAGACAAAAAGAAAGTGAGGCACAGTGAAGTTAAGCAACTCGCTCCAGGCCACACAGCTAGGAAGTAGTGGCACTGGAACTTGAACCAGGGCCAACTGACTCTGAAACCCATGGTCTTAATCACTGTGCTACACTGGCTCCACCCCAGAAGGAAGAACTATTTGTCTTCTTTGGCAAAAGGGGGGCAGCAGCATCTGTCTGGAGGCTGGGTCTGCAGACTAGGAATGCTGCTGCACTCAAGAGACGGGGCTGGGGCTGGGAGGGAGGGATGAATCCAATAGATTCTATAAGGGAAGTACTGGCAAGATTTGGGACTGACCCACCCAAGCCTGGGGAAACTTGAATGTTTATGGAGACCTTGACAGAGACGGAAAGTTGAGAAGGACACCAATTATGGGGCACATGATGAGCTCACACTGAAGGGTTGAGAAGTGCCCATCAATGGGCACTCATATCTCTCCTTGAGAAGTTCCTCTTCTCCCTCTAACTTAGACTTCACCTGCAGCCCAGGTCTTCACAAATTACCCTCCAGAGGAATTAAGCCTCTCACCATCTGTCAGCCCCTTCACAGGCCCCATCCCCTGGTGACACCTCCACCCCTGCCCCCAGCCCTTTTTCAAGGGCAGCACATCTGTCCCGAGGAGAAAGGGCTGGGATCTGGTTAGTGTCGGCTCACTGCTGAGAAGTTCGACGTGGAGGACTCATTTATCTTCCAGTCTGTGTGTGTGAAAGTATGCATGAGTGTGTCAAGAACCTGCAGATATAAACAGCTCTGCCTCAGAGAAGGAAGCATACTCTCATTTTTCCTCAGTGGACGACAAACAGAGATAAACCAGACGCTAAGTTTTCTCAGGTCCTGTTGCCAGTAATCTCAGCCAAGGGGGCACTGGCAGGGCATGCTTCCTGAAGACTCTGGGACCCAGTGGTCCTCAAGGCATCACCCCAACAGCTCAGTGCACCCTGTTTTTGGGCTCAGCCACCAGTCTGGGGCAGGCCCCCCATTCCCAGTTCTCAGAGCAATCTGGAGAATGAGGGATATTTATAATCCAAGGTCAGCTGGCGCCATCTTGCTTCTTGGGAAAGAATGTCTTCAGCTAAGAGTCTGCCCCAAGAATGCTCGAGGGGTCAGAGGGACGAGAGGTCTCCAGCAGGCCAGTCATTCTAACAGCTTATTTCATCCTTCAGTGTTTCCTGAGGGCCAACTGTGCTGGGCACTCTGGCATGTGGGGGATGCTGGATAGGGCATTTGTGTAGCAAGTGGATAGCTGAAAGGCTGGGCAGAGTGACCACGAGGGCCTCATTTAGCCCTGGGTAGTGAATGCCTGTTCACCTGTCCATGTCAGTATGTCTGTCCTACTATTCTAGTGATTCTTAGGTACGCACTGTGAGGAAGGCAGCCCACAGTCCCAGAGCTGGGACTCCACGCGAGCCTTTGGAGCATGGCGGGAATCATGGTACTGATGGTGATGAGGAGTTTTAACCCAAAAGCTGTTGAGAGCATGTGTGCAGTAGCCCTGAAAGGCCTTAATCCGCCTGCTCACCAGGGCAAAGGCTGCCCGGGTGCAAGGGAGACTGGAGGTCTGCTGGGCAGTCCTGCCTGTTTCAGCGGGATTGTGACTAAGGCAGCCCTCAGTTTGGGGGCCCACAGAATTGAAGAGCAAGGAAATGCCAAGAGTGTAGCTGAGATGGCCACAGTTAAGCTAAGGGGCTACTGCACACATGCTCTCAACAGCTTTTGGGTTAAAACTCCTCATCACCATCGCTGCCATGATTCCTGCCACGCTCCAAAGGCCTGCGTGGAGTCCCAGCTCTGGGACGGTGGACTGTCTTCCTCACAGTGAGTGCCTAAGAATCACTAGGACAGCTAAGGGGTTCTTGGCCTTCGTGCATTTGTAAGAGAAATCAAAATTTCTTCAAGGAGGAGCATATGTTCTTTCTGCCTGAGGCCCAGGGTGGTCTCCAAGTCCAGACTGTATATTTTTGAGAAAAGTGTCATTAGAAGGAGGGGACACCTATTCCTAGAGGTCTCACCCCACTCAGGGCCTCAGGACACTGTCTGCTGAGTGGAAATCACCGCCAGCCAATGGGCCACCCTCCTACTATGTGTGTGCCCACAGAGGCCCAAAATAAATAACAATGAACGCCTCAACCTTAGTCCCAGGTGGCCCCAGAGCAGAGTGGCTGGCGTGAGTGAAGATGATGAACTGGCCAGAAGGAGGATGAGAATGGGGAACAAAAGTCTGGGCAGGCAGGAGGGGGAAACCAGGACGAGCCCTCAGCAAGACCAGGCAGGAAGATTACTTTTCACTGAAATAGTCCCAAAGCCTAATTTTAGACAATAGTTCCTTTCTCCACTAGCATTCTTCCAAGAACTAGGTTTTGTATTCAGTGAACTCCTGTCATCCCCTGGGGGAAGCTGCATCCTCTGGTGTTTGGAGTGCTTTTTCTCTGTGCTGAGCCAAACAATGAGGAGATGTGCCCCAGCAAGAAGAGGGAAGGCTCGGCTCCAGCCCTTCTAAAATTGCACGCGTGTTCTCCGCCACACACACACACCTGTCCACCTCCAGCTGACAAGCGCACAGCAGACAAGAGCTGGAGCTCCACACAGCAGCCACGATGATCTTCTCAAAACACACATCGGATCATGTAAACTGCACTTCCTCTCCCACTTCAAACTTTGATAGAACTTCCAAGTCTCTTGGAATAAAAGCTCCTTAATTCAGCTCTCCGGGCTCGAGTCATCTGGCTCCTTCTGCTCTCCAGTGTCATCTCACACCACTTCTTGTTATCACTGCCCCTGGCTCCAGTCCCTGCTCCATCCTAACAGGGCTTCTGCATGTGCCAGCCCCTCTCCCAAGAAAACCCCACCCCACCTTTCTTTGCCCAGTTACCTCCTACTCTTCCTGTGGACTCAGCCAATATTCAATTCCTCTGAAAAGCTTCTCTGACCTCTCAGAGTGGGTCCCCCCACAACAGCCATCATAGGCCCACACCTCCCTCCCTCTGAGTGCTGTGGTCAGCCACCATTCTATCATGACCAGTGTGATTTTCCATCAGTGTGCAACTTCCCTGCTAGACTGTGAGCTCCATGAGGGCAAGGCCTGTTCTGCTCACCACCTGGGGAAGTTGCATCCTCTGGTGTTCCAAGCATGGAGTGCTTTTTCTCTGTGTGGAGGCAAACAAGGAGACATAACCCAGCACGAAGAAAGAAGGTGCTTAGCACAATGCCAACCTGGTGAAACCCTGTCTCTACTAAAAATACAAAAATTAGCTGCGTGTGGTGGTGTGTGCCTGTAGTCCCAGCTACTCGGGAGGCTGAGACAGAAGAATCACTTGAACCCGGGAGGCGGAGGTTGCAGTGAGCCGAGATCATGCCACAGCACTCCAGCCTGGGCGAGAGTGCAAGACTCCATCTCAAAAAAAAAAAAAAAAAAACTCAAAAAATATTGCATGAATGAATGGATACATGAATGAATGAACAAACAAAACAATCAAACTGGTATGAGCTTTGGGCACTCTGCAAAGCTTTAAGTAAAAGCACTCAACCAAAGCTTCTGAACAAAGCTAATAACCAGCTCAGGTATAGCAGTCGCCTGCTCTCATTCTCACCATGAGCCCAGAAACCGTTCCTCTCCACCATCCTGATAATCAGCACCCACGTGGTCACTCAACTCTCATCTTCACAGTCTGGCCAAATCCCAGTCCCTGGGAGGGGTGGATACCCTGCTTCTTCAGGTGAGGAAATGGGTCTAGTGTCCAGGATCACACTGTCAGGCATCAGAACAGCAGGGTCTACACCAGGACCCTTGACTCTAACGTGCTATTCTATTAGTCAGAACAGGTGAGACCACGCCACAGGCCTCGAAAAAAAAAAAGAAAGAAAGAAAAGACTTCCCACCCTGTCTGGGAAGCCAAGTTGCAGAGAAGGCTCAAGGGGAAGGCCAGACTCTTCCAGACATCAGCACGTCATCTTCTGGATGGCTGCAGAGTGAAGGGAGAGGGACAGACGGAGGGAGGCGATGACTGAGCTCCCACCTTAGTGCTCTGACCCTCCAGATCTCACTCCTCGGGCTCCAGATGGCCTCGCTGGGCCTGGCCTGAGGAGGGCAGTTTGACACTGTCTTAGGGAAGCCCCACTTCGTTGTGAAAACTCAAGGCTCAAATCCTGGTCATTGGCCAGAGATGTGGAAGGACTGGCATGGAGGGGAAGCCCTGGCCTAGGAAACCAACCCTGGATGCAGGTCCTGTCCCCAGCTCCGACTGGCCAGATGTCATTAATTATGTCTCTTCATGCCTTTGTTTCCCCAAAGGTGAAAAGGAGATGCTTGGCACCAACATTCCCCCTTGCCAGGGTTAGTGTACAGATTAAAGAAGAGGTGAGAAATGACGTTCCCATGCAAGTGACATCAATTATTATAGATGGAGAATGTCACCTAGAGCCCCAGGGAAGATTCTTCCCTTCAGCGGTGCCTGGCCCTGTGGAAAAGGCCCATTTTGTCAGTCCCCTGTCCTCCTCTACACTCTTGTTCTCAGAGTTTCCTACCCTAGTTTCCACGAAGGCTGAGATTCTCCAAGCTGCATGAAGTCCTGGGGACTGGCCATGGTACCATGGGACTGACCAGGGCAGTGGATGTGAATGTTCACTTTAATACACGCCTGTCATGGGACTGGCACTTCACTCCCCCACCCACATACAGGTTCCTGCCACCCCCAGCGAGGAACACAGGCCACTCGGAGGGAGACACTTTTCCATTCTCACCTGGTCCTTTGCTGGTGGAGTTCCAGGGGTTGGGGGTGGGTTGGTTAGGGGGTGATGCTGGTATAGAGGACCCCGGAGTGGGGTTTGGGGAAGTGGGGGAGCATGACCTTCCTGGACCATGACCTCCCATTAGCTCCCCTCGAGGAATGTTTCCAAGCAATTCTCTCTGCTTCTTTGAAATCACACTCAATCTCTCTCCCTGGGGGAGGAAAGCCTCATGAGATGAGCAAGGAGCAGCGGGTTTGCAAGAACCTTGAGAGAGCCCAGAACAGCAATCCGGCAGCCACCATCGCTGCTGTGAAGTGCAGGGAGCAGTGGGAAGGGAGAGAGGAGGTGTGGAGAAGGGGGTGGGTGAGGCAGATGATGGAGGCTGTCAGGAGAGGCTCTGTGACTGCACAGAGCGGGGGTGGGTGTGTGGGTGAGGGTGGGGAGGCCTCACAGTGCTCAGAGACGGGACTTCAGAAGTTGAGAAATCCAACTGGAGCCTCCAAGTCTCAGCCAACTTCTGATCAGACCTTCTGTGAACAGCACAGACTCCAGCCTAAAAAGGCTTCTGGAATGGCATTTCTCTTCTTGTTAGCTAATACACAGGTTTCTAATCAAGCCTACTCTAATAGATTCTTCTCATTTTTACAGAAGAACCGGAGACTCAAAGGAGAAGCCAACTCAACCCAAGGAGACGCAGATAAAATACAAAGGCAGGGTCAGAATTCAAATCCAGGGCCCTCTAACTCCAAAGGACACAACCAGACATCTCTAGGTCTGATTTTCCTCCTCCCAACAACGGATGAGATTCTCCTATTTAGAGCCACTTCCCTAATTAGAAGTAATGAGGAAATGTCCCTCCCCAGTCTTCTCAGAAACAGGGAGTCCAGATTTGAACACAGTTTGGTCTCCTAGGAAAAAATAAGCCAGAAAAATCCCAGTTGCAATTACCAATGCCATCCATGTGATTATCAACCACAAACGTTTACAGGGAGCCAGCTGTGGTGAACAGGCTTGAGTAGGGGAAAGTGACCACCAGGCCCTCTGCCCTCAAGTGGATTCCATCCCATCCCCCACAACCAAGCCCTGAGTAGCTGGCGTTTGGAGGCTTTTAGATCCTGGGCTTCCCAAGGGGAGATGCAGAGAGAAGAGGCCTGTAAGCCCAGATGACCTAAACGATGTCCTACAAAACTGCCCACTGCCTTAGCCCTCTAAACACAAGGCACTGTTGGCTTCCTCTTCTGAAGTCAGGATGCCCGGCAGGGCCACCCTCCTAAAATCAGGGCAGGCAAGCACACACCACAAAAGCCAGAGCCTAGGCCACCTCCACTGACCTTCCTCAGATCCTGTCCTTCCCCATGAGAAATGCAAATGTCAAGGTCCCCTCAAGGTGCTTTACCTCTCCCCATGGCTAGTACCTGTCTGTGCCTCAGCTGCCTCTCCTGGGAAATGGGGCCCACTCTCTGGGTCAGTGTAAGACTTAAATAAGCTATCATATGTAAAGTGCTAACTGTGCTCAATAAACATGTCATCAACATCATTACCGCTGAGAAAGGGATGGACACAGATGGGCCTGTAAGGATGGGAGATCCGGCCTGAGAGATACTTGCCAGGAGAGGGAGGGGATAGGAACTGACGCTTATCAGGGTTAATGACAGGTCAGGAGCACATGCTAAGGAGACAGCAAGCCTGGGTCCCATTCCTAGCCCTTCCACTTCATACGGTGACTCTGGGCAAGTTACTTAACCTGTCTGAGCCTCAGTTTTGTCATATGTATCATGGGGATAACAGTGGTGACAGCTTTCCCCATAGAGTGGTTGAAGTAGTATAGGCAATAATATGTGCCAAGTGCTAGCACACTTTAAAAAAGAATTTAATACTCTGTTTCAGCTCTTCTATTATTGGAGCGCAGTAGTCTCTTTGCTCTGCCCTCTTCTAGTAAATGCCGAGGATTTTCACTTTTCCCTTTTATCAGAGCCAAGAGGTCTCCGTCACAGTACACCAGGGGTCAGGGCAGGAGCTTGGCATCTGCTTCAGCCACAAGCCTTCATCTCCATTCTCCTGGAAGTCTTTACCTGTGGCCTGTGCCACATTCAGGGGAAGAAATCACTATACCTCTTTCTCACAAAAGCCAATCCCAGAAGCCTCTCCCCAAAGACGTGGCTGGGAATTGGCTCAATGGCAGGTGCCAACTCTACACTTGCACGACATTGACAGTGAGTATCTCCAAATCCCAGCCCTGCTCATTGGTCTGGGAGAAGCTGGATGGTTTAGCCACAGGGCCAGCTTCATGCATGTGTGATCTGTGCAGCTGCACAGGGCTCCACACTGAGTTTAATACTCTGTTGTTTCTGTCTTAAAATTCTCAGTACTTTTTGTACAAGGGGTCCCATATTTTCATTTTGCATAGGGTCCCACAAATCATGTTGCCGGTTTAGCATGCTTATCCACACATCTCCCGCTGGCTTCCATCGCTCCTGAGAGCCACTGCCAGCACTAGATCCAGGCTGCACATCTCAGACCTTTCCTCAGCGTCAGCTCTCACCTGGGCACCTGACTGCTCTCTGGCTTCTACCCTTGGGCCTGTACTCTCTTTTCAACAAAGCAACCAGAGGATCCTTAAAAATGTGAGTCAGAATCACATCACCCCTCTGCTTAAACCCTGCAATAGCTCCCTTCTCACTCAAGGGAGAAGAAAGGCCCAAGTCCAGCTGGTGGTGGGCAAGGCCCTTCGCGGTCTACCTCCCTCCCTTACCTCGCTGACCTCATCTCCTGGGGCCCCCCTGTTGTCCCTCTGCTCCAGCCATACTGGCCTTCTTGTTCTTCTGAATAGGCGGCAGGCACATTCCCACCCCAGGGCCTTTGATCTGGCTGTTGCTTCTGCATGGGACACTCTTAAGCCAGATATCCATCCCCAAGCAAAGGACCAGATATCCTTTTAATGCCAGAAAAGTCCTCTAACATCATCTCATCTATAAAGGACAACACTTCATCCAGCCTTTTAAAAAAGTATGAAGTGTTGGTGAGAATGGAGAAATCAGAACCTCCAGGCATTGCTGGTGGGAATAAAAAATGGTGCAGCCCCTGTGGAAAACAGTATGGTGGTTTCTCAAAAAATGAAAAATAAGATTACCATAGGATTCAGAAAGTCCACTTCTGAATTATATACCCCAAATAATTGAGAGCAGGGGCTCAAACAGATATTTTTACACGCATGCTCCCAGCAGCACTATTCACAACAGCCAAAAGATGGAAACTACCAAGGTATCCATGTCAGATGAATGAATAGATAAAATATGCTATCTATACACAATGGAACATTATTCAACCTTCAATAGGAATGAGATGCTGACACATGCTACAACAGGGATAAGCCTCAAAAACATTATGCTAAGTGAAATAAGCCAGACACAAAAGGACAAATATTGTGGGAAGTACCCGGACTAGTCAAAATCATAGAGACAGAAAGTAGATTAGAGATGACCAAAGGCTGGGGGGAGGAAGGAATGGAGTTGGTGTTTAATGGGTAGAGTTTCTGTTTGGAATGATGAAAAAGTTCTGGAAATGGATTCTGGTAGTGGCTGCCCACCATGGTGAATGTACGTAATGTCTGACTGGCACACTTAAAAACGGTTACAAGATAAATTTTATGTCATATGCATTTTATGACAAAATAAAGAAAAATAAAACAGCATAGGTGGAAGATTCAATTTAACATGAAATCCACTCTGGGCCCTGCACTCCTTCCAGGCCCATATCTCCCACCAGCCATCCTCAGCCTCCCCCACCCCCACCCCATGGCCACCCCAGGGCCCCGAGCCTTGCTAACAGGTGACCCCTGACCACCACGCACAACCAATGGCCAAGTCCCAGCCCCGTCCTGGTAGGGGTGAGTGGGTAGACAGGGACACACACGTAAACAGGAATGCAGCCCAGGCCGTAGGGAGGAGTCGCATTTTGGAAATCTGAGCCCTGCTCCCAGGACTAGAAATTCCAGGGAAGCCAAGTCAGTAGCCATAGTGTGTGTCAGAAAGGGAGGGAGGAGGCATCATTCCCTCTGCAGCCAGGCCCACAGCTGCCCTCCTCGCCTCCTCGGGAATGTGAAGTACGTCCCTGTGGCCGTGCACTTGAGGCAAGCGCGAAGGCCCACTCTCTCCACTCATGGCTTTATGTGGCAACTGTCAAGGCTTAGCGGGGAGGGGTAAGATTCTTCTGATCGCCTGGGAAAATGTGAAGATGCTCACAGCTCAGCCTCAATGCCACGGTGAGGTAGATAGGGGCTGCCCTGGTATTCCAGGCTCCCACCTTACTGGAGATGGACAAGCTCTTTAGGGAGAGGAATGCCAGATGGCAAAGTGCCCGCCCACGGGGCTAATTTTAGGCTCATCTCCACAGCAGCAACAGCGACGGCTCCCTGTGCAGAGCCCCCTGCACATCTCAGCTAGGGGGTTTAAACTACTGGGCAACCCAGAGGGAAAGGAAAATGTACACAAGCCCATATCCACATCCACACATGCAGGCAGGCACACACACACACATACACGCACACACACCCTTCCTCAAGGTGCACGTGCACACACACACACTTCCTCAAGGCACGCACACACACACACAAACACACACACACTCTTCCTCAAGGTGCACACACACACCCTTCCTCAAGGCATGCACACACACACACACACCCTTCTGCAAGGCACGTGCGCGCGCGCACACACACACACAAACACACACCCACCCTTCCTCAAGGGTGGCCTTGTAAATGATCTTTTCTGCCCTGCAGAGGGTAAGGGAGTCTGTCCATGCTCCCGGGACAGTAATGACTGCTCCTTAGTCCCTGCAGTTGTGAACCCAATAAGAAACTCCCAAATGTTATTACCATGTGACCCTTAAGATTCCTGAGTCAGAGGGCCTGATGTCACTAGGCCCCAAGAAAAGACCCTGAGGGAGATTTAAAAATAAACAGCCTTTAGCTCACAAGTACAGGTGGGACCTGCTGTCCCCTCTGACAACAGAACAGGTTGGCTGGACAGTACATATTATCAAGGACTTGGGTTAGACTTGAGGGTGAATCTTCCAACCCAGGGGAACCAAAAACATGGAGCTACAGAGGCTCCTCTGGCACAATGACTGAGTCGCCCTGGGTCAGGGCGAGTGCAGCCACCCGCAGACAGCAAGTTGGCTCCATGGCCCCAGAAGCGAAGCCCTGCTGGTATTTTCGCCACTCCTTGCTATGCCCTTTATATACATTACCTCGGGCTCTTGCCCAGGTCACAAGGGCCGGAACTAGGACTCAAAGCCAGGTGTGTCCACAGACACTGCCCTTCCTCTGACCCCAGAACCAAGCTCCAGGGGACTGCTGGACCATCTAAATTTCACTACGCCCACAGATTATTCCTGTGTTGCCCCCTCCCCAGTAAAGCCAAGGGAACTAGCCTCAAGCTCCAGGGCACCTCTTCTTTCCCACCTTCCCACTCTGAAGTGCAGCTCTGCAGACAGTCTCTGAATCCCAAGTTTTCTAACTTGGGAAGCATGAAGAGGCCACTAGTACCACTCTGATTTCCTTGTTATTCCTGGAGCCAACCTTTGTCCTAGGACCCCTCGGCCCGGGAGAGGAAGGGGGACAACAGGACTGTCAGAGGGTGCAGGCACAAAGGAGGACCAGCCCTTCAGTCTCCTTGAAGTCCCTGGGACCCCACCCTGGTCCTCAAAGTCATAATATTTACAGGGAACACTGCAAAGCCAGCCACCCAGCAGCTCTGCCTGGCAAGTTACCGCAAACAGCAGATGGCTCTGAACAATCTGAACGCAGGCCCCCCTCTCCTTACAGCCGGCACCCCAGCCCACCCCCGGTAAGTAAATAAACAAGCAAGAAACTCCAGAACCAGGCAGAAGCACAGCTCTGGATGGCTCTATCTAAGCAAGCTGCCCTTCCTGCAGAGGCCACCCTGGAGCCAGAACCACACATTCACACTGCAGGGGAAAGCCGGTACACATCCTTCTAGGGGCAAAAAATGTCCACTGCAGACACACACGCACACACACACACACACGCACGCACGACCAGTGCTGTAGTCTGTGTGTGGCTGTGAGTATGTGGGAGCAGGGCAAGTAGAGGGGATGGAGAAAGGAGAGGGAGGGAACGTTAATAGAGCCAAAGTGCTTATTTTATTAAAACCTTTTATAAATAAGCCTCACTTAGCCCCAGCCAGACACATAGTCTTGGTGCCTAAAATCATGACTCCTCTACATTCTGGAGACCTAGATGGTGAGACAGGGGTGTGTACAGGGTGGGAGAGGAAACCCACCAAAGTTCTGAATGCCTACCCCTGCCCCTCCAGCTCCCAGAACTCCTGCATGGGGACCCATCCAGCCGCAAGTTAGCTAGAAAAGCTGGAGTCCAAATGCCACTATAACACTTACTGGCTGTGTGATCTTGGACAAGTTACTTAACCTCTCTGTGCTTCAGTTTCTCATCTGTAAAATGGAGAATAATATCTGTAATCAAGAGCTGCAGAGTTAAAGTAGATACTAGCTATCAGGATAATTCTCCCATTTTTCGTTTTTCTTACCTCTCTCTATAGTCTACAAAAAAGACTTCTTTCGTGGACAGGCTGAGAATCATCGTCACCACCATCACCCTGTATCTAATCCCAAGACGGCTCTCCAGGGTAGGTGCTCTTATCCCTATCTTATTGATGAAGACACTGAGGCTCAGAAAGGTTCTGACACTGACCTGAGGTCAAAGCCTAAGTGACAGCGCCACAGGACCGTCAAAGAGGCAGAGCGTGAGAGCCCAAGCAGGCCCATGGAAAGGCTTCCAGAAGATGCAGCTCTCCTCAGAACTCCAGGCCAGGAGGAGGTCAGGAAAGGCTCAAAGGCATGAATGAGCCCGAAGCAGCTCAGCTTTAGGTGGACAGGAGGGCACAGGGCCAGCTGCCAAGCTGGGTGACTCAGCCTTGACACTTTTCTCCTCCTGGGGCCCAGGCACTGAGCCCTGGCTCCCCTCATCCTCGGCAGAGGCCACCATCCTTAACGTCAACCAGGAGCCCCGAGGCCCAGTGAGAGAGACCCCACGGCATACCAGTGGCTCCAGGGATCCTATCTTCCACCCTGGCCATCTCTTGGCTTCTCAGAACACTGTCCTTCATGCTGCCACTCCCCACCCATATGTGCTCTCTGGAAGGAACTGGGGTGCCCCCAGAACTGGCCCATCTTCTACTTAGGAGACATGTTTCAATTTGCTCAGCATAGTCTCGTTATGCCTATTGTCTGGAACAAATTATTAACAGCACCCTCTCTCCTTCCACTCTCAAAAGAGTCCTGGTTTTGCTGCTAAATCATATGGTCACCATACCCCGACCCTCCCTCAAGGCTACCTGAGCCATGGGCCCAAATCTGTTAGCCAAGGAGGGGCACCTCACCCTCCTTGGGCAGTTTCAAGGACGTCCAGGAAACACCCCTGACCAGTCTTTTTTACTTTGCAGGCTGCAGAAACTTTCTTCCCACGCTGCCTGCCAGCGCCCCCGACCCCACCCCGTTTCCTGTAACTTCTCCTAGATATAGCCCAGCTGGGTCTTCTCATCATAATGCAAATGACCCAAGGTCTTAAGCCCGTCAGCGTGGAAGGGAACCTCCAGCAGAAACCGGCCACTCCAAAACAGAGAAAGACGACAGCCAGAGCCATGACCCAGCACAGCTCATGCAAACACTAGGATCCATAAGAAAGTGCTGGACCTTCAAGGAGAGGAGAAACAGGTACTCCCTCAGGCTCCAGTCCATTCATTTCTTCACTACTTCATTCATTCAACAAAAACTGATTAAATTACCGGGTTCAAGGCTGCGTCCCTATAATCAATGGTACAAATATAACAACCCACAGAATTAGGATGTAGATACACACAGACACATGTATGTGTATACACAGATTTTATTATTCATGTGTGTGGGTTGTGAGAGCTATTCCAAGAATAATCTGAAAATCATTGGTATCAGGCTTTGAAATGCATCGATGCTTTTTAATACATTTACCTCCTTGGTGATGTTTGAGCCCATGTGATATTTATTACATTGTTATTTAAATGAGCCTAGACTCTGAGACCTCTTCTACTTTCATAGAAAATGCCAGGGTTGGGGAAACTAGCCAGGGGAAAAAAAATCAATCCAGCCAAATCCATTGACTTGGGAGTAGGTATTAATTGCCCAGGATTTTATCAGCACAGCAGGAGGCTGGGGGTAAACTACAGAGTGCAAAGTAGGTGACAGTAACAACAACAACAAAAAATACAAATCTACAAGGCCGCAGAGAAGCTCATCTCTTACCTAGGAGGACATTCATCCTGACCCGGCCCAGCCCAGTCATAGACAAACATGAGATATTCAAATCAAGGGAAATAGTAACCCCCCTTAAAAAGGCCTATTGCAGATGCAAAAAAGAATTTCCTTTCAACACAACATTAATTAGGCAAACATGTACTAAACCCAATGGCAGGCCAGGCACTCTGCTAGGACTGGCAACATCAGCAATAAATAAGGCCTATCTTGGGTTTTGAGACACATCCAGTCTAGGAGGAGACAGATAAAACCAGGAGAGTACAACAGCTGGTCACGGTGTGTGGTCACACAGGAGCACCAGAAAGGAAAGGAAAGAGTCCATCCCTGAATGCTGGAAGGTGACCCAGGAAGGCTTCCCAGAGAAGGTGATATTTGAGGTGGGTTCTGGAATGCAGATGAGTAGCAAAGGGGGACAAGACACTGGAGGGACAGAAAGCATTCTAGAGAAGCTTGGCAGAAGAGAACAGCTGTTCAGGGGTGTAGGGAAGATGGGGGGAAGCCAGTATTTTGGGCCAGAATGGCAAGGAAGTGATGTGCTCAGACCTGAATTTTGGAAATGTCGCATTACAGCTGTATGGAAGGTGGCCCAGAGCTAAGTAAAAGGCTGCGCAATGGTCCAGATGAGAGATGATGAAGGTCTAACCAGGGCAGGTTGGGAGGGGCCGCGGAGGTTGGAGGAATGGAGGGGACGTTTCAGAGCCAAACCCATCAGCACTGTATGACCAACTGAAAGTGGGAGGCGAGGAGAGGGAGTTGTCAAGGATGACTTCAGTTTCTAAGCAGGCAACAGGGAGAATGACAGGAAATAAGACAGAGAAGAGAGGCAGTGGAGGAGCCGGTCTCCGTGAGGACAGTGGGGTGGATGAGTGAGGGGTACACATGATGGGTTTAAGGTACCCCAGGGAGCAATAACTAACAGGCAGCTGGAAATGTGCAGGTGCATCTCCGGAGAGGCTGGGCCAGAGGGACAGATATGGGGAGGGTTAACAAAATCACAGAGATGGACAAAATGAGCTGGAAGAAAAGAGCCCAAGATGGAGCCCTGGGAAAAACAAATGCTTGAGGAGGAAAAGAAAAGAGGAGGCCAAAACAACAGACAGAGTGGGAACAGCCAAAGAAAGACAAGAATGGGAGTGGGGCCAGAGCAAGCAGTGCCAGGTGAAGGAGACCCATCATGTGGCAGCCAGGGGCCCCCAATATGAGCGGCAAGGGCTGCTTTCACCATGAGGGTCCTCTGTGAGATTGGGGAGGCACATACGCTGAGAACTATCCTGTCAAGAGGGCCAGTGGGGAGTTGGAGGAGAGAGACGTGAGAGATGGAGGCACGCCAGGGAGTGAAGGAGGTGTTTCTATACTGGGGACCTGTGTCCCTAGTTAGCCTCTACAGGAGGGACCTGGGGAAGGAGGCGGGGCGGGAGGCCAGGAGTCATGGAAGGAAGGAGGGAGGAAGGTGGCCAGAAGGAAAGAATGGAGGCCAGGTCAAAGGAGGGAATGCCTTGGGCAGGAGAAGGAACTGGGCTGCTCTGAGAAGCCAGGAGGTGCAGGACGTCGGCTGAGATGGAGAGGGAAGGCTTATGACGTCCTCAATGAGGCAGGAAGTTTATCTGCAAAAACATGAGGGCTTGGTGGAGACACAGGACTGGGAGCTACAGAGAGGACAGCAGTGAGGGCTCAGATCGGCCACTCTGGAGAAGAGGATATGACTAAAACAGCAAATCTCCTCAGAAGATCCTTGCCAAAATGTCTGGCCCAGGAGAGGAACTGGTTCAGAAGAGTTAGGAACGCAGCTTCGAGACTTTCCTCTGGACTAGGATTTGTAGTCCTGACCACTCTCCCTGCCTCAATCTTCAAACCACTTTTTCCCAATACCAGTAGGGTCCATTTGTACAGGGAGAGTTTTCGCAAAAGAGAGCTAAGCACCCCCACACCCCTGCTGCGAGCACACACACATGCGCACACACACGTTCCACACCATGCTGGCCACTCCTGGTTCCATACAGGCCCACATCTGTTTCTTGCTCTTGGTGAAGCCCCCAGCAGAGCGGCACATGTGGAGAGGCATGTGACAAGCAGATGAGAGGGACACTAACCCTGAGGTTAGAAAAACCTATAACTTTCCCCCTCGCTGACCACAGGGTCAGTCAACTCTACCAGAATTAAGTGCTTCTCTGTCCGTGGCTCTGAATAGGACAAACTCCAGCCTGAAGTGAATACCACCAAAAACTAATTTAACGGACAGTGCACAGATGTCCATGCAGGCCTTCTGAGCTGCAACTACAAAAAACAAATGGTGCAGTGCTCGCTGGGGAGCTTAGCTCTATGGGGGGCTACAAATAGCCCTTAGCCTTCCTCAAGAGTGGAGAGAGGAGAGGTACAATGAGGGCAAAGCCGTAGGAAGGGCCTGGCTTCCTACAGGGCCTGTACAGGGCTGGGTGCACCAGGACAGAGCAGGTGTTCCCGGTGATGGGGGTGAGGATGACTGCCAATCCCTGAGCCATCACGATGCCAGTTTCAGTCTCAGGCCAGGAAGCTGGACAGACACTTTGGGCCATCAGCTAGAGGAGAGAGGCCGTCCCCTACGACCCTTCCCCAGCAGATGCAGCTCACAGCCAAGCCTGGCTTTTTCTTGTGGAAAAATGGGGGAAGAAGAGGGAGCTGGTCATACCTGGATGCTGTGCTAGTGGCCGGATGTCAAAGCAGCCTTTATAATCCCCTTGATTGCCCAGTTTGGTGTCCATCTTTTGCTCACCCTAAATGAATGCCTCCACTGCGTCTTCAAGCCCATTTCCCTCCTGTGCCCTCTGGTGGAATGAGCCATGGAGGGCCACCTCCTCATGGGAGACCTGTTTGGCAGGAGCTCTGCTGCCAGGTGAACAGGTGGCCTGTGGGAGCCTAGATCCTCCTAAAATGGTTTTGAGCTTTCTCTGCATCCACAGAGGTGCATTTCCCTGCAGGAAGGATGATACATGCTTAGATTTTTCAGAGGCCCAAAGGAAGATAAAAAGTTGCTTTGGGGGATTAAAAGACACCATGGAGTAAAGACAGAGGGCTGGGCTTGGCCTCCCCTGGGGCGTGGCAGATGTGAGTGAAGAACCTTCCTCATAATCCCATGGTGATCCTGGGCCATCAAGGCTGCAGGTGCAGCACAGCCTGAGGCTAGGCCACCCAGTCCCATCCTGGGAATGGACTCAGCTCCTTCTCACCTTTGCCCACTCAGGACAGCAGGCTGAGGTCTGCATCCCCGAGGGTTCATCTCTGAGGTCTGCTCTCACATTGCCAGTCAACCTGCAACTGGCACGCTATAAAGAGAGACACGTGGGATGTGAGATGGACATTTCAAGGCCTCCCTCTTCCCTGGAATAAGGTGCCTAAAGCTGACTTTGGAAAACCAGAAGCCAAACACTACAAGGACACCGTGCTGACCCAGCCTTGGGCAGAGGCCAGCACACTTCCCATCTGCCCCTCCAGGGGCTTGGGGGCCGCCCAGCACACCTGCACATGAGGACCAGCTGCCCAAACAGACTGACCAGGGGTTCCTGGAAGCTCTAAGGATATACAGGGCATGCTGATACCTCTAGGCGGGTGGGAGGGGAGGAGACGGAAGGGAAAGGAAGCAAAAGTGTGTGGGTCTGGGGTAAGGAAAGGGAGCTACATTCTGAGGATTTCAAAGCACGTGCCACTCCTGAGGCTTTCAGGCCACAAAACCTGGCCAAACCCCCCCTTTCCAGCCTGATGACCACAGACTGTCTAAACACTTCCAGATGTCCTTGAGGGCTGTGCAGGGGACGGCAAGTGCAGCTTGGACAAAACAGAGTGAAAGATCACCTCTTGGGAAAGAGAAGCTATAAATTACTATTATGACTTCCCACCCAGAAGGAGGGAGACACCCTGGGGCTGAAGACTGAGGGCGGCCAATGGAGACGTCCTTCCCAGGAGGACACCCAGTCAAGGACACTGCCTGGGCTGTCTCCAGTTGCCTTGTTCCAGTCCAGCCTCCACCATCACCCCTTCCCAAGGTCTAAATGCCACAGTACAGAAATATTACCAAAATATTCTCATCCTCACCCCAAGCAATGGGCTTAGCTTTTCCAGGGCCTGGGGTTCCTGTTAGGTCAGAGTAGTAACACAGGCAGGCCCTGCAACTTTAGTCTAACCTCCACTTGCACAACTCCAGGGGGTGCCATTCACAAGTGGGCCACATCTGAATGACTGCCCTGCAGGTACAGGACCTTATGCTATAGTCCCACCGGCTAACAGTTCGCCTGGGGTGGCCGGTGGATCTACAACCAGCTCTCCTCCACCAAGCTCCCAGCTTGTCTGTCCAGCAACTTCATCTCCGTCCCAGGGGTACCCACAGTCCCACCAGAGTGTCCTGGGGCCCTCAAAGCACCCCCATCACACTGGGACTCTGGCAGTAGGGGCAGAGTCAGCAGCTGCTGAAAGCCTGCCTGCTCTGGACGAGCGCCTCCTCCTCACATCTAAAGCATTTGTCTTAATTTACTTTATGTAATTAAGAAAAATCCACTACTGTTGTGGCAGGAGTGGGGGAAGCAAGTTACACAACAGTATAGCCTCCGTTATACTAATTTGTTTTAAATGATTTCTAGAAAGAAATAGCAAAATGTGATAGAATTAAGGGGGATTTTATCCTTTCTCCTTTATACTTTTTTAACTTTCCAGATTGTTCAAGTGGTGTCTATGGCTTTATGATCACAGAAACAGGGCTATGAATGTGAGCAAGTTTTTTTCTTCCCCTAGAGACACTTAAGATGTAAGTTCTGGGAGCTCCTGGAAGGCTACAAACCTGCCTGGGGTTCAGAAAGTCTGAGGAAGGGCTTAGATGGGCTCGGTCTGCAGGCAGCACAGGTTAGGCAGTGATCCACGGGGTTATCATAAACCGCAGACTTAGAGAGGCACAGAGACCATCCCCAGCTCTCATCAAAAGGTCAGCTGACCAAGGCCAGAGGGCACAAAGCTTGCCTAAGGCCAGTCAGCCGATGAGTGGTGACAAAGCTGGAGTCTGAATCCAGGCCCTCGGTCCCCAGGCAGACAGTGTTACTCCCCTTCTCTGTATCTTTCTTTCTCTCTGCATGTCTCTCTTTCTCCAACTTTCTGTCTCTTTCTCAGTCTCTGCCTCTCTGTCTCCCTCTCCCTCTCTCTCTCTCCCTCCACCACCACCTCCCTCTCTTGCACGCTATACCTCCAGGCCTCACTAAAGACTCTAATGGTGCCCCTTATTCATCCTCCCACATAGGACAGTCACTTTTTTTTGTGGCAGGAGAATACAGCATCCACAGGAGGCCACCACTTTCTTAACTTTCCAGATTGTTCAAGTGGTGTCTGTGGCTTTATGATCAGAAGGGGGTCTCTACCACCCCCAGTGACTCTAAATGCACTGAGCTGAGACAATGGCACATGCTAGGAAGACTGGGAATTTCAGTCCCTGTAATCAGACCACAAACAAGGCAACAGGTGAGGCAGGCACAGAGGCCCATGTTCCTGCCACCTGCTGCCCCGACACACACTGTACCAACAGTCTTCCCCCAGTGATACAAAAGAGCCCGGGGTCGAGAGTGAGGCAGGCCTTGGTTCAAGCCCTCTCACTCAGAACTCTGCAGCCTTGGGTTCATTAAACCTTCTTGGAATCCCTGTGTCCTCATCAATAAAATGAGGGTGTTGGCCGGGTGCAGTGGCTCCTGCCTGTAATCCCAGCACTTTGGGAGGCAGAAGTGGGAGGATTACACAAGGACAGGAGTTCAAAACCAGCCTGAGCAACAGAGCAAGACTCTGATTCCATAAAAAAAAATTCTAAAAATTAGGTGGGCAGGGTGGGGTAATGCCTGTAGCCTTAGTTACCAGGGAGGCTGAACCAACAGGATCACTTGAGCCCAGGAGTTTGAGGCCACAGTAAGCTATGACTGTGCCACTGCACTCCAGCCTGGGCAACAGAGTGAGACCCTGTTTCTAAAAAATTAAAATAAAATAAAATAAAATAAAATAAAATAAAATAAAATGAGGGTGTGAGGGACAGCGTCACATGCGAAAGAGATAACATGTGCAAAGTGCCCATATGGCCCGGCAGGTGCTTACTACATGGAGGTCATCCTTGTTATGAACTCAGGCCTTCCTGCAGACCAGACTCCCCTGCACCCTGCCTCCCTGACATCCCTGGGCCCTGGGCTGGCTTCCCCTCCCTCCCTCCCGCCCCGGCTGCTGAGGACCCTTCAGGAACTATGCACAACAACAACAGCTTTTAAGATAGCGGCTGGGCGCGGTGGTTCACACCTGTAATCCCAGCACTTTGGGAGGCTAAGGGCAGATCATTTGAGGTCAGGAGTTCGAGACCAGGCTGGCCAACATGGTGAAACCCTGTCTCTACTAAAAATACACACACACAAAATTAGCCAGGCGTGGTGATGGGCACCTGTAATCCCAAGCTGAGGCAGGAGGATCACTTCAACCCATAAGGTGGAGGTTGCAGTGAGCCAAGATCGTGCCACTACACTCCTGCCTAGGCAACAGAGTGAGACTCTATCTCAAAAAAAAAAAGTTAGTGACATTTTAAATTTGTTTTTCTAACTTTAAAGAGATACACATAATTTTCTCTCTTCTCTTAACTCAATTTGATTTTAAAACATTTCTTTTCATCCAAATCAGAAATAATAAAGGATATTGCCTCCACTCCTACCACCTTAGCAAATCAATTGTTTCTATGTTTCCTTCTGGGGATCTCATTGTTTTTGAACGAATTTTTTTTAAAATGCATATCTAGGGTAGCACCTCATCCATCTATAGCACAACTGAGAGCGGGGAAATAGCCAAAAAGGCATCTGATGGGACAAAGTAGCTGTCACTTAGACTCCACACTCACATTCATGACTTGAACCAGAAGTGATCATCTCAGATTGTCACAAGTACCTGATAACTGTTGGTGTCCAAAAATTCTAATAATATACTTGTTAAGCTCGTGCAGTTTAGAAATAGCAAACTGGAAGGGAAGGTAGGATGGGGGCGGGGCAGAGCCACTTTGGCAGGCACTGTGATAACACTGAAAAGTGGTAAGGCACAGTTTATTAATGAGGAACAAGACAGAAAATGAGTTCTTAAAGTAAGCATAAGTTATCAAAACACCCAGTTGGACCTCTCTAGGGTACGAGCAAACCTCCTCTGACCCTCCTGAGGCCTGCTTTGTATTGTGGCAGGGGATGATAATTAACTAATGCAATGGTGACCTGAGTCACCCAGAAAAGGTCGCATCAGCAACTACTTCAGGAAGTGGACAAAGCATGTACTTTCAGAAGACTTCTATCAGGAAGAATTATAATAATAAATGCTGGCATGAATTTTTGATTATCCAGAAAAGCAGGCCACACAGAATGGCCCATTCCTCAAGGGTTCTGAAGAGAAGGTTGTTACTGAGACCCTTCATTTTTTAAGTGAAAATGACCCTTTGGACAGTCCCCACTTTTGGTGGGCCTTGTGTGATGTGCAGAAGGGCTCCCTAACTCTCAAGGACATAGACCTCTCCCCACTCAGAGGGCTGACCCCTTCAGGCCAATGCCCAGACCCAGAGGGGAATGTCAGTCCCTTGTCCCCTGGTCTAACTATCTGATAAATGGGCAATCCAGGGCCTTCAAGGCCTCCCAAATTGGTCTCCATGTGGCTCCACAATGGCTTATCTCCCAATAAACAGCTAAGCTGTAACCCCAGTCTACCTCCTCTCCCCTAAACATGCCCATCCTCCTTCACAGCACCTGTTCAGCCTGCCTCATATCTCCTGCCACTTCCCTCCCCATCAAAATCCCCCTCTGCCTGCTGAATCCTCCTCCGCCTCACAGGCTCCTTTCCATACTGAGTGGATGGCGCTGCCTGTACACCGCCTCCTTGGCTCTGTAAGCTACGTGCAGACAGACACTCCTATTTGGTTCCCTACAGGAACAGCACTGTCTCAGCACCTGGTGGACCTTCAATAAACTTTTGCTGGATTTGAAAACCCATGTCAGCCAGGCATGGTGGCTCACGTGTTACATAATCCCAGCACTTTGGGAGGGTGAGGTGGGAGGATTGCTTGAGTCCAGGAGTTCAAGACTAGCCTTGGCAACATAGTGTGACCCCGTCTCTACAAAAAAAAAAATTTTTTTAATTGCCGGGTGTGGTGGCATGTGCCTGTAGTCCCAGCTACTTGGGAAGCTGAGGTGGGAGGACCACTTGAGCCTAGGAAGTCGAGGTTGCAGTGAGCCATGATTTCACCCCTGCACTCCAGACTGGGAAACAGAGTGAAGATCCTGTCTCAAAAAAAGAAAGAGAGAGAGAGAAAGAGAGAAAGAAAGGAGTGGAGAGAAGGAAGGAAGGAAGGAGAGACAGAGAGAAAGAAAGGAAGAAAGGAAGGAAAGAAAGAAACAGAAAGAAAGAAAGAGAGAAAGAGAGAGGGAGGGAGGGAGAGAGGGAGGGAGGGAGAGAGGGAGGGAGGGTGGGAGGGAGAGGGAGGGAGGGAAGGAGGGAGGGAAGGAAGAAGACAGAAAGAAAGAGAGGGCAAGAGAGGGAAAAAAGAAGAGAAAAGGGAAGAAAAGAAAAGAGAAGAAGGGAGGGAGGGAAGAAGGAAGGAAGGAAGAAAAGAAAGAGAAAGAAAGAAAAAGAAACAAAGAAAGAGAAAAAGAGAGAGGGAGGGAAGGAAGGAGAGAAAGAGAGAGAGGGAAAGAGGGAAAATAAGAAAGAAAGAAAGATGAAAAAGGAAAGGAAAAGAAAAGAGAAGAAAAAGAGAGAGAAGGGAGGGAGGAAGAAGGAAGGAAGGGAGGGAAAGAGAGAAAAAGAAAGAGAAAGAGAGAGAGAGGGAGGGAGGGAAAGAGAAAGGAAGGAAGGGAGGGAAGGAGACAAAGAAAGAAAGAAAGAGAGAGAGGGAAAGAGGGAAAATAAGAGAAAGAAAGAAAGAGAGAGAGAAAGAAAAGAAAGAAAGAAAGAAAGAAAAAGAGAAAGAAAGGAAGAAAAAGAAAAGAAAAGAGAAGAAAAAAGAGAGAAGGGAGGGAGGAAGAAGGGAGGGAGGGAGGGAAGGAGACAGAAAGAGAGAGAGAGGGAAAGACGGAAAATAAGAACAAAAGAAAGAGAGAGAGAGAGGGAGGGAGGGAGAGAGAAGGGAGGGAGGAAGGAAGGAAGGAAGGAAGGAAGGAAGGAAGGAAGGAAGGAAGGAAGGAAGGCAGGCAGGCAGGCAGGCAGGCAGGCAGGCAGGCAGGCGAGAGAGAGAGAGAGAGAGAGAGACAGAGAACCCATATCCATACCACAGTGGATCACGGGCCCTGCTTTCTGTAGCACACAGGGGCATGCACGCCTGCGGGCACTTCACACACATGCCTCACCCTTCCCATGACTTTGGGGAAACTTCTGTACAATGTGAGCTCCCGGAACTGGGAAAGGAAGAAAGGTCCCGCCGAGAAGGAATTCCCCTGGCCCAATAAGGATTTATGCTATTATTTTTCCTTCCACAAACCCTCAATAAACAGAAGAGCTAAATTTGTCTCTGTCCTGACATTCCTAAGAATGGGTGGAACTAGGTGGAAGGGAAGGGGCCCTGCCAGCACTTGCCTCTGTGCCTCCTCTAGCTGACTTTTTCCTTACTGCTCGCTGCAGCACAGCAGAGGGGGAGGCATAGAAATATCCAGAATCACTTGCCCCTCTTCTGCCCCACTTCAAGCAGGAGTCCTGCCTGTGCTCAAAGACTGCCAAGGAAAGGAATGGACTCATCCATGCCAGCCCTTAATCACCATGGCTGGCCAGGCGCAGTGGCTCACGCCTGTGATCCCAACACTTTGGGAGGCCGAGGCGGAAGGATCCCTTGAGCTCCAGACTTTGAGACCAGCCTTGGCAAAAAAATCAAGACTCTGTCTCTACAAAAAGTTTTAAAATTAGCCAGGCAAGGTGGTGTATACCTGTAGTCCTAGCTACTCAGGAGGCTGAGGCAAGAGGATGGCTTGAGCCCAGGAGTTCAGGGTTACAGTGAGCTGTGATCACACCACTGCACTCCAGCCTGAGTGACAGAGAGAGATTCTCTCAAAATTTTCAAAGCTCATGTCTGGAAGTTCTTCCTAGTGTCTGGTTTAAATCCCTTCTTCTGTTCTGCAGGGAAGATCTTCTTTGCTATTCTCAACTACTTCTTCCTCTGATCTAAAGTCAAATGGACTTTTTCAAATCAGAGGGGAGGAGGTTAAGGAAGGGGACTGAGGAAAAGGGGGCTTTTGTAACTCTATCCCTGGCTCAAACCCTGGCTGGACAGATGAGGAACTAATAGGGTGAAAACAGACAGTGAAGGGGACTGTGTGGGTGTAGACACAGCACAGAGGCTGCTGGGAGAGTAAAGAGAGGACCAAGAGAAGAGCAAGAAGGGAAATTTAAGGGTTAACCCTCCTGTTGAAAAGTCTACCTGACTGCAAGGCACTGACAAAGCTGCTCGCGGGTGTCTTGGGGTTCAGGCACCCCTTTGTCTGGGTTACTCTACTGCCTCAGCCCTGCAGCACCAAAGCAACCATCTGCTGCCCTCCTGCACACAGCATTGGCAACCTGTGCCCACTGCCATGGCAACCAGCTCTCCCAGTACCTGGAGGTCAGGTCTCGCCAGCAATGAGGCCCCCACGTGATTTCTAACAAAGTTCCCCCCTGCCAAAACCAAGTGCTCCCCCTGCCCCTCTACTGGGACCCACACACTTTGGCTGCAGAGTGATGGAGGGACCTGAGGGTGCCCCAACTCGAACCGGTCACACACAGCCATCACATGGTCTAGGGAGTCTGCCCTGGGGTCTCCTGGACTGAGACAACACAGGATCCTGAACGGGGCTTGGTTCTCTGCCGTTTTGCAAGGACAGATCTGAATAATGTCTGACCATTTATGATCACTGCACCCCAGCCCCTTGTCGCCTCCAAACCATGCAGCACGCAGGGCCACTACCACAGGGATAATCTTCAAATACCATTTTCATCCAATCACTCTTCAGCTCAAGCGCCTAAAATAGCAGCCCCAGCTTATCAGATCAAATCTAAATGTTTGTAATATTTCTACCCCTACACACACACTCCAACCTCAACCCTAGGTCCTCACCATTCAAGTCACGTACATCTCCTTTCTGTCCCAATTTTCCTGTCCCTGCCGTTTTCTTTGCCCATGCCATTAACCCCCTCCTGTGATGTCCTTGTCTTCTGGGTCATATCCACCTCCTTTAGCGAGCCACACTGCAGTCTGTCACTATAACTATTTGTACCTACCATGGTGTTAGGTGCAAATGAGTAAAACTGTAAAGGATCATCTTTCTGCCTGTGGGTTCCAAATTTCACTGCAAGCTCATCAATGGGAGAGCTTTCTCCTTCATTAGGCCTCGAGAATCCCCTGTTGGACTGGGAGCTCCCATAGGGCCGGCCATCCAGCTATCCCCTTAGAATCTCCCAGGGGCAGGACTGGGGGAGCTCTCTCCATACCCTCCCCAAGCTTCAGCCCCGCACTGGCTTCTCTAAGGGTTCCAAGGCAAGCTGGAGGGCCAAAGTCTAGAGCAGTGCTGCCCAGTGGAGCTCTCTGCAATGCTGGAATGTTCCATAGATACCAGATTCCAAAGACTTGATGTGAACAAAAGATGTAAAGTCACCCACACGTATTTTTCATATTGGTTACCTGTTAAAATGATAATATTTGGATATGCTGGGTTAAATAAAGTGTATGCCTAAAACTCAGTTTACCTGTTTCTTTTCCCTTTTTAAAAAATACAGCTATGGAAAAATATTAAATTACACATATAGCTCACATTATGTTTCTATTGGACCATGGTCATCTATTTTATGTTAAAATGGTCTCTACCCACCGAAGGGTGTAATGAGCGTCCCATCTGAATTGTCCCTAGTTCTTACTTTCTTTTCCCTCTCCATACTGCTTTGTTTTCTTAGGCTTATTTTTTTTTTACTGTGGTAAAAAACACATAACGTAAAATCTACCCTCTTAACACATTTTGAAGTGGAGAGTACATTATTGTTAACTATATGCATATTATTGTACAGCATCACTTTTCTCAGTTTAGTTTTCTTTAACCTTGATGTCTGCTTCTTCGATAGATACCTCCAATTATTTCTGGAACAAACTGGTATTACCAGTTAGTTAATTGACTTAGACCTTTAGTGCCCTAATGCTGAATCTTTCATCCCAGGAACGCTTCAGGAATAACCATAATCATAACAGCACATTTCATTTGTACTGCTTACAGTATGGGTGTGCTTTTTGCATGAGTCAGTTCATGTAACGACCCTGTGGAACATGCAAGTCGGGAATTAATATCCCCAAGTCAACAGGTAAGGAAACAGAAGGCCAGGGGTTAAGGGCTGTGTACAAAGGCAGCTGCACAACTAAAGTTCAACCCCTGGACCCCTGGCCACTTTCCATTCCACGCATGCAGTAAGCACAATGAACATGGGTTCAGACGCAGCAGTTACATGTTCTCTTGCCCCATCAAGAATTGTCTCTGCAATAGGAGGGACTGGGACACTGCTGATAAAAAGGGAAGTGTTACTAAGATAGGAGCAGCTAGTGAGGAGAGTTAAGAGGTCTAAAACAGAATCTGTGGGTCTGGGGTCCAGAATCACCTCTGCTCCCAAGTAACTGCATGCCCTTGGATCACTGCTTTTACATCCTGGGCTTTGGTTTCCTCATCTGTGCTACAAGCAGCCGGATGCTTCAAGACGCAGCTAGACCAGCACCGCTTGCCCTTCTAGTGGGAATGTGAACCAGCTCAATCCTTTTGTACAGCAATTTGGCAATATGTGTCAAGAGCCTCAGAAACTCTTTGACCCACTAATTCTGCTTCTGAGAATCCTAAGGAAATAATCCTTAAAAAGGAAAAAGCCTTATGTGCAAAGACCTTCATCTCAGCACTGTTTATAACACTAACAAACTGGAAATGAGCTAAAGTCTAATAATAGGAGAATGGGTAAACTGTGATATGGTAAATCCCTTTAATGAAATATTATGCAGTTATTTAAAATAATGCAGTATCTGTAGAAAACATGCATTTGGCCACGTGAAAGAGGCAGGATATTAAAAAGCTGATATGGGCCAGGCACGGTGGCTCACGCCTGTAATCCCAGCACTTTGGGAGGCCAAGGCAGGCGGATCATGAGGTCAGGGGTTCGAGACCAGCCTGACCAATATGGTGAAACCCCATCTCTACTAAAAATACAAAATTAGCCAGGTGTGGTGGCATGCGCCTGTAATCCCAGCTACTCAGGAGGCTGAGGCAGGAGAATCGCTTGAACCTGGGAGGTGGAGGTTGCACTGAGCCGAGATCACGCCACTGCACTCCAGCCTGGACAAGAACAAAACTCCGTCTCAAAAAAAAAGAAATAAAAATAAAAATAAATAAATAAATAAATAAAGAGCTGATACGGTATGAAAGCAGTTAAATTTTAAAAAGAAAAAGGAACACTGCACTCCTGTGGGGACACACATGTATGTCCACAAAAAGCTAGAAGATAATTCATTGTAACGCTAATAGTGGCTATTTAGAGTGACGGGACTAGAGGTGTTTGTTTTTTCTTCTTTTCTCAGTTTCCCAATATGCATAAATAATTTTGAAAAACTTACATAGCAAAGATCCTGGATTTGAAGGTCCCCAAGAGCACGCATGGCTCTAACATGTCCGGGTAGGTCAGACAGGTGGTAAATGAGGTTGCACACTAAGCCCAGGCTCAGCTCTGGGGGCTCAGGGAAATGACAAGCACCTGAGGGCTGGGGAACCAGGGACCAGCAGAGCCCCATCCAGATGGGGAATGGCCATTCCTACCATCCCATCCCTCTACTTTAAAAAATGAGAGGGAAGGGCCATTTTTGTGGCTATTCGCACTTAGGATGAAAAACAAGCATCTGTCTGACCATCCTTGGAGCCCACATAGTGGCTGGAGTCAGGTAGAGGAGCTAAGCAGGGAAGGGAGAGACATCACCCTCAATGGCTACTAACAGCTTTGCCCAGGGGCACCTACATAAGATTTTGTTGGAACAAGTGGTGGAAAGGTCAAGGCAGCATTTCTGGGGGGTAGGGAAGAGAAGCTGGGATCCCTCCTGAGTCCTAATCTCCCTCCCTGGTCAGCATTCTTCATGGCAGGAACTTTTCCCCAAACTTTCCAGTCCCTTTTGGCTGTTCTCTGAGACCTCTGCTCAGAGGTAGTGAGGAGAGGTAGTGTGGCAGGTAGCTCTTACCGAACCTACCTAAAAACCCGGCCTGTCTCAGAAAGGGTCTTAGAAATATACCGAAAGACTCAGATGTCCCCCTAGATGACTCCACGGTGCCTGTCCCTGCAGAATCCACAGTCAAAGACCCGGTGCACAGGTCATACCTCAGATACAGCCTCGACAGGCTGGAGCAAATCCAGAGGACAGGGTCACATGGACAAGGGCTATGAAGAGAAGCTTATCCACCAGTTCCTCCAAGACCAGTGCTGGGCACCCCTGAGAGCTTAAAGGTAGTGTGATTAGGACACAAAAGGGAAGTGTGTTCTGAGCTGGATGGGGACCCATGGCCCTCGTCTCTCTATGAGCTGAGATAGGCTGAGAACACAAGAGGCTTAGGGAGGGTTCCAACATGTTAAAGAGAAGGCAGAACCACAGTCGGTTATCAGGGCACGTGAGAGATGCCTAGACCACAAGCAGGACCTTTTAAGGTTGATGGCAAGGAGGAAAACCCTCGACTCTCCAAACATACTGCCTGGAGCAGACCCAGAGGTGGAATGCCGGGGCTGCAGAGCATGGCTCCAACCCAGAGTTACTATTCTTGGGATCAAATCTGGCTGCCTGACAGCACTGGATTGATGGTGACTGGTGGCCATGTGTTGACAATGCCGGCAGGATGCTGGAAGCCAAGGGGGCCCAGGAAGGCAAGCACCGGCTTCTTTTGAATCTCTCCATCCAAGGAAGAGCAGCTCATAGGACCAGGTTGG